>NC_000008.11:21072223-21375254 GCF_000001405.40 Homo sapiens
ACTTTGTCTCCAGGATAGGATTTATTGACAATTCCTCCATGACACACCCTCCAAAAGATAGTACTGACTCCAAAGAAAAACATCCTATAAATCCTAAAACAAATTATAGGTACCAAATCCCTATTAGCCCACTTATTGCAAACAGTGCAACGTACAATCAAAATCCAGAGAAGAATCAAGATACTTCTCTAGAATTTATCACAAACATAATTTGACGTATGCAGGGGAAACACCTTATGTTTCAATCTAGGATTAAACAACCTTAAATCATAAACCTTAAATCAACCAAAGCTCAGCCCTTTACTAAGTTATACAACATTTGTAAGCTTTGGTTATCTTATCTGGGAGATTCAGTAATATCTTGCTTTTCACAAGAAGGAGGATTAAATGTGCTAGCATATGTGAAAGTATTTAGCATGGTACCTGGGCTATGGTACTTGTTCAGGACATGTTTCAGTTTCTTCCTTGTGATTCATCACCCAGCAAGAAGCACCAAAAACATGGCACCAGGCACCATCAGTGGCTGCTCCGTATTGTGTGGTGGGGTCAAGAGTGAATACTAAATACCGAGGTCTTTTCAGAGGCACAGAAGAGTTTGTCAGCCTGGAAACGTTTTCACTAAGGTATCACAGAATGGGCTTAAATGGAAATGTTCCTTCCACTTTTCATGCCCAAACATCTTACCATGTCCTCTACTTTCCAAACTCAGGTGGACCATCCTTTGGCCACTGGCAGCCCAGCTACCTATAGCTCTCCCTGTCAGTGTTGGCTTCTGGGCTGTAACGTCTGGGACACGGCTGTGGGAGAGGCAAGGGAACAACCAGCCGGGCAGAGCATTTGAATTTCTGCCCGGGGACCCCTTCTGGTGTCCCCTTCGAAAGCAGAACTTCATGCCCACAACGGACATGGTTTGAACATTATGTTCTGTTAATTCATGGCTTATTCACAGAGCTGTTCTAAGGGAGAAAAATTATAATGGGTAGAAACAATTTAGAGATTCCAGGAAGAAAAAGGGGGAGAAAATATGCCCCTTTTTTACCTCAGTGCAGCAATGGGTCTTCCTGGGCATACCGGGGGCCCGGAGTGGTAGCGCACTTTTGGGGAGCTCTATACAATAGCTTTTTCCTGTCTACTCTGTGACAAGGCAGGAAGAACACATGCCATGTCCAGACCATTTACCATCATTGCCCCTGGCACCTCACAGATCTTCTTTCTGCAAGAAAGATGGCATTTCCGAGTTGACAGCTTCTCTTTCAAGCTATGTGTCACTTTGATAAGTGAGAAAGTCAGAGTTCCCCCAAGGATGGGGCATTACAAGCAAGGAGTACTCAAGGTAAATCAAAGAAGTCTGGTGGGAAGAGAAGGGGCAGTCAGGGAGCCTCTTGGCCCACCATCTTCCAGACAAGCACTGCTAAGAGAATCATGGCAAAGCAGGCCCATGCAGATGAAGGAAACTGAGTTGTTCAAGTTACAGGACATCGAGGTAGAGTCAGAGCTTACACCAAATCTAGTCTTCCTCTGCCTACTCAGAAGGTCCAAAGCATCACAGCCAAGTGCTCGGTAAAGCAGAGACCCCCTCAGCCGTTGTCTGTTCCTTCTCTTATGACTACCACATGAGCTTACAAGCTAGTAGAAAGAAGTATTCTCCTCTGCCTCCACTGAAGCTACTTAGGATGAATCATTCAGAAATTTCAAAAGCCTGACTTTCACAGCAGGTGTGACTACATCACTACAGCCAGTTAGTGGGGAGCGTAAAAAAAAGCAGGTTTCAGCAATGCTTAAGGAAAAACCCTAATGATTGTAGCTGCCTAATAATAGAGCCAATTGTCCAATAAGGCAGTGAAATCCCCAACAATGGAGGTGTTTAAAAAGAGTCTGGTAGAGTCATTCCTGAGAGCACTCTCCCCTGGGTGGGAAATCGGACTAAGCGGTCTCTATTTTAACCATCTTTTGACTCTTATCTTCTACAGGAGGTAATACAGAGGATAGAATAGACTGGACTCAGTTCCTGTACTAAACACAGGTCTGCATGCAGATGGCACAGAGCTTAATGTCGGAGGATCCGTGTCAGACCTCACTCCTCATCTCCTATCTCCTTCTCCGATCTTCTTAGTTGGTTCTAGACCATGTCCCTATGTCTTCGATTCTCGGAGGGTAACATTAAATGCCAATGCCATCCTTGGGGGAGGCTTTTCCCTTGGACTTCTCATTTGGGGCTACGTGGAATCCAGTATTTAGACAGAAAGAGAGAAAAGGTGACAAATTGTCCTGACTGTAGCCCTTCTAAGTCCCATTTCACTTGTGGCCCTTGTGGGAATCTGCGATGAGATACCCAGTTACTCTCCCAGAGACCCCAGCCTAAGGGACCACAGGCTCATCCCCCACAGAAGCCACAGAGAGCAATGGTCACTGTTATGGGTTCTGGAGTAGGAAAAATGTGGGCTTGGATTCTGGCATTTACCAGTTGCCAGCCATGGTGTGACCTGGGGCAAGTTATTTTCACTCTCTTAGCCTCAGTTTCCTTACAGGTAAAATATGGAGGCTAATTACCACCTCATTAGGATTTTTGATATGGAGGATAACTACCACCTCATTGGGATTTTTGATATTGGGATTTTGATATTTTGATATTAGCACATTCTATTTATGTAATAAAAAAAATGGTGGTTCTCATACGACAATACTCTACTCACCAGCAGCATGTATCTTTCTCCACATACTCTCTTCCTGCCTCCTACCAAGATCTCTGCCCCACCTCAAGCCAGGCTCTCTGCACTCCTTCCTATTTCCCTCTTGCATATTCAAGGACATTACTTCAGCAATACTGCCCTTCTCTACCCTCCTTTGCATCATCATTTTTTTTTCATTTTCTACTAAAACAGTTTCATCAGCATACAAAATATCCCTATATTGCTATTTCTCTCATCTTAATAAAAAACAAACAAATAGCTTCTTATGATTCTCACTTCCCTCCCAGTGACTGATCTATTTCTTTACTCCTCTTTGCAGCAAAATCCTTGCAAGAGTTATCCTCATTCACTGTCTTCAATTCTCCTTTTAGCGTTCTCTCCTAAACTCACTCCAGTCAATCCTTTGGCCACACCAATCCATTGAAACTGTTCATATCAAGGTCGCCAATGACTTCACCATTGCTAAATCAATTCTCTGTCCTCCTCTAAATTGACCCTACAGCAGAGTCTGCCCTGGTTGATAACGCCCTTCTCATTCATACATTTTCTTTACTTGGTTTTTAGGATACCACTCTCTCCTGAATTTCTGCTCCACACCTTCTCAGGCTCTCTTGCCGATCCCTTCTCTTCACCTGTACCTGTTACTGATGGAAGGTCACAGTTCCCTCCTTGGTCCTCTTCACCTATCAGCTCTCATCATGTGTGATCTACAGTCTTAGGGCTTTAAATAACATCTATATTCCAATGGATCCCAAGTTCACATTTCCGTTCCAGACTTCTTTCCAACTAGCATTCCACTAGCAGACTAGTATATCCAATCTTCACTTGGATGTCTACAGATATGTAAAAATTAGTGTGTCCAAAATTAAACCCCTTATCTTCGCTTCCACATCAGTACCTCCCAGAGTCTTCTTCAGCTCTGGAAGCAGCAATTCTGCCCTTTTATTCAGGCCTAAGACCTTGGAGTCATCCTTGACTCCATTCTCTCACATCTTCCATCCAAACCCAGAAATACCGTATCCTCCAGCTTCAAAAAATATTTCTAGAATCTGGCTACAGGTCATAGCACCTACAGCTGTTTTGTATTTGTGATTGCAATGCCCTGTCCACATATAGCACTTTCAATCTCCGATTCTCATGTCTACCTTCTTAAATTTTTCTATAACTCTTACTTCTTTCTAGCATGCTATATAATTTACCTGTTTTACATCTCATGCTTAACATCTGACTCTCCCATTCCCATGCTGCCTGCATGTAAACACCATCAGTGCAGGGATGTTTTGTTTACTGACATATTACAAAAGCATAACACAGTGTCTGGCACAGGGTAAGGAAACAGCAAATCTCTGCTGAATGCAATAATTATTAAACCATTTCAATTTCCCTTACAATAACACATTTAGACCCAAACCTGACATACAGAGCTATACATAGTGTCCAGTTCTTCAGAGACCCCAGCAGCCCAGAAAGGATGGATGAGGCAGTCAATGCCATTGTCTGACTAGCGGGTCTAAGGGTGTCTCTGCACCAGTCTCTGACTTCCAAGGGGCATAGATCCTCCTCCTGGTAAGGATGGCTTCTCGATCAATCAATCCACTGAGCAACTGCACTATTCACTATGGGAAGACAGGAGAAGTTAACACAAGGTCCCTGCCCAAAAGGCAACACTTAGCCACATAAAACAATAAGCAGACAGTACCAGGCAGTATATCATCAAGTGCTAAATTAGGTGTTATTGACTCTAAGTGCTGTTAGAGTTCAGAGAGGGGAGAAATCAATGAGCAGTGCAGCCATGGAGAGCTCTGGGCCATCACTCCCCAAGTTCCTTGAGGGCAGGGACACTGTCATGTTTCTTTTCTTTTTCTTTCTTCCTTGCATCTCTTCTTCATCTTCCTTTCCCTAGACCCAGTACACTGATGTACCCAAAAGAGACATGTAAGGACTGCTCTCTTTATATTTCCCCTAACTTTTCATAAAGGATTTGAAGTAGCTTAAAGGGATATAAAATAAATAAATAAACACACTTTAAACAAAGGTGGCAAGGAAAAAACCAAAACAAGGGTAGAGACAGAAAATGGAGCTGGGAATGAGGAAAACAGAATAAAAAACAAGCCAGAAAAGACCATGCCTTCACAAATGATGAACCACAAATTTGGTGCTAAGCTTTAGAATGGACTATTTGAAAAGAAAAACCTGATTAATTATGTAATTCATACCCTCCGTATGATAAAAACAGACCAATCATTCTGCAGATACAAAACTATTCCAGACTCTTAAGCCTTCCATGAATTTCTCCCCAGGGCCCCCGTAAGGCAGACATGTTGGGATGTAATGAGAAACACCCTGGAGGAGCCTTGGAGAACAGACTCAGCCCTGAGTTTCACAGGTCTGTTAGCTCCACACACACTCTCCACTGTCTGGGACTACTCCTATTTTGTTAATATTGAGGGTTATGGTACAACCGCACCATTTAACTGCAGCGTGAATCGGTAAATTTACAAGGTATGAGAGAGCAGGACAAATTTAGGAGGGAAACTGCACCTAAAACATTATAGGGTATAAACAAACACTCAGCATGCACGCACACACATACACATACACACACACACACACACGGCTGAAGCTAGAAAGAATCTTACCATCTCCAGCATATGCCACATTTCTCATGTAAATAATCTTATCTCCTGAACATGCCACATTTCACATGTAAATAACCTTAACATATCCTGAACATATGTTTCCCATGTAAATAATCTTACCATCTCCTGAACATGCCACATTTCATATGCATATGTAAATGATCTTACCATCTCCTGGACATACCACATTTCCCATGTAAATAATCTTACCATCCCCTGAACATGCCACATTTCATATGTAAATAATCTTACCACCCCCTGAACATGCCACATTTCATATGTAAATAATCTTATCATCTCCTGGACATAACCATATTTCCCATGTAAATAATCTTACCACCCCCTGAACATGCCACATTTCATATGTAAATAATCTTACCATCTCCTGGACATACCACATTTCCCATGTAAATAATCTTACGATCTCCTGAATATACCACATTTCATATGTAACACTGCAGTGATGTCTGAATTTCATTTTTTCTCTTGCTAGATTTTAAGTTCACCCATACCAAGCACAAAATGGCATTTTGCAGATCTTTGTATTTCTTCTAGTGCCCAGCACCAGATCTTGCTCTAAATGAATGTTTTTTCACTCCATAAATATTTATTGAATGCCTACTAGCTGCTAGACACTCTTACGGCAATCAACAAAACATTTAAATTTTTACCCTTAATGGAATTTACAATCAGGACAGAGAGGAATATAAGACAGACAATGCCTGGAATAAACAAGTAAATTATGTAACATACAAGAAGGTAAAACTTACTGTGGAAAAAATGAAACACTGTAGAAAAAAAATGAAATAAGAGGGATTTGAAGTGTGTGTGTGTGTGTGTGTGTGTGTGTGTGTAGTGCAGGTGGCAGTATTAACCAGGATAGTCAGTATAGATTTCATTGAGAAATTGAGACGTAAACAAAGAGTTAAAGACAGTAAGGGAGTTAACCAAGCAGATATCTAGGGAAAGAATATTTTAGGCAGAGGAAACAACTTAGGCTTCAAGACAGGATATATATATATATATATATATACATTCATTGAACATTCCCTAGCCCCCAAATAATTGTGATTTATTGGGACTAGTGTTAGAAATGACAGTATAGACAGAGGTACAAGGCATACAAAAATGTGGAATAATAAACATTTCTACATTCTTAGTAAAACAATGAGTTGTCTAAAATGTGGAGCTGTATATTTTCAATAAAGAATAATAGTGACTGTGATGTCCAGCTGGGAAGGAAAAGCTCTTAGTCAGAATAGGCTAGGTGAGGCTGCAGTAATAAACAAATCCAGAAATCTCAGTAGCTTCGTGTGAAAAGAAATATTTCTTCTTCATGCAAAGCAGATGCTTCCATCTCTCCAGGACAGCTCCCTTTAAATACTGGCTAAGGGACCCAGGTTCTTTCAGTTTGTGGCTCTCCAATCTTGATATAGGTGCTTCCATAATAAAGCAGAACATCAGAAGAGAGAATACGTAGCAAACTTAACACTGTTGCTTTATCCTTTGGCCCAGAGGGACTCATGTCACTTGTGCTAAAGCTCATTGGCCAGAACTAGTCACATGTCTCAACCCAACTGCAAGAGAAGCTGAGAAATGCAGTATTTCTGTGTACTCCAGAAAAGGAATGAAACTTAGGAAGAGGATAAGTCAGACTATATTTGAGTTTGTGGAACTGCCAGACAGGTTAACACTGATTTAGGTCTCATTCTGAAATAAGTCTATATTATGATTGAAATTCTCAGGGGGTGGGTAAACCCAGTCAAGGTTATAATCAATAACAATATCTGGAGGGCTTTTATTCCCTAGATCTCAAAATGTTAATAATATGATGATTAGAGAATGATTAAACCCATACTTTGCAATAAGAGAGAGGCATACATTACCCTACCCCACTATTTATCTAATAAAATTACATAAAACAAATTACGTATCTTCTACAGAAGATGTCTGCATGTTCTGAACTTGCAAATGTTCTGAAATAGATTTTAAATTATTTATCTCTAAGGAGTCACAAAATTTTTTTAGCATCCAGGTGCAGTGGCTCATGCCTGTAATCCCAGCACTTTGGGAAGCTGAGGCAGGAGGATTGCTTGAGCCCAGGAGTTCAAGACCAGGCTGGGCAACATAGTGAAACCCCCATCTCTACAAAAAATAAAAAAAAAATTAAAAAATTAAATTTTTATCAATATGTACTGGAATGAAAAATCTCTAATGTGTAAAACTTTATGGACTTCTTATTCTTCTGATGTTTCTGTGATCTATCTGTTGTTATCTTACATTGGTCTGAGCCTCTATATTTCGTTTTTTTTTTTCAGATCCCTTTTTGCTAATTTCAGATATTTCTCAGCTCCTGTTCTTAATTGCTCAACGTTTGGATATTAAAAAATCAGGCCAGGCGCAATGGCTCATGCGTGTAATACCAGCAGTTTGGGAGGCCAAGGAGGGCGGATCACCTGAGGTCAGGATTTTGAGACCAGCCTGGCCAACACGGTGCAACCCCGTCTCTACTAAAAATGCAAAAATTAGCCGGGCATAGTAGCGGACATCTGTAATCCCAGCTACTCAAGAGACTGGAGTGGGAGAATTGCTTGAACCTAGGAGGCAGAAGCTGCAGTAAGCTGAGATCATGTTACTGCACTCCAGCCTTGGCAACAGGTGAGACCCCATCTCAAGGGGGGAAAGAAATCAAGTAAAATTATGTATTTGGAATAGGTTCTACAAAGATGCTTTCTACCTGTTTCATTTGTTTTGCGTATTAACCAATGGTGACTTTATATCCTGCTCATATGTTTTTCTACCTTTCCATATTTGCGTGCCCTCTGACTGTTTCTTCTGGTTCCTAATCATGAATAATGGTTTTAACCCCATACATCAGGGATAGAAAAAGCCTTATAAACTTGAATAGAAAAATATTCTAGATTGGGAATCAGACTTGCCCATTGAATAAAAGCATGATTTTGGGCCGGGCATGGGGGCTCACACCTGTAATCCCAGCATTGTGGGAGGCCGAGGTGGGTAAATCACCTGAAGTCAGAAGTTTGAGACCAGCCTGACCAACATGGAGAGACCCCGTCTCCACTAAAAATACAAAATTTAGCCAGGCTTGGTGGCACATGCCTGTGGTCCCAGCTACTTGGGAGGCTGAGCCAGGAGACTCGCTTGAACCTGGGAGGTGGAAGTTGCAGTGAGCAGAGATCACCACTGCGCTCCAGCCTGGGTGATAGAGACTCTGTCAAAAAAAAAAAAAAAGCCAACCAAACAAACAACAAAAAAACACCATGATTTTGGTTTCTGGTAGAGTTCCTGACACTTCTTCAGTTGTATCTTTTAAATACTCCGGAGTTTTATGTTGCAATGACTCTAAAACTTGGACAGACGGAGCACATTCAAGACTTTGTTTTAGAATAATCTAGCTTTGGAAATGCTGAAAGAGCTATGATAGTTCCAGCAGGAGACTGACCTGGCTTCAGCTGCTGGAGAATAGGCACAACCAGAGCAGCCCAGATGGAGACAAATAAAAAGAAACAAAAGCAATGAGAAGATTTGGCTCATGTATGAGATGATAAGATAATTTCAGAAAGTAACTTAAATTTTCTCCATTCCTTTGAATCAGACTATGAAGCTTGTCTTTTCTTTTCGAGTTCATTTTGTTCAGTATTTCTTATTAGTAAGTTATTCAGTTCATTGAAATTTTCTAAAGAAATAACATAGGTTGAAAATTATATCTTTTTGAGTTTCAAGAATTACTCTTAGAATGTCATGATACATCTTGAGTGTGTTTATGTTTAATCCCATTTTTTCTTGTTCTTTATTATGATTGTCAGATATTTATCAGATATTTTAAGAATGGCTCTCGGATTTTTATTTCCAATTTCCATTACTTCTTCATTTTCTAACTCATTAATTCCCATGCTACTGTTACCATGTATAACTTCTTGTTTTTCTACTGATTTTTAATTTTTTTCTATTTTCTTAATTCTTGGATTCTTTATTTTTTATTTTTACTGTTTCTTATTTTATAAAAGCAATTGAGATTCGAGTTTACCTTTACAACTTGGCAATTCAAAGATATGATCATACAAATCTACTTTTAAGAATTTATTATAGATTTTGTGACCTTGACTATGAACAATTTTTTGTAAACATGTCATGACTATTTGAAATAAGTGTATTTCCTCAGGTGACACATTTTGATATACAATATGTAAAATTAATCTTGCTTGTTATATTATTCAATCATTACTATCCCCATTTATCTCAGTCATTTTGATCTATTAAAAGACTGAGAGCGCTATGTTAAGGCTTCCCTTTCTCTGTGATGGGATTATTCATGTGTTCCAAAGTCATTTTTAAATTTTCAATACTATGATATTTATAACAGAAACATTAATGACTGTTATATCCTTATCATGATGAAAGATCTCATTAACCTAACTGCTTTTGTCTTGAATTCTCCTCTGCCTGTTTTCAGTAATGACTTTTTCTCATTTGTATTTACTTGATGTATCATTTCACATACTTTTGTTTTTTAATTTTATATGTAATGTTTGTCATAGTTATATCTTATGTATAAGATATACATAAGATATATATCTGTATATAACATATATACAGATATGTAAGATATACATGAGATATATAAGATATACATAAAGATATATATATATAAGATATAAATTATATCTGCATATTATATATATATGTAAGATATATATAGGTGGAATCTACAGTTTCATGGGTTTAGTTTTTCAATGTATCTAAGAATCCTTGTATTTTGATGTGGATATTTCCTCGTCACTTTTTATATAAACTTTTTATCTTAAAATAGTTTTAGATTTATAGGAAATTTGCAAAACTAATAATGATTTCCTTTCCCCTCACCCTCATTTTCCTCTATTAACAACATCTAACATTAGTGTATTTGTCACAACTAATGAGCCAATATTGAGATGTTATTATTAGCTAAAGTTAAACAACTTTTCAGATTTCTTTAGTTTGTACCTGATGTCCATTTTCTGTTCCGGTCCCCATTCAGGAACCACATTATGTTAAGTTGTCCCATCTTCTTAGGCTCATCTTGGCTGTGACAGTGACCTTGATGATTCTGAGGAGTACTAGTCAGGTTTTCTGTACAGTGTTCCTCAACAAGAATTTGTTTGATGTTTTTTCTTAAACTTAGATTATGGGTTTGAGGGAGGAAGACCACAGAAGGAAAATGCCATTCTCGTCACATCACAACAAGGGTGGGCACCACCACCATGACTTGTCACTGTTGATACTGACCTGGATCACCCGGCTGAGGTAGTGTTTCCCAAGCTTCTCCAGTGTGAAGTTACTCTTCTGCTCCTGTTTCCATAGTGTTCGCTTTGGGAGTAAGTCTCTATGAGCAGCCTACACTTAAAGATTTGGTAGGTATGCTTTACCTCCTCAAGGGTGGAGCATCTACTCAGATTATTTAGAATTCTATACCAGTGATTTGTCTATTCTTCTACACTTATTTATTCAGGTACTCCTTTCTACCAAGATAAACTCACAGGTTATTTATTATATACTTTGGGCTAAATACAATATCATTTTACTTATATTGCTGCCCTGGTTTTTGCAGTTTTGCCCATTTAGAGCTCTCTCTGTTGGCCCTGTGTCCCTCTGACATCATCTTTCCATTGTTTTGTGTGTTAGTTCAGCACTTCCTTACTTTCTGGCATAAGATGCTACAGACTCATTTTGCATATTTCCTATCCCAGTCCTAAAGCCAATCATTTCTCGAAGAAGCCTTGGTTCTTTTAACTGAAGAATGGTGTTAGAACAGAACATCTGCACAATTGTTGCTAGTGGGGTATAATTGCTTCTTGAACGTCTCAGCTGAAGGAGCAAGGAAATACATGTCATTTATTTATTTTTAATTTTTCAATAATTCTGAAATAATTATAGAATCACAGGAAATCTTTTCAATTTTTATCTGGCTTGCTCCAATGGGGACAACCTCTACAACAGTAGGACAGCAAAACCCAGGAAATTTGTATTGGCACAATACTACTAACTAGACCACAAACCTTATTTAAATTTTATCCATTTTTGCATGCATTTATCTGTGCGTGTGTGTGTGTGTGTGTGAGAGAGAGAGAGAGAGAGAGAGAGAGGGATAGAGATCTATGCAAATTGACCTAATATATAGATTTGTGAAACCACCACCACAATCAGGAAGCAGAAGTGTCCCATCCCCACAAAGGAACTCCTTTGTACCACCCTTGATAATCACATTCATACCTCCCAACTCCATCCTTATCCCTGGCAACCACTAATTGGTTCTCTATCTCTAGAGTTTTGTCAATTTGAGGATGTTATATAGAAGGAATCACATATCCTGTAACCTTTGGAGATTGCTGTTTTTTTTTTTATTTTCGCTAAGCATAACACCTTTAAGATTCATTCAAGTGATTGCATATATCAATAGTTTGTTCCTTTTTATTGCTGAGTACTATTCCACGGTATGGATGTACCAAAGTTTGTTCAACCACTCACTCATTGAAGGATGTCTATATCATTTCCAGCTTTTTTGCTATCGCCAATGAAGTTGGTATGCACATTCATGCCCCATTTTTGTGTAAGCATAAGTTTTCACTTCTCTGGCATAAATGTCTAGGAGTGCAATTGCTGGGTTGTATTGTAAGTGCATGTTTAGTTTTTATAAGCAACTCCCACACCATATTCCAGAGTGGCTGTAGCATTTTATATCCCCACTGGCAATTCTCACCAGATCCCCCTTTTCTGCATCCTTTACAGTATTTCATCGTATCTTTTTTACTTTTTTAACTCTAACCATTCTAATAGGTATGTAGTGATATTCTGTGGCTTTAATTTGTATTTCTCTAGAGATTCATGATGTTGAACAGCTTTTCATGTGCCATCCATATCTCTTCTTTAGTATTTGTGTTTTTCACAGCTGAGTTGTGAGCCTTCTTTGTGTATTCTAGTCCACTGTAAGATGAGTGGTTTAGTAATATTTTCCCCCCATGTGTAGCTTTTCTTTTCATCCCCTTCATAGGACATTTCACAGAGTGAAAGTTTCTAATGTGAAGAAGTCCAATTTATCAATTTTTTATGCATCATTCTTTTGGCATTTTATCTAAGAACTCTTTGTATCCACAAACTGCTGTTATAATTAATATATTAATTATGAAAGTTTCATGATTGTATGCTTTATATGTAAATCCACTATTGCTAACAATTATTATAAAGACTAATATATTTTATCTTTCTTCTGTTATCTTGCTTTATACTTCATTGTATTTACTTCCTTTAAGTTCCTTTTATTTTTTTCCTCTCTTTTCTCCCTCCTATGATTTGGCTTATATACATTTTACATTTGGACTATATAGTTGCAATGTTTAAAATAATTAAATGAATTTTCTTAATTATCAAGATTAATAATGAAACTAAAACTATTAACTTTGTTCTGTATAAAACTTAGCCTGCTCTGATTTTTTATCTTCCCACTAAATTATTATTCATATTACGCATCTTATTTTATAAGAATAGACTTTTTGACATTCATATTATATTTCACAGCTATAACAATAACAATTATATAATTCTATGTTTACTTAGTTTCATTGTTCATTGGTAATTCTATTGTAAAACAACTATCATTTTAAATCATTTTATTATTATTATTTCCTCAATTCATTGAGTAATTTTAATTCATAAGAGATAAATTGGTGGTAACATTTCTGAATCACATCTAAAAATAACTTTGTGACTCTCACATATGAATGCTAACTCTTCAACATATGGAATTCTTAGGTCTCTGTTTTCTCTCTTGTTTTGTTCTTGGTTTTAATATTCTGCAGGCAGTCTATGACTTTCCGATATTTGGTGATATGGAAGAGAAAACTGAGGATATGTAAAGAGAGTCAGATGAGAATTCTTAATTAAGCAAGAGAACCAAGTGCCAAGAAATGAAAGGAAGCAAAGAGTTTCAAGAAGAAAAACTAAATCAATAATTAAATGTTGCCCCAAAGGTCAAGTAGGTTGATCATTGAGAAAAGTTATTGGATTTGCAATTAGAAAATAATTGTAACCTTTGAAAGAGCAATTTCAGGAAGACAGTGAAAGTAAGAGCCTGTTTCTCTGAGCTGGGAAGGGCCTTAGAGAATATGAAATCTAAAGTCTTCAACTTCCTGTCCAGAACGTAAAAGAAGTGACTTGTCCAAGGTCATAAAGTTAATGACACCAGTAATAGACACCATGAGTACAGAGTAATAGACCCTCCTGATTCAGTGCTCTTTTTATCTGTGACAATACCAGAGATGGAGAATAGACGCAAAATGGTCTGGTCCAGGGAAGGAAGTCATGATGAAGAGTAGCTGAAAGGGGTGAGTCCAGTAGGTGTGGATCTTTGAAGGAAATGGGTGGGCAAAAATGAGAGAGATGGGGGTGAGAAGAGAGAGGAAAGAGAAAGAAAGGAAAAATCTGGAAAGCTGAGCATGTCTTGCAGACTTTAGCTCAGAGACACACACACAAAATAGTCTCAAAAGAGCCTACCAAAATGGACATGGCCTCACTCTGCCAAGGTCAAATGGAGGCTATCAATTGCTTTCCTGGAAAGCAGAAAAGGAACATGAAAACAGGCTGTACCTGGAAAAGGTCACTTTATACTTTAAATATGTGCCCTTACCCGTGGAAGCAGTGGTAACACTGAGAAGTTTCAGCCAGTACTGAGCTGACTGTTTCTGTTCTACGCATTGCATCCTCCACTGGATAAGATACACGTCCTGAAAAGCCCTCTCCCACCGTCTAAACCAAGCAATGCACCTAAACTGTGGATTGGACCACAGTGGGACATACGAAGAAAAAGGAGTGCAACTGAAAACTCAGAGTGAAAGTAGGGTCAGAACACAGAGAAGCAACCTTCAGTGAACAATATATATTAAATATATATATATATATATTAGATGCAATGGAACACAGAGCTAAACACACTTCCAGCTAGAATAGGTAACTGATCTTAAGTGGTTGGCAATTCCTATTTTGGCAATGTCTATTTTAACATTCTTTTTGATGTTTTACTATTTAATTTTCCCATTTTATATCATACTTAATTTTATATGACACCTTAAGTCCCATGGAAAGTAGTAAAGCTTTAATCTGTTCCCCATCCCCACCCCAACAAACCCATACCCGTGAAAGCGGAAGTGACAAAGTATGTCAAAGCAAGGGAGCTTCACTATTTCCATTGCAGGGCCCTTGACAGTGATGGATCTGGTGCTATCCTGCAGGCCACAGAGGGCCTGGGGTCAGTGATCTCTTCTGCTGACTTCCTAATCGCTCCAGCTTTGAGCAGCTCTAAGCCAGCTAGTAAGCAAACTGGGACTGCCATCCATTAACATTTTTCAGTCTTTTGCAGTGTACTGTAATTTATCCCTGTCATTTAGACCCAGGCAGTGGTCTTTAGCTTATTTCTGAGATCTTATTACATTTTTTATTCATAGAGAAGTAAGATTTACATATCGAAGATCAATAACAGCCTCCATCATGCTTACATTATTAATAAGAAAGATGTTGTATGAAGACAGACTGGTGTCTTGGATTTGCTCAGCAGCTGGGCTCATTTCAGACAGGCCAGACATGCTGCTTGCATTTCACTCTGTTCTCTCCTTCAGGCCATGTGCTATCTTCACCCCTTCTGGGAGTGTGGTCTCTGGCACTGGCATACCATTTAACACCTAGGTTTGGTACAGCCAGACTCAAAGAGGGGAAGAAGTCTAATTACTGCAAGAAGTCCTGAGAAACAAGAAGTCTCCACTTTTTCTGGTGCCTTGGATCCGTGTTGTGGTAAAGGCTGTCTTGGCTCAGCCAGAAACAACATTAACAGGAGTAACAACACTAGTGCAGTGCTTTTCCATGGACAAAGTTCTTTTTCATATACATTCAAGGTCAGGATTTCCTTTTCCAAACTTCAGTTTTTATCTAGCACCAACAGCTACAGTTTGATAGCCATGCTTCTCTCATACCCTGAGTTATATTAGTACATGAAGCACTCCAGTGTTCTGCCCAACCCAAAGCAAAAGTTTATTATCCCTCTTTCTCCAGCACTTGCCAGAGGAAAGAAATGGAAATCTCAAAGGCTGAGAGCAATCTGTGCTTCGGGGTAAGAAGGACAAGGGTCAGGGGCCATGGCGACTTCTGTGTTCCCTAATTTGTTGTCAAGCAGCAGGACTGACTCTGTTATTGAGCCATAATACCTGAGTCTACAGCTGAGGTAAATATTTCAGAGTCGTTTACAATTTTCTCATTGGCCTGGGACCTAGACCAGGACAATGGACAACTTTCTCAGTCCTCCTGTTAAATTATTTATGTGGCATTTGACACCACTGACCATATCCTTCTTGATACCAACTTCCAGCTTCTCAAATCCACTCTCTGTTGGGTCTTCTTTCACTTCTCTGACCAACTTTTCTTTCTTGGTCTTGTTTTCACACATCTTCTCCACTGACTAACAGTTGGCCTCTCTAATTTTCTATTCTTGGCCTTTTATAAAAATCAATCCAACATGCTCTTCCTATGCAATTTCATTCTTTCCTTGGTTTCCACTACCCCTATAGGGTACTGACTCCCAAAACATTACTTTAAATAACTCAGACCAGTCTGGAACTCCAGATGGAATGTCACTCTACTTGACATTGCCAATGAGATCCCATAGTCATTTCAAATCTATTATGTCCAGAACAACTCAGATTTCTCCCTGAAACCTCTACTCTTCCGCCTGTTTCCAAGTGATTGGCAGCACCCAGATACACTCTCTTCCACAGTCCCCATTTTCAGTCTTTGCCTTCTGATACAGTTTGGCTGTGTCCCCTCCCAAATCTCATCTTGAATTATAGCTCCCACAATTCTCACATGTCATGGGAGGGACCCAGTGGGAGGTAATTTAATCATGGGAGTGGGTCTTTCCTGTACTGTTCTTGTGATAGTGAATAAGTCTCATGAGATCTGATGGTTTTATAAGGGGAAACCCCTTTCGCTTGGTTCTCACTTCTCTCTTGTCTGCCTCCATGTAAGATGTGTCTTTTACCTTCTGCCATGATTGTGAGGTCTCCCCAGCCACATGAAACTGTGAGTCCATTAAACCTCTTTTTCTTTATAAATTACCCAGTCTTGGGTATGTCTTTATTAGCAGAGTGAAAACAGACTAATACACCTTCCTTCTAACTGTCATAGTTGCACAGCCCTTGCCCAGGTTAACCCCCAGCTTTGTCTTGTCTGCTCTAAGAGTCTCATACCTTATTTGTCTCCCTGCTTTCCAACTGACCCTCCCAGAGTGATTGCACCAGAACACCAACATGATCCTGATATTGCCACGGATGGAACCCTTTAGTGGCTTCCTGATACTGTGAAGCAAAACTCAAATCCCCCATTTCAGTTTCAGGATTCTCCCCAATTTCTGCAGGTCTCCCCACCCCCACCCCCTCAGCATCATATTTTAAGCTCCCGTCACACCAACCAGTTTGCAATTTCCAAACTGCCTTGGTGTTTTGTGCCCTTAAGCCTTTATTTTTACTTATGCTTCTTCCTTGGCTGACCCCATCCTCCAACTGGCCATCACTCCTTTCTTGTACCTCCCCCTTTAATCTTTTCCTCATTACATCACTCCCTCCAGGTGCAATAATACATTTCTCCTTTGTAAGCCCAGCATATCCTATGTAGGCTTCCGCTGTAGTACTTACAACATTTTATTACATGTTTTTGTTTATAGAATCACATCTTAATTTTCTTTGCATCCTTAGAAATAACGATGGTAATAATAGTAAACATTTATCAAATAGTATGTCCCAGGAGCTGTTTAAACCACTTTACAGGTATTAACTCAATCCTCACAGTAACCCTATGAGGGAGCCTGATTTTAAAGTTGAGGAAACTGAGGCACTTGGTGATATAGTGTATCACTCAAGGTCACACAATCAGTAAGTGGAAGAGACAGGTTTCGGACCCATTTGCCTTGACTCCAAAGCCTATGATTTAAACAACTATATTTAACTACCAATGCCAAGCCTATAATAGGCACTTAGTGAGTGCTTACTGGATGAATTGATGGGATTAGTTGCTTGGGAAAGGGAGAGCTAGATGTAAAAACCTGTAAAGGGGAAGCAAATCTATGGACTAAGCAGGGTGAAATAATCCATCAGGACCATTAACCTGGGTTGGGCAATTGCAAGAATCAAAGTCTGCGGCCATATTCTTTTTTTTTTTTTTTTTTTTTTTGAGATGGAATCTTACTCTGTTACCCAGGCTGGAGTGCAATGGCACGATCTTGGCTCACTGCAACCTCCACCTCCTGGATTCAAGCGATTCTCCTGCCTCAGCCTCCCGAGTAGCTGGGACTTCAGGTGCCATCCACCACGCCCAGGTAAATTTTGTATTTTTAGTAGAGACGGGGTTTCACCATGTTGGCCAGGCTGGTCTCAAACTCCTGACCTCAGGTGATCCACCCGCCTCGGCCTCCCAAAGTGCTGAGATTAGGGGCATCAGCCACTGCACCCAACCCCTGTGGGCATATTCTGAGACCCAAGGAGTGATTGTCAGAAAAGTGTGGGGGTCCTGGAGCAAGACCATAACAGACCACATGACCTCACTGGGTCCACAGCCACCAGGACAGAGGCTCTTTGGAGATCTGGGACCTGCCTTTGACAGCCTCAGGGGCAAAGCCACCTGACCACATGACTAAGCAGGGTAGCAAGCCACAGAAGAGACTACCACCTACCTGTGCACACCCTATTATGTAAGCTCAAATTCTCTCCAGACTGAGCCCATGAGGGTAAGAGGATTTCCTACGAGACTCTAAACTTTCAAGCCTAGCAGACAACACATGGTAGGTACCCATTAAATGTTTATCAAATGAATCAAAAGAAAGCCACAGAAACAAATCCAGGACAGAGACCCCGCCACCCTGTTCGTCTCTTTCTTCATCCACAAAACCTGTCACAAGGCTAGTCACATAGATGTCCAATAAATTACAGTTCCTATATATCATCCTTTTAGTGATTATCTCCCTCTTCCACCATAATCTATAATTAAGTTTCTATTCCTCTTATTGTCCCTTTCTCTCTAATTATGAACTCAGAGTCCAAAGAAACAGCAATAATCCAGCAGCTTAGTGTTGTGAGAGGCCAACCTTGAGTAAGACTTTCTTGTCCCAGCATAACTTATCCTAACTTCTGGACCACTCTTTTCTCCTGTGTAGATATTGACAATAACAATAATAGTGGAAACACAACTCCAGGATATCCTAATAACAAAGAAATAGCAATTCCCATCTTGCATTGCCTATATATTTTTTTCTATATCAACTCTTCTCATATCTAAACTTATTTTTCCAAAAGTTCCTTGCAGTTAGGTACCGAAATCTCTGTTGTTTGATCGATCTCCAAGGACTTATTAAGCATAATCTATGTTCTTAGGATTGAGAAAAATTGGATAGAAGAAACTTCAGACATGAGTCCTGCTCACAATTTCACTTGCAGAGAATATTAATTATTTCAAGATTACAAAGACGAGAAAACAGGCTTTTAAAATTCAGTAACTGGTCTAAGGTCAAACAGCTAGCTGTAGCAGAATTGGAACTTGAAGGCAGGTTTTACTAACTCTAAATCCTGTCTGTGTTCTTAATGAAGCTACTCCACTGTAGTAACAACAGAATTCCTGTAAAGAGATTGCAGTTGAAATTAGGGTAGTCAGGAAAGACTTCCTGGAGGAAGTGGGGTCATCAGCTGGACTCTGGAGATCTTTGGGTTTGGGATTGGTAGAAAGGCAGGAGGAGGGTGTTTCAAAGGGAGGATACCCCGTGAACAAATGCACAGACTTCTTCTCTTGCCTCCTCCACAAAACCTATCACAAGGCTAGTCATATAGATGTTCAATAAATTACGGTTCCTAAATCATCCTTTTAGTGATTATCTCCGTCTCCCACCATAATCTATAAGGAAGTTTCTATTCCTCTTATTGTCCTTTTCTCTCTTTGCAATTATGAACTCAGAGTCCAGAGCAATGGCAAGAATCCAACAGCTTAGAGGTGGCAAGGGGCCAACCTTGAGTAAGACTTTCTTGTCTCGTCACAACTGTGCACAGCGTATAGGGTAAAATGAGAGGAGAGGAGTAAACCGTAAGCAAAGTTGGGACGGATGCAGAAGAGTAACCCAGGGAAGGAGGGTCATTGCCAGTGATCTTCTTTCCTTCTGTGGCTGAGCTAGTGCAGCTCTCACCACTGTGTTTGCCTAGTCTGGACAGATGAAGCCTGGCACTTCCCCCACTTCCCCCCACCCACTTCTCCCCTTCTGAACGCCAACCAATGAGCAGCCCAAACACGTTTCTCAAAGTCTAATTAGCATCAACAATAGTTCAAGCTAATCGCCATAATTAATGGAGAAACAAGGCTGTGACTGGAAAAATTATACATGGGAATAAACGAATGCAGTTGAATCTGGAGCAGCCTCTATTCAGGAAAGCTGGAGGGGGAACAAGTCGACTCACCCTCTATTCCTTTCATTTTTCCTAACGGGCTCCCCACCATCCTGGCCCCCAACAAGCAGCATGAATACAAGAAGGGACAGTCTCATCAAATCAGATTCCATCCACAAGGCAGGCAATGACCTCTCCCAGAGAATTACTGTTATTAGACTTAATTATATAATAATAGTTGCACAATGGCCTGGACCCCCTCCTCTTCTCTGACAACACCCGCACGCCTGCAGTGGCAATATTGTTAGAATGGAACCATGTTTTCTCTCCCCCTAAATTACTTTCCTTTCTTTATTGTCCTTGATTTCCCCATATTTCTTTTCTCTTACCACCAATCCCTTCTTCAATATCCCTTTCTTCATCTTCCTTTTCTTTTCACCTCCTCATTCTCTATTTCTTTGGGTTTCTCTCTCCTCCCTCTTCATTTTCCTCTTCATCCTTTGTATTCCTTATGTAAAGACCAGGCAGATATCTGCACCAGTCTTTGGCACCAATCTCCTCTCCTAAGTGTTTTCCTGTCCCTGGTCCCCTTTTAGCATTTGTGCTAGAAAAAAAAAAATGTGATATGATGTCCTCCTCTGTAGGACTTTCTTTCCTTTGGGTACCACTTTAGCAGATCTCTTAATGTTCCTACCCTAACATGACATCTCTAAGTCTTTATGAAATGACTTTCCCTTCCTTCCTTTCCTCCCTTCCTCCCTTTTTTTCTTCCTCCCTCCCTCTATCCCTTCCACCCTCCCTCCCTTCCATCTTTTCTTTCTTCCTGTTTTAACTTTCAACATTTACTGAATCCCTAAGGTATACCACGCACATGTAAATATGAAAATGGAAGCCCATGAAGCTAAACCAAGTCCCGCCAGATCATTAAGATAAGTGGTTCAGACACCCCAGTGGGCTTTACATATAGAAGTCCTCTCATTTCCTAGGTAGAAATTGTCAACAAGCTAGACTACAATACTTCGATTTTCATTTGAAATCTTTCTAATATTCCCATTCTCTCCAGCCTCATGTCCACTAACCAAGCCAGTCTCATCCACTTCAGACCTGTATTCTACCAATAGGTTCCTGGAGACCAGGGACCCAAATCCTAGCACTGACCTGACAGCCAGAATGGCCAGCCAAGTTCTGAGAAATCCAAAGGGTGGGACTTTGTGCTCAATACAAGTGAGATGATTGATAGTTGTTGTTTTTTTTTTCTGCTCACTCTGAGGAAAACTCCAGAACAGTGTCATTGTTATTATACAAAGCCAAATGGCATACTTTTAAATGCAATCTATTCCAGTTTACCACCACAACAGTGACATGGATTATTATCTTTGTAATCTGGCCCCATCTCCAGACTCATACCCAGACATGCCCTGAGAACATGAGAATAATTTTATTACATGTGTAAGGGTAGCAATTGGTGGGGCAGAAAGGGATCCACTGGAAAGAAAGAAAAAAGAAAACAGCCACGGTGACACAGACTCTGTTTCAAAAAGGAAGGAAGGAAGGAAGGGAGGGCGGAAGGGAAGGAAAAAAGAAAACAGCCAGGGTGACACAGACTGTTTCAAAAAGGAAGGAAGGAAGGAAGGAAGGAAGGGAGGGAGGGAGGGAGGGAGGGAGGGAGGGAGGAAATCAAGAAGAGAGAGAGAAAGAGAAAGAGAGAAAGAAAGAGAGTGAGAGAATGAGAAAGAAAGAGAGAGGGAAGAGAAGAGAAGAGAAAGGAAAGGAAAGGAAAGGAAGAACAAGAGAAAAGGGAAGGGAGAGAGAAAGGAAGAAATCATGAAGAAAGAAAAAGAAAAGAAAAGAAAAAGAAAAGAGAAAGAGAGAAAGAGAAAGAA
Source organism: Homo sapiens (assembly GCF_000001405.40). NCBI lineage: Eukaryota > Metazoa > Chordata > Mammalia > Primates > Hominidae > Homo > Homo sapiens. The sequence goes on from NC_000008.11 coordinate 21,093,892, forward strand.
AGGAAGGAAGGAAGGAGAGAGGGAGGGAGGGAGAGGGGTATAAGAACAAAGGAAGGAAGGAATCAATCAATCAAAGGGGTCAAGTTTCACTCTTATATAAAGTTTCACTCTTATGTAACTCTGTAACAAACAATGGTAGAAAAGAAGGAACAGAGAGAAAGAGGGGTAAAATTTGGCCAATAAGAAGGTTAACCTACAAGACTGTGCTGGCACTTCATTAAGATGAGTAAACGTTTGGAGTTTGGTGCTTTCGTAGCAGAAAGGATGATTTATTTCCTCTTTCACTTATATATGCAACCCAGGGGTCAGCAAGATTTTTGGAATTCACATTACATACCATTCTAGATATTTCAGCAATAATCTTCAAACAGCACACCTCTGCTCACATGTATTTGTAAGAGGCAGAATAGAATTGTGAAAAAAAGCACAGGATTTAGAATACAAAGACCTGACTTCATGACATTACCAGTTAACGCGGCTCATGGATTATTCTGTAAAATGAAGGTTATAGTAAGGAAGATTAAAATAATATGTAAGATTATATTCATATTAATATCTAGATTTTGCCTGACCTTATGGGTTTGTTATGAGGATTGCATAATAAACTATGGACTAAAATGTTCTGAAAACTCTTAATTACTGTACATGTCAGTAATCATATTAGATCCCCTACAGAGCTCAGCCCTCCAAGCACTGGGCACATATAAAGTGCAGAGTGAGTAAGTGTGGACTGATTGATACCTACTTCTCTCACATAATACAGAAAAGAATCATTATGGATCAAATATCTTTCTACTCTCATTAAGCTTACATCCCATAGAGAAAGATGAAAAGGTCTGGATCCCGCCCTAAAGTGTGGCTCTGAGAAAATGAGTGTACAGCATGAGAATTAGGGCTAGGCACACCTCTGCCTGCAGCAACCCCACACTGACCTAACTCATTCAGCTGAAATGTCCCCACTCCACATCAAGTCTTGTCCTATTTAATCTGCACCTTATTCATATAATGTCAAAATTATTAGCCTGTTTTAAAGGCGAGAAGACTGAGTCTCAGTAAGATTAACTTGGCAGTCACAGAACTAATAATTGGCCAGGCCAACATTGTGTCTGCGGATTCTATGTTACCTCCACTGGAGGGCTGAGTTAGGTGGAGAGGGAAAGATGAAGGAAGGCCTCTAGCTAAGCAGAAAGCTCAGAGTCAGAAGCACAGGAACTCCTGTTTTTGCCCCATGTCTCGGTTTACCTCCAGGTCTCTGAAGGCACACGCCGTCCTCTGCAGTGTTTGAAACTCCTGCACATTTTCTGTTATGTGCACTCTACAAAGGAAGGGCGGGCTCCTGTTCTTCTTTGCAGTGACTCTTTGTCTGGCCTGGGGTGTGCTACAGCAGCACAGGGCCCCGGTCCATAAGTGCGGCATTGAGAGAAATAAAGGTTATCTTGGCAATGAAGTCTGCTAAACAAACTATGAAGAGGGGTGGAAACTCCTCCCTTCCTTGAGGCCTGGAGTGACACACTGTCCTTGCGATGTGTGCTGGGAGGAGTGGAGTTCAGATGTGACTGTCTGTAACTCACACGCACAGGCCACACATTGCCACCTTTCGGAGCCAGAGGGCCGGCAACTCCTTCCTTGGTGCCCTCACTTTAGTCTGTTCTGTCTTCTCATTTAAGGCTGACCCACCATACTGCTTATACACTTAACACTCCTACTAGGCTGTAGCCCCACAGGTTGGGGGGTGTGACTTTCCATCCCAGAGGCCACTCAATCTACTCTTCTGCTTCCAGATGGGGTCAGGCAACCATATGCCTCCAGACTGAAGATTCAGGGGCTGTTGAAAGTTGCCTAAGAGATTCTCTTGTGCCTAAGGTCCTCCCAGAACTACCTGGCAGCCCTCTTTTTCATGACCCATTCCTCTGCAAAAGGCGTTGCCTCTCCATTTACTTTAGAAGGGAAGACAGTGGAAAACAGGAAGACAATAAAAAGTGACTAAGCACCTGTTATATGCTATGCACCTGACTAGCTATTTTATGAAATCTCATCAAAGTCTCACAGCAACTCTCAGGTGGCTGATGTTATTCCCATTCTACAGATGAGATAACAGAGGGCCACTGTAGTCGCAGGGTTAGTGAGAAGGTGAATCAGGACTGGACCAGCATCAGAGCTCCTGTTCTTTGTGTCATCCCTACTTACTCCCTCACACAGAGGAGGCCTGAGAGTGTGGGGGGGACCGACAGCATGAGCTCCTGCTCCGTGACCTGGAAGTTGGAGGTCAGGACCCAGGAAGTGCACGGCTCTATCTTTCTGAGGGTCAGAGCTCTCCAAGGGCAAGAACATGGTGCCCAGGTCTCTGCTGACTGAGCACTGGTGAGTTGTTCCGTCTAGTTGGAAACCACCCAATATCCACCCTGGAATATTCTCCTCTAAAAGCCCCCATTTGGCTCTAATTGTCTCTCAGAATTTAAAATTGTTGATATATATATATATATATATATATATATATATATATATATTTCCCCTCCACTAGAAATAAACTGAGTTCCTGATGGGCATGAAATAGAGAATTGAGAAATGTTAAGTACTTTAAAATACACTATTTATTATGCCGTGAATTGTATTTTGTTACTGAGATTCTTCTGTCATTATGTGATTTTGGAGAGGGTTGGGTTCTTTTTACATGTGTTCCCCCCCCCCCACCCCCCGTTCTCCAGGGAGCTTGTAGTACTTAAAATTGTATTGTATAATAGATAGTATAATCCCTGTAAATTAAATGTGCCTCTGCCGAGTTGTGTTTTATGTTAATTCCATTGTGTGGTGGCAGCTGCTTGGGAAGGAAGCTATGGATTGGCAGGGATGTGGGTTTCTAGCTTAGCCAAGAACCCACAGCTACAGGTTCTGTGCTACAAGTGGTACATTATCCTGGGAATAAGCTAGTGCTTCAGAAGAAAGCAGAGAGCTTAGGAATGGGATAGGTGCCATAATCTGGGCTGGGAAAGACTAACATCGATTCCCAGGACAATGGCCACAGAGATCTTTCCTAAGGGCCACAGACAAAAAGAGTCAGGGAACGATCTTGATCTAGTCAAGCCCAGACCCATGTCTTTAAAAGCAAAATGTCCCCCTTCATGTGGGACACTATTGTCACCCACTTCCAGCTATCCTACAGCAGTTGGCAGCGAACCCTCAAAATCAAAAGAGGCCTGGGAATTTAAGGAACCGTAAGAAATATGTAAAAACAAGGTCTCTGTCTGTTCAACAGCCTTGGAGGCTGAAGAGCTCTGGAGGGCAACAAGGACAGCAGTGGCCAGGGAGAAACAAGCCCAGGGAACAAAGGAAGGTGCACTGCAAACATACTGGGGAAGGAGGAATGGGCCAGACCAGGTCTTAGCCAGCCAGGGACCCCAGGTGTTGCCCAGCATGGTGGATCACAGGATGCTAAAGACACCAGTGCAGAGAGAATATTCTGGAGGCCAGAAAGCCACCTTTTTAAAAAAACTGAACTTCTATTTCCCAGCCACTGTGCTGGTAAGTCTTCTCCTATTTAATCTGCACCTTATTCATATAATGTCAAAATTATTAGCCTGTTTTAAAAGTGAAGAGACTGAGTCTCAGTAATATTAACTTGGTAAAGTCACAGAATAATTGGTCATGCCAACATTGTGTCTGCAGATTCCACGTTACCTCCAATGGAGAGCTGAGTTAGGTGGAGAGGGAAAGATGAAGGCAGGCCTCTAGCTAAGCAGAGAAGCAGAAAGCTGAGAGTCAGAGATTTGTGAGTGCAGAAACAGCGTGATGAAGTACGCATACTAGAGAGACATGTATGATACATCAAAGTAGAAAATGGTAGCAAAAGTAGCAGAATTCTATGTAGAATGTGCATTAGTCAGCTTGGGCTGCCTTAACAGACACCATAGCCTCGGGGGCTTAAACTATAGATGTTCATTTCTCACCATTTAGAAGACATAGAGGTCCCAGATCAAGGGGCCAGCTATTCAGTTGCTGGTAAGGGCTTTCTTCCTGGCTTATAGATGGTCTCCTTCTTGTTGGTCTCTCCACATGGTGGAGAGAGAAAGCAAGAAAGAGGGCCAGGTGCAGTGGTTCACACCTATAATTCCAGCACCTTGGGAGGCTGAGGTGGGTGAATCACCTGAAGTCAGGAGTTTGAGACCAGCTGGCTAACATGGTGAAACCCCATCTCTACTAAAAATACAAAAAATTAGCTGGGCGTGGTGGCAGGTGCCTGAGGTACCAGCTTCTTGGGAGGCTGAGGCAGGAGAACGGCATGAACTCGGGAGGTGGAGTCTGCAGTGAGCCGAGATCGCGCCACTGCACTCTAGCCTGGGCAACAGAGCAAGACTCCGTCTCAACAACAAAAATTAGATGGGTGTGGTGGCGCACACAGGTAATCCCAGCTAGTTAGGAGGCTGAGGCAAGAGAATCGCTTGAACCCAGGAGGCAGAGGTTGCAGTGAGCTGAGTTCATGCCACTGCATTTTAACCTGGGCGACAAAGTGAGACTCCATCTCAAAAAAAAAAAAAAAAAAAAAAAAAAAAAAAAAAAGAGAGAGAGGGATAGAGAGATCTGGTGTCTCCTCCTAATGGGACATCAATGCTATCACATCAGAGCCCCATCCTTGTGACCTCATTTAACCTTGATTACTCTCATAAAGGCCCTGTCTCCAAACTCAGTCACACTGGGAGTTGTAGAATTCAGCATAGGAATTTGGGAGGGACACAAACATTCAGTCCATAACAGTACAATTTTAATTGAAAATGTATATGATGCCAGGCACAGTGTCACACGCGGCACTTTGGGAGGCCAAGGCAGGAGGATTGGGAGGCTGAGGCAGGAGGACTGCTTGAGTCCAAGTGTTCGAGACCAGCCTGGGCAACAAAGTGAGACCTCATCTCTACAAAAAATTTTAAAAAAATTAGCCAGGCATGGTGGCGCACACCTGTAGTCACGGTTACATGGGAAACTGAGGTGGGAGGACTACTTGATCCCAGGAAGTGGAGGCGGCTGTGAGCCATAATTGTACCACCGTACTCCAGCCTGGGTGACAGAGCAAGACTGTCTCAAAAAGTGTTATGTCTCTATATATTATATCTATTTGCCATGGGAAGGAGAGACAAAAATATGAGCAGTTCTTATGTCCTCTTTGCTTATCGGTGTTATCTAACTCATCTGCAGTGAGTATATTTTAGTGGTCGATTAAAGAACAAACTTGAAAATCATTTTAGCCCATGTGCTTCGGGCCCTGGTACCTGGCAAAGATGCATGCACAGTGGCTGTACTTAGCCCCATCTGCTCAGCTCTGCCAGCTGGCTCCAGCACACTCCTGCTAGGAGGGGTGCCCAGAGGAGGATCCCTGCAACAGACTGACACCTCAACTCTATCCAGTGCCTGCCTGCTCCAGTTAGTGGTCCCTTACCTTTTGGTATCCCTCCTTCTCTGCACTTTTTGGACTTTGATGCCACATGGAGACCAGGGGCAACTGCCTAAAGGGCGGGACTGAGAAAAGCAACAGACTACCACGCAATTGATATGCAAGAGACAGCCGCAGCAGCCTTTGTATCAGAGCCTCACAAAAGCGATTCTCTGCAGTTGATATAAAAAGGTGTCAGTTCTGGTTTAAGTACTGTATTACCAGCAAAGATTTATCTGCCTCAAAGCCGAGCCTCACACCACCAAGGGAATAAACAGCTCTTCTGCTTATCTGTTTCACAGAGCACAATATTTCTCCAGTTGTTTCTGCTTCCAAAAGGACTTTTTCTTTGCCTTTTCCAGTTGTCTCCAGCAATTTGCAAGAACAAATTACTCATGCCCAGTGATGATGGCAGATGGTCCTATCCACACCCCTTCCTCACCTGGTCTCTGGGGAGGCTGCACAAAGAGAGCAAAGATACTAAGAGGGTCTTTTAAACTGGGGGCAAGTGAGAATATTGAATTCTGACGTTGAGAAACCAAAGGATATAAAGGGGCAAGGGAAATCCCTTTACCTTAAAAGGTTAAGAGATTGGCTGGTTTAGAGAGAAAAAAGTCATTTAGAACTGTCTGGCCACTGCGATTAGTAGTATCTTTGTGAGATACCAGACCTGGCACAGAGGAGGGTAAGGTCATATGCAGATTTGTCACTTGGAGGATCCTGGCTTCAGGATGAAGAGGTAGAGACATCTACCATCTCAAGGCTATAGGACTGTCTTCCCAGTAGGGTTATCCCCACTCAAAGTTGCAAAACTATGAAATGCCAAGTCTGGAATTGTAGGAATCTTGGCTGGATTCCCTCTGTGACTCAGACAGATTACTTAGCCTTTCTGAACCTCAGTTTCTTTTCCTGTAAAATGAAGATGCTAAGAATATTCCTTCTGTCTCATGGGGGTGTCGTGAGGATCAAATACTATACAACACACAAGTTTAAATGTTGCAGGTGTGTATGTGTGTATGTGTGTGTGCGCGTGTGTCCGCACATGCGTGTGTGCTCATAGAGTATGTCTACTCGCTGAGGCTTGAAACCTGAACAGGGAACAAGGTCTTTCATACCACAAGTAGTAGCAGGTTTAATTGGCAAGTATTTATTCCTGGGAGTTGTAACGGGGGGGGGGCTTCAATTCACGTTCAGGCATGGTGACAAAGATGAGGTCCTGTGCTGACAGCAGTGTGCTGGCTGGGTGAGACAGCAGTGTCTGTCTCGGTGGGGAGGAAAGATGGTGTTTCAGGAGAGATAAAGAGTACAGAAATGGCAGGTGTGGGAAGGCCATATGAAGACAGAATTCCCTGCCTATAGACTTGTTTGGATGCCACCTGACTGGTTCTCAGATTTTCTGACCCATATTAGCCAAACTGTGCTGGAAAGCTGGGGGAGGCAGTGTGACGTAAACCTTCAAGTACCCACCAAGGGGGCAACCAACTTTAAACGCAAAGTGGTCCCAGCAGTTTTTCTTATATAAGCTGCTGCAGTGGCTTTATTAGTACTAACAGCCCTGTCACAGCAGCCATGGCTGGCTGGCCTGGGGACAGTGTGCAAACTGAAGATAGCCACACCAGGGCAGAGGGGGGCCTCCCAGGTGCTTCCAGCCTGACCTGCAGGAGCTCTGATCAATCTCTCTGAATAAATAAAGGCAGGCTTCTCCCCAAGGTACCTGCTGGGCTACTGAGGGACTTCTGTCCTGCTTCACATTCCAACCTATCCCTGCCAGGAGCCCAGGAGCCCATGTTCCACTTAGGGGTTCAGCCTTCGGCAGTAATGAGCCAGAGACATGTGCATTCTGCAGGCATCTTTCCCAGACACTTGGACAGAGTCCAGCCCTACATCAAGGCACTGCTCTTCTGAAGCACCCAAAATTGTATTGTTAATGTTAATGCTGCTTGGGAAAAAATCCACTTGTTCTTATAGGTTCCCTTATGCTTAAGATATTCTGTGGCTTATGTCATGGACTGTAGCAGTTGGTAGGGTTTTCTTAAGGATTCTGACCTCAGAGAATATGATGAGTGTGAACTTTGTGGAGGATATATACAAACTTGCCAGGCTACCTTCTGGTCTGTATTTCACTTAGAAGCTTCTTTCAAAATGTATCTTGTTCAAATAGTATTCTGTTCCTAATATGGGCTTTGGAAAAGCCAGGCATCTTCCCTGGGCCCAGTGATCTCAATGGCCTTTGAAGCATCAGGAAAGAACTCTGTATGTGTATTGGGGATGGGGAGTGGGCTGACTACAATCACAGAGGCATAATTTCATCAGGTATAACTATCTCTATTCAACAGTTTACTCATTCTTTGATCTGACCTACACTTACTGAAACCTATTACATGCTGCCACTATGCTAAGCACCAGGCATATAGAAGTTAATCAGCAGGTTTTCTGCCCTCAAAGAAAACACAGTCCAACAGTAACAATCGCACAGAGTGCAATGGAGTGAGGCTACAAAGATGTCCAGTGTACAGTGGAGATACAAAAGAGGTTGCCCTAGCTGTGATGCCTGCCTCCCACTCCCTCCCCTGCCAGGTTAAGTCTCTAATAAAATGTTGGCACGTAGCAAAAGAAAGTACCAGATTCCAGGTTTAAAGGACAGTGTAAGAATAGAGGCACAGTACTTTGCATTGAGATCAGAAAATGGAAGTATCATTGCATGATTGGGATAAAGAGAGAGAAAGGTGGTAGGTGTGTGTTAGGGTGGGGTTTATGGAACCCCAATACTAGGGATGGGAAAACTTGGAGGGGTTGTTAAGGGGGTGGTGAGGATGGGCAGCTGACTTGGTTGACTATCCAACGTCATCTCACTCCTCCATTTCTTTTTCATGAACATTCTAGAGCTACCAAGTGCTTGAGTTGAGGCCCAGGCAATCAAGGTCTTTCCAGTCCCCTTCCCGATGAGCAATTTAGACAGGGCATATGATGTGATTCTATCCAATGACACATGAGTTATCCCGGAAGTCAACTGGAATGGATTTTCCCAGCTCTTGAAAAGAGCTGTTTCAAGAACAGTCTCTTTTCCTGCCTTTTGATACTGCATCTTCACATATCATCTGGAAATGCTATGGTTGTCTTGGGATCCAAAGGAGAACCCTACCAAAAAAATCAACTCAATACCCTCAGGATGGAAAAGTAAGCAGATGGAAACAACCTGGTCCCTTAATGTCACTGAATCAACAGGACCCAGAACTATTATGTTCCCACACTTACTGGGATGTGAGAGCATGCAATTTTATTATCATTAAAGCTATTTTTAGTTCATCCTTCCATTACCTGCAGCCAGAAGCATCCCAACCGATACACAAAAGGAGGAGAAGAGGGTGATAACTCCAGCCAAGCATGCTGAGTGGGAAGTTCCCTCATGGTAAATAAATGGGTAGATACACAGAGTGAGCAGTGATTCATACAGAACTGGAGCTCCACATACTTAGACCTGAGAGCATCTGTACAGAGGTGTCATCTGAAACCACAGGTGGTGAAAAGGTGACGCAGACCACACGTTGTACTGGAGCAATGGTGCTGAACACTGCAGGGAGTCTGCAGGAGACCTGTCAGTTAGCCAATGGTAGGTGGCCATTGGTTACCTTTTGGGGAGTAGCTTTAGTGCAAGGTATAGACAGCATATTGCAATAATTAAGGAGTTGGGATGAAGGGATAGAGAGAAAATGGTGCAGCAAAGAAATCCTATACTTTCAAAAGTCTATTGAAGAAGTAAAGGAGAGAAGTAAAATGATAGCTTAAGAGAATAGTGGTTCTGAGGAAAGAGATCTTAAGGATGACATGATCTACACATGTGTGTAGGCAGGAAAAGGAGCTGGTGGAGCCCCTGAGTATAAAGGGGTGGGAACTTCTGCTCAGTGGTAAGAGCATAACAGATGGAAGGACAGGTCCTCCTCAGAGCTTGAGGGAAAGAGAAGCAGTTGCTAGCCCTGAAGAAAGATTTTGAGCTGGAGAGGAGGGAAGGCACAGGCACAGCCCTGTGTAGTTTAGAAAGCATGTTGGCATACACGATCATATTTGGTCCCACCCAAACTTTAGAAGTTGGGTGCTATCATCATCTCCACTTCAGAGGTAACGAGCTTGAATTTTGTGAAGGTTCGCACCAGAAAATCATAGCACTCATGTGAAACAACGCTCTGCCTGTTCTCAAATCCTGTGCCCTTTCATTGTACAGGGTTGGGTCAGCTGACTGCTTTCTAGGAAAAAGGAAGTAGAGAAGGGTGGTGGTTCCTACACTGGCTTACTGTGAGGATCCCTGTGCAACTTTTAAAAATACAAAGTCCTGGACCCCATCCCCTTGCTGTTCTGATGCTGTGGACCTGGGCAGGCAATGTAAACTTGGATTGCTAAAAGCCTCTACTTTGGTTTAGAGAACTAGAGAATCAATGAACACAGATTCTTAGGAGGTGCTAACTCTGCTGCCTTTAAACCTTAGCACGGTACCCCACACATATGAGATTCTCAGAATTACTTGTGAAAGGGCTAGAAGAAAACAGAAAGGAAGAGGAGAGAGAGGAAGAAGCATAAATAATCACCAGGCGCGGTGGCTCATGCCTGTAATCCCAGCACTTTGGGAGGCCGAGGTGGGCGGATGATGAGGTCATGAGATTGAGACCATCCTGGCTAACACAGTGAAACCCCTTCTCTACTAAAAATGCCAGGCCAGGTGCCTGTAGTCCCAGCCACTCGGGAGGCTGAGGCAGGAAAATGATGTGAACCTGGGAGGTGGAGCTTGCAGTGAGCTGAGATCTCACCACTGCACTCCAGCCTGGGTGACAGAGAGAGACTATGTCTCAAAAAAAAAAAAAAAAGAAGAAGCATAAATAATCTCACCCACCTTCACCACACTATTCTGTTTTGACTCAAAACCCAGATGTCCTCATCCCTAGGCTATTTTATTTTTGAGATAGAGTCTCCCTCTGTTGCCCAGGCTGGAGTACAGTGGCATGATCACAGCTCACTGTAGCCTTGACCTCAGGGTTCAAGCCAGCCTCCAACCTCAGCCCCCCCCCAACACCCAACCAAGTAGCTGGGACCACAGGTATGTGCCACCATGCCTGCTAATTTTTTATAGAAACAGAGCTTCATTATATTGTCCAAGCTAGTCTTAAATTCCTAGACTCAAGCAATCCTTCTGCCTTGGCTTCCCAAAGTGCCAGGATTATAGAACTGAGCCACTGTGCCCAGCGTCCCTGAGATTTAGAACTAAGAAAAGATTACATTCCAGGCCCAAATCTAAATGGTCTTGTCTTCAGAGAACAGATGCTGTCGGTCCTCCATCCCTCATTCCATGACCTGCTTCCCAGCTAGTTCTTAGGAACAGTTTGATATGCATTGCCATTTAAGCTTCCTGAATTCCCTTTGACCAAAGAGTAGAGGACATGGTGGGAGATTTTCTAAGGACAATGCACCTCACAAAGGGACCAGGCGCCTGCAGTATGCCCCAATCCTCCCTCCTGGAAGAAGGCTGTGAACTTGGCATACATTTTCATGAGGCCACCTCCAGCAAGAGCACCCACAGTAAGTTTTGGAGGGCTGGGGCTGAGATGACACTATACAAGTGTGTGTGCATGTGCAAATTAGCACACGTGACTTGGGCTAAATATTGTGAGGAGATATGCAACCGGACAGACCAAATACTACAAGACTCTAAGGGAGAGGTGGCCCCATCTCCTGCGCCCTCACCCACGTTGGGAGCTGGATCCCAGCAAGCTGAAAGCCCAGTCGTGGATCCACAAAGTGAAAAAAGAAGCATTTTTAATATGATTATTTCTCCGTATTATTTTCTGTATTTATTTATTTAGAGATAGAGTTTTGCTCTTGTTGCCCAGGCTGGAGTGCAGTGGTGTGATCTCAGCTCACTGCAGCCTCTGCCTCCCAGCTTCAAGCGACTCTCCTGCCTCAGCCTCCCTAGTAGCTGGAATTACAGGCGCCCGCTCCCATGCCTGGCTAATTTTTTTTCTTGTATTTTTAGTAGAGATGGGGTTTCACCATGTTGGCCAGGCTAGTCTCGAACTCCTGACCTCAGGTGATCCACTCGCCTCAGCTTCCCAAACTGCTAGATTACAGATGTGAGCCACGGCACCCAGCCTATTTCTCCATATTATTATTATTATTATTACTCTTCGCACCCATGCGCTCATCTGCCATGAAATGTCCGAGCAAGCGCTACATGTGCGGGTTTCTCTTGCTGTCATCCTTGTTCTTACAAAAAGGAGAATTTAAAAAAAATCCCTCCACTTTGCTGTCTGCCAACCCAAAAAGCACAAGGAGCCAGGGTTGTACCTTTCTCCACCTCATATGTCTGCCCAGCCCTGTATATTTTACATGCCTGCACAATGCATTTTATGAGACATATAAAAGCCAGACGGGAATTATCTCCTTCCCTTGTACGGGCTGTCTCTTTTTGGGGGAGAGATAACAGAGACCTATTTCATTTTCCTGCTTGCTACTGGATGCTCTGCCATAAATTGAGAAAAGAAGCTCTTTTTGAAAAATGCTTTCTTTGACCCCATTGTCACTGGGAAACTGCAGTGAGAGAAATACCATTCTCTGTAGGATCTCAGTTTAGAGCAGAGAAAATGCAGGAAGAAGTGGTTCTTTTTGGCTCTTCTGTTCTCTCCTCCCGCTCCCTCCACATTTGTTCAGGTAGGAGAGGTGGAGAGAGGTGAAGGTATCTCACTGCTAAGAGGACATGAAGAATGCAAGCAACAAAGTCCTGGCTTTTCTGAACTCTCCCCACCTCCAGATAGACAGGGGTGCAGACCTCCATAGGAATGCATTCACTCCATCCAAGCTGCAATATGCAGCCCAGTCCATGCCTGGGTGAGCCTAGAAATTAAACTGTACTTTCACCTCTGAAGAATGTTGTCCCTGCCAGTGTGCTGAAGGGGAGAGACTGCCAGTCCACTGGGTTATCGAGTGCTGAGAGTGGAGATGCAGAAGCCTCTGTGGGCCCTGGTGGGGAGGTCTGGTCATCATCCACCTTCCTGGTACGGCACAGGCTCATGTGCAGAGTTCATGGCCACCCTCACCCTTCCATCAGAGCAAAGGTAGACCTGCGTCTCCTCACCCCACTGCTGCTTGGAATTTCTTCTTATAAGACACATCTCTTTGTATTCCTCTCTGACCTTTTCAGCCATCCTCTGTTAAAACCCGAACACTCCATTCTTTCCTCCATCTACCTAGTTGGTTATCCATGTTGCCTCTAATAACATAGCGTAGATGACTTTATCAAGGGCTTCCCTTTCTAAAGGACATCATCCACAACTGTTCAAGGACCCCGTGTATTTGAAGGGGATCAGTGAATGCTAACAACAACAAAATCCGCAGGCGAACAAAAATGAGATAGAAAACACATTGGGTTAACAGTACAGTTTTACTGGGACTGACTGTATCCATTGAGTGGCGGTTTTGTGCGTGCCAGACCCCTGCAGTATGGGGAGAAGAATGCAGAAGTTGGGACTGTGGGGTGAAGGGGCTGCTGCCCACCATGGGCAGCCACAGAGGGCTGAGAAGGAGCAGGGGGAAAAGAACCTGAGATTTCCAAAATCTAAGTTTGATCCTATCACTCCTCTGCTTAGTCTTCCAATGGCTTTCAACCACTTAGAATCTGATCCCAAGCCCATGGTGGCTTGGTTCCTGGTAACTGTCTGACCTCATCTTCCATAATCCTTTCCCCCATTCACTGCACCCCAGCCTCCCTGGCCTTTCTGATATGACTCGAAGCCTCCAAGCAAGAGGCTATCTCAGGGACTGTAGTAAAGACAGGAATCCGTCTTAGGACAAACATGTCTATTTTTAATGCCATCTTGCATGATGACTTCTGGGCATATCAGGAAGTTCCAGGGCTGTCATGAGAACAATGGAGTCTGGTTGATACAATTTAGTTATCTAAGAGTCTGGAAAGAGTTTTCAGGATCAATGCTCATCAACATGTGTTTCTATAGCCCTCATTTATTCCACTGCCACGTCTAATTTAGGATGCCCAGAAGACCCCAAGTTATGTATATGTGACAAAAGGTCTGCTCAAAACTTTTCTGGAATATTGAGACTTAAACATGGGAAATTTTAAGAGAAATATATATCTATAGATATAGATATAGATATAGATATAGTTATAGATATAGATATGATGTGTTCTAGAACAGATCATGAGAGATCTAGGCACTCTTCTTGAGTTTTGTTTTCCCTGAAGCATCAGGGAGAGATAAATGGAAGACTGATAAGTGAAAATGACCCATTAAATATGGGTAGGATTTAGGTAAAGGAATATCTAGAATGCTATTATAAGATCAGGTATGCCTGGGTGTGGGGGCTCCCGTCTGTAATCCCAGCACTGTGGGAGGCTGAGGCGGGTGGAACACCTAAGGTCAGGAATTCAAGACCAGCCTGGCCAACGTAGTGAAACCCCATCTGTCTCTACTAAAAATACAAAAATTAGTCAGCCATGGTGGCAAGTGCGTGTCGTCCCAGCTACTTGGGAGGCTGAGGTAAGAGAATTGCTTGAACCTCGGAGGCAGAGGCTGCAGTGAGCTGAGATTGTGCCACCGCACTCCAGCCTGGGTAACAGAGTGAGACTCTGTCTCAAAAAAGAAAAAAAAAAAAAAGATCAGGAATATGTTGCTTGATTTTTCCCCATTTCACAGATGGGAAAGAGGATATCAAGTAGCAAGTATCAAGTAGCTGTGTTCTGACCTAAAATTCTGAGGATTTGTCCATCTTGTTTTATGCAGAGGACCGCATCCTCTTTCACTTTCTCCCTGAGGAAGAACCTCTCACACTGAAGCCACACACATTTTCTGCTCCAGGGCTAATCCCACAGCTGAGAGCAGGGTAAGCCTCCTCCCTCCCCAGCTCTGGGTAATACCAGTAACAGAATTTGCAGTGATATGCCAGCTTTCTAGGATTGAAAAGAGGAGGCAATAGAATGGTTGACCCTAGGGCCAGGACAAGGTCTTGGGGTCAGTTCTTCTCCACCCATACATCAGAAAGCAAGATCTCCCCTCCTTTCCAGATGGGTCATGATTGCCTGACTGATGAATGAGAGCACTGAGATCAGGCACTCAGTGTCATTCAAACCACCTCTCATTCTTGCACACAAAAGCCTTGGTGGCTCACAACTGTAATTAATCCTAGCACTTTGGGAGGAGGCAGGAAGATTGCCTGAGCTCAAGAGTTTGAGACCAGCATGGGCAACACGACGAAACCCCATCTCTACTAAAATACAAAAAATTAGCTGGGCATGGCGGTGTGCACCTGTAGTCCCAGCTACTCAGGAAACTGAGGCAGGAGAATCACTTGAACTTGGGAGGCAGAGGTTGCAGTGAGCCGAGATTACACCACTGCACTCCAGCCTGGCTAAGAGAGTGAGACTCCATTCCCCCACACCCCCCATCTCCGTCCCGCAAAAAAAAAAAAAAAAAAAAGCCTTGGGGCCACAAGTGGAAAATGGAGGGAAATGTTTTTAATCCTTTACTTTGAGAATGCTGATGGAAGGCTTCAGCAGGCTGATATCACAGTAAGCCAAAAGGGGTGTCTCAAAGAGTTTCCATATGTATAATATTCATTCCTGCAACGAAGACAGCCACATCAGGTTATTTTAAGAAAGAAAAGAATGTAGTTAATCATGAAGTGTCCATTTGATCAGGTTTCCTAATAAGATTTTGGTCATGGACCCTATATTACTTTCTACTTTAATAGACAAATACAAAGTTAGACAATAGCTATTGGTATCAAGATAGGTAGATGACTTCTAGCCATATTTATTCAGTCAGCATCCCAACTCTGTTAATAGAGTCAGCCTGTGCTTTCTGAACAATTATACATGCCGACACAAACCAATCCAATAGATGCCGAAAAGATGTTGCATCCCACCTGAATGCAGATGAGGTCTGTAGTCCAAGGAAGCCCCAGTTGTCTGGGTCCACAGAGGACAGTCACTGTTGCATCCTTGGGTGCAGAACTCTTGGCCCAAGATCTGAGTATGCTGAGCTTCTTAGAAGCCATGGCTGCTGGAGGCCAGGATCTCATTAACAGTTCCTACCAACAGTCTTAAAAGGCAGGACTCTGTGGACTCCAGCCCAGGGGGATGCTTTGATTCTGCATGTTTATTGACAGAAGCCAGGTATCTCTGCTGACACCCACTCTGGCTTCCTCAGATCTCTTAGCCAGTATCCACCAGCCCATGGGAAACAGCTCCGTTTCTAGGCTCTGCAAACCTGCGTGGGGTGATGAAAACTCAAGGATTTCTCAAAGCTGGCTGAGTGTATGGCTCCCTCCCGCTCATCTCCTGTGAAGATTATAACAGGGAAGGAAATGAGGAGAAAAGCAGGCCGAGCAAATTTCTAAGCCAGCTGAAAAATGTGGCCAGTGGCTAGTGAAAAGAGAATGCTTTAGAATAAGGGGGATTTATTCATGGACACCTGTCAGGGACTGTCATTCCTCTAGCTGAACTATAGTCTGAATTTTACTATGAAATAAATCAGTCCCTCCTGGACTTAATAACTCTTCTTTATAGGTTTCTTCCCTCTTATAAATAAACCTCATTCCATATGTATATATTGCAAAAGGCCCACTTGATTTGCAGCTCTGCACATCAGGACAGGTACGTTCCAGCCCCATACTATAAAGGGGCTTTTCTGTGATCATCTCTTTCAGATAGCACGTTCCCTTCCCTGGGGCACTGTGAACCTCAAAGAAGAAGGTTTCTTTTAAAAATCTCCTCTGCCAGGCGTGGTGGCTCACGCCTGTAATCCCAACATTATGGGAGGCCAAGGCAGGTGGGTCACCTGAGGTCAGGAGTTCCAGACCAGTCTGGCCAACATGGTGAAACCCTGTCTCTCCCAAAAAGTACAAAAATTAGCCAGGCATGGCGGCAAATGTATGTAATCCCAGCTACTTGGGAGGCTGAGGCAGGGAGAATTGCTGGAACCCAAGAGGCGGAGGTTGCAATCAGCTGAGATCTCGCCACTGCACTCCAGCCTGGGCAATAGAGCAAGACTCTGTCTCAAAAATACAATACAATACAATATAATAAAATGTCCTCAATGGGGACATAAGATAAGTCTGTCTGCCAAAGGTAAAGAAGATGAGATAGAGAAATGGAAAAGTGGCATTTCCTTCCCAAGAGCCAGGAGTGACTTTCATGATGGGTCCAAGTGCAGCCAAGCTGGAGGCTAAGATGCAAGGGGTTTACGCCTCTCCTTGCTGTGGGAATACTGGGCCTGGGCTCCATGCATCTGGCCAATTTTGCAGCAGATTTATGAAGCTGCAGATTCCGAGGAAATGGGCCAGCTAACCACAGCCAGAGCCTAGGGCTGCTCTGGAGTGCTGCTGCCAGTTTGGAGAGTCAAACTAGGAGAGTCGCTTACCTGTTATACTCTCAGGCTCTCCACATGAGGCAGGAGAATAGGTTCTGGAGGCAGGAAACCTATGGCTGAATCACACTGACTTCTTAGAACTAAATCATAAGGAAAACCCCAACTTTCCACACCTAAGTAACAAAAGGACCAGAGGCTATTCCCTTTGCAAATCGCCCCCACCTTTTCTGCATGGCAGATGGAAAATTCAAAGTACCTCTAATTGGTTGCCTTCTGCAACCAATCAGACTGATTGGGGCCAAGTCTTCATTTGCATAGAAGTGTAACTTTGTAACTTCACTTTAGCCTCTTATTGGTTGCTCTCCACAACCAATCAAACTGACTGCAGTCTACTACTTCATTTGCATGAAGCGTACACCAAGTGGCCACTGGGAAACCTTTAGAGGGTATTCAAACCAGAACATTCTGTAACCAGGCTCTTGACCCCCTATGCTCAGGCCTGCTCCCACCCTGTGGAGTGTACTTTCATTTTCAATAAATCTCTGCTTTTGTTGCTTCATTCTTTGTTTTGTTTGTGCATTCTGTCCAGTTCTTTGTTCAAGATGCCAAGAACCTGGACACCCTCCACTGGTAACACACAGAGCAGTGACCCTTAACCTTCTGACTTGTAACACCCCATCTTGGTTGGATTTGGGGTCATCAGCTCCCATTCTCCTCTATGTAACAAGATAGCAAAATCCATATGCATTACAATATTCTCAGGGCTTTGTACTTTCTCAGAAAGGCCTCCATAAATATTCAAATTCTAATTTTAAAAACATAGTTGGAAAGGACGTTAGCAACCATCTTGTCCAATATCCTACCCAAGGAAGTAAACACCTCCACATCAACCCTCGCAGATGGGCACTGCAGCCTTCCTATTTCTCCTAGAATGAGAATTATAAAGAGATTCAGCTGTTATTTCAACTGTGATTCTTAAACTTGAAAATGAATTACAACTAACTTTGTTTAAACAATATTTTGAAATTTTATTGTTATTAAGATCTGTGAGCACTTCATGAGAATTTATACTTTCTGGAGAAAACTTATCAATAAAACATTTAATGATATGAGTCACGTGCCTTGAAATATGCCAAGTATTATAATGATAAAAAAAATTACAAGTGGAAAATGTAAGACAAATCCTGTAACCTCTTAAGATAAGAACGCTGAAAGTCAAAATCTGTGTTCACAAAACAAAACAAAACAAAACCCCGGAAAATGACAAGTGTTGGCAAGGATGTGGCAAAATTGGAAAACTTGCACATTGAATATAAAATGGTTCAGCCTCTGAGGAAAAGTTTGGCAGTTCCTCAAGAAGCTCAAAATAGAATTACCATATGGTTCAACAATTCCACACCTCGAATATACCGCCAAGGAATTGAAAACAGGGACTAGACAAATCCATCTACATACACCTTCATAGCACCACCATTTGAAATAGCAAAAAGGTGGAAACAGCCCAAATGTCCGTCAACAGATGAATAAACAAACTGTGGTATATACATAGCATGAAGTATTTTCAGCCATAAAGAGAATGAAGTACTAATACATGCAAAACTGTGGATGGACTTCAAAAGTATTATGCTAAGTGAATGAAGCCAGACACAAAACAGTATGTATTGCATAAATCCATTTGTATAAAATATCTAGAATTGCCAAATCCATAGAACCAGAAAGCAGATTGGTGACTGCCAGGGGTTGGGGTGAGGGGAAAATAGAGAGCGATTGCTTCATGGGGCATAGCTTCCTTTGGGGGCAATAAAAATGTTTTTGAGCTAAATACACATGATGATCAGACACTGTGGATGTACAAAACACCACTTGATTGTTCTTTTTAAAATACTTGATGTTATGTTTTATGAACTTCATCTCAGTGAAACTTTTTTAAAAAATGATCTATGTTCGTCTGGGTGTGGTGGCTCACATCTGTAATCCCAGCACTTTCAGAGGCCAAGGCTGGTGGATCACCTGAGGTCAGGCATTCGAGACCAGCCTGACCAACATGGTGAAACCCCATCTCTACTAAAAATACAAAATTAGCTGGGTGTGATGGCACATGCCTGTAATCCCAGCTACTCAGGAGGCCGAGGCAAGATAATCACTGGAACCTGGGAGGCAGAGGTTGCAGTGAGCCAAGATTTCGCCACAGCACTCCAGTCTGGACAACAAGAGTGAAACTCCATCTCAAAAAAAAAAAAAAAAAAAAAAAAAAAAATCTATATTCAAGTCTCACCTTTGAGACTGATCTCCCATGTGTTTTGAGCAAGTTTCTGCACTTCTCTGGGCCTCACTTTTTCCATCTAAATGGAACCCAAGTAGAACTGCTTTACCAGTGGCCAGTCTCAGCACAGTCTCAGCCATGACCACAATAACCACGAGACTGATGTCCCAGAAAACAATTAGAAAAAAAAACAAAAAACAAAACCTTCAGTATTTTTGGGTTAAAACAATCACTTGAAACTACATCTAACTTTTTCTGTCTCCTATTCTACAACAAACATTTTTAAAGAGGAATATTCTTGTCTTAGTCCATTTGTGTTGCTATAAAAGAACACCTGAGGCTGAGTAATGTATAAAGGATAGAGGTTTATTTGGCTCACGGTTCTGCAGGCTGTACAAGAAGAATGCACCAGCATCTGCTTCTGGTGAGGGCCTCTGGTTGTTTCCGCTCATGGAGAAGGGGAAGAGGACTTGGTATGTGCAGTGCAGAGATCACATGGTGAGACAGGAAGCAAGAGGAAGTGACAGCACAGGTGTCAGGCTCTTTTTGACAACCAGATTTCACGGGAACCAATAGATCAAGAATTCACTCATTACTGTGGAAATAGTCATTCTTGAGGGATATTCCCCCATGACCCCAACAACTCCCATTGAGCCCACTGCCAAAATGGGGGATCAAATTTCAATGTGAGGTTTTAGGGGGACAAATATCGAAACTATAGCAATCCACTTCCCCCACACTCAAAATCATTAGCAGATGCTAAACAAGGGAAACATACATAAATGGTTCACCATCCATTTTTGTAAATAAGGCTTTATTGGAACACAGCCATACTGATTGGTTGATGTATTCTCTGCCACTGCTTTAAGGCTATAATGGCAGAGTTGAGTAGTTGCAGCTATGGTACACAAGGCCTAAAATATTTGAATACCTAGCCATCTACATAAATCATTCATCAATCCTTGATATAAAATAACCTAGTAAGAAATTGTCAGTAAAATGAGAATTCATGGATAAGATGATAAAACAGCAAAATGACATAAAAAGTGAGACTGAAATTCTAAAAGGGGAAAAAAAACTAGGAACCAAAACATCATTTGTTACCAATAAAAGTGGAAAAGCAAGGAACACAATAGACACCTCTGGAAACCAAATTACTGCCATAGAAAAGTAGCCTAGATAATCATTGTCAATGTAGATGACCAAAAAATTAAATTAAATTAAATTTTAAAAAGAGAGACAGAGAGATTAAATAGGCAAACACCACTTAAGAAAAAACAACTCTCACCTCTTAATGTGTTTTAATCTCCCTTTTTAAATAGAAAGTAATCTTTTAAGAAAAGCTCTCCCCTGTGGTGACAATACAATTATTTGAAGATCAGAGATTCTTAGTTTAATATGAGTTTTCTCCCTTCTGTTAAATTATAATAAAATTATGTTAAATTTAAAATAGGGGCCTTTTATGTAACTGTTTCCCTAAAAGTGCAGCCTAGCCTACCCCTTCTATCTTTATATTTGTACAGAAAGACATTCAAAATGATGTTCACCTAGTTAAAATCATGATTGCTATTGGATGGTGTGATTTGAGGGTGATTTTTAGTCGTCTCTGTGTTTTCCTATATTGTTTAAAACTTAAATCATTCACTTATTTTCTTTTTTAAAAGAAGATAATTTTTCTTAAAAACAAAGACTAAGATGTTATTTTTTGGATGGCGCCATATGGATGGTGGCTACCATCTTCCTCTGTATAATTTAAATTTCTCCTAAACAATGCTTTGAATATTTTTATTGATTTGTTTTTTGGAACTGCCCACAGTATCTAGCATAAGCAAGGCACATAATCCATGTTCATTAAAAATTTCATTGATTTTTTTTTTCTAAAATGTCCCAGGGATTGTTCGCTGTTCTCAATGACAGTAAGAGTTTAAAATATTGTTGACACAAAGTTACTTGTAATTTATTTTGTACTTTATTAATTACAGTAGAAATACAATTGAATCTCTTTGTAATATTAATAGCAATAAAAGAAAAAACAGTTTAAATAGTTTTAAAATGCCCCAAAGCTTTGCATGTCATGACAAACCACAAAAGCCAAGTCATCGCCACCCATTTTTCACCTTTGTTCTCATTGAAGGAGAGCAGCTATTCTAAAACTTGTCCCCCAGATTCTCAAAACCTCTGATCCACTGTAGCTCTGGCAGTCCCGCCTTCTCCCACCCCATTCTCCGGCTTTTCTCAAGCTATTATTCTTCTAACTCTTTCCTGAGCAGCACTTTGCCTTTTCTAAAGAAGAGGTTATGAACTTTCTAGAGCTTGTCATTCTTCTACCAATTACCTAGATCCACACAACAAAGGAAAGAGGAGAAAATAAAGGCTGGGGATCTCCAAGTGTTCTTCCAGCTTGACAGTTTAGTGATGGCTGTGCTCTCCCATGAAGGAGAGGGCAATTGATTAAAATCATTAAGAAACAGGAGGTACAGAATTCAGTGTTCAAATGGGCACGCTCTTTATTTAGCGCAGGAGGTGAATTTACCCAGTGGGCTGGATTAATTGGGGAAGGTGGCCTGGAGAAGCTGGGGATTATGCTGAATCCAAAAGAAGGTAAAATTTACTTATAATGAGGAGAGAAAGGAAGAAGAGACTTCCCTGTGAGAGAAATACCATCAGCAAAGTGCAGAGGTAGACATGGTTTGCCAGACTCTCAATCCAGGGGTAGAAACCACATCCCTGTGAGGGAGAAAAGAAAAGGTGTGTTGAACCAGGTTAATCAAGAGAAGCTCATCAACTAGTATACATGGTCTTAGGTGGTAGCATGACCTTAGTAAATATGCAGAAACATGTACTAATTATAGGGTCCTGCCTCCATTTGGCAGTGGGGGAATCATCCTTTCCTTGTCTCCTCCAGTCTTAGGGTTCTACCCATCTTCTGACTGCTGTATCAGTCCCTGGCCTCCTGTTATTTACCCAACGAGAATACAAAGATGCGAGAGTGGAAGCCAAGAGGTGGGGGCGGATCACCTGAGGTCAAGAGTTCGAGACCACCCTGGCCAACACGGTAAAACTCCGTGTCTCTACTAAAAATACAAAAATTAGCTGGGCATGGTGGCAGGCGCCTGTAGTCCCAGCTACTCGGGAGGCTGAGGCAGGAGAATCACTTGAGCCTGGGAGGCAGAAGTTGCAGTGAGCCGAGATCGAGCCACTGCACTCCAGCCTGGGTGACAGAGTGAGACTCTGTCAAAAAAAAAAAAAAAAAAAAAGGAAGAAGAAAAGAAAGGGAAGGGAAGGGAAGGGAGAAAGAAAGAGACAGAGAAAGAGAAAGAGAGAGAGAAAGAGAAAGAGAAAAAGAGAGAGAAAGAGAGAAGAGAGAGAGAAGAGAGCGAGAGAAAGAGACAGAGAAAGAGAGAGAGAAAGAGAAAAAGAGAGAGAGAGAAAAAAGAAAGAGAGAGAAAGACAGACAGAAAAGAGACAGACAGATGCTGGAGTAGAGAGGGCAACATGTGCTTGTCTGTCTACGAAATGAAACACTTTGGAGTAGAAAGGAAAAACCATGTAGGAAAAGGAGAAGAAAGAAGAAGGAAGAAATCAGCTCTCCCCTTTCCCCCAACCTTTTCCTGGCAGCTTGGAGCTTCTAATGGTCGACGGAAGGCTCCATCATCACCAAACAGTGCAGCGTACAGACACAGCCACCTATTCTGAAGCCACTGGCTCTCTAGGGCTCCAGGCTTGCCTCTCCAAATGCCTGATTTGGAGCTTCCCTTGAACGTCTCATAGGATTTTGCGTCAAGCTCAGCGTGGCCAAAACAGAGTCCATCTTCCCACTCACCACCTGCTTCTGCTCTTGGGTACGTTTTCTTATCATCCTCCTCTGGTCTTTCCAGCTGGTCCCCTCCTTCTCCTTCACATCCCGTACATCCAGGCAGCTGCCTGGTTATGGCAGCACCACCTCCAGAGCATCTCTTCATGCTATTCCCCCTTTTTATTCCCATTGTCACGGTCCATGCCTGCCCCTTGTGGCCTCCCTGGCAAAAGTCTTCTAACTGTTCTCCCTGCCTTCATTCTCTTCCCTGCCTCCTTCACCACTCCCTTGATGCTGTGGCTGAGGTTGCCTTTCTAGTGCCACAGGCCTGTTGATATCCTGTCTCAGGTTTCAAAACACAGATGAAGGGGCCAGGCATGGTGGCTTACGTCTATAATCCCAGCATTCTGGGAGGCCAAGGTGGGTGGATCACTTGAGGTCAGGAGTTCAAGACCAGCCTGGCAAACATGGTGAAGCCCCATCTCTACTAAAAATACAGAAATTAGCCAGGTATGGTGGTGCGTGCCTGTAATCCAGCTACTCAGGAGGCTGAGAAAGGAGAATCACTTGAACCCAGGAGTTGGAGGCTGCAGTGAGCCAAGATTGTGACACTGCACTCCAATCTGGGTGACAGAGGGAGACTCCATCTCAAAAAAACAAACAAAAAATATAGATGGAACCCCACTGCCTGTAGCAAAGTGTTTAGACCCCTTAGTCTGCTCCATCAAGCCCTCTGAATTCTCACTCTATCCACATGTTTGGCCCCACCTCTCACTCCTTCTCCTCACTTTCCCTATTTAATAACTAACACATCACTTCATCTACTTCCTTAGCCTTTATGATGGTGTTCCTTTAGCCAGTATGCCCATTCTATTACTCTTCTGTATCACTTCCTAAGATATTTGTTTTTCCTTCCAGGCTCAGTTCAAACATTTCGTCCTTCTCCTCGAAACCCTGCTGGGGTGTGCCTAGAACACAGTAAACCACAACGCATTTCGGTGAAGGGATGAATGATTCAATCAATCAATGAATAAAGCAATTAATAAAAGATGGATTTCTTGTCTGGTCTTTGAGGTATTCACTTACATTCCAAGCCATTTCTTCTTGCCTGGGCTGAGCTTCCCCAGAGCCTGCCTGTTCTGATCGATCTGCAACATCTTCTAAAGTATGAATGATGCACCAAGTTAAATATAGGATTTGACTAGTTTTTCTTGCAGGCACTTTGGCTCAGGGCATGTAAGATCAACTACAGGTTGGGCTACAGCATGGTGCTCTGAGCCCTCAGTTTGAAATTCCAGGGATTGGGAAACACTAGCAAGTTCAAAGCCAGACCAAACCTGAATGTAATATTTAGAAGGCTGCTCCGAGACTATACTCCTGGACCAAAATGCTTAATACACACGTCAGCATCCTTGGCTTTCCAGAGTGGGTAGGTGCTGGGAGACAGGCTCCAGAAAAAAAAACTAAGCTCTGTGGATTCCACGACTTTATGTTCACCCCACCTAACCCGACCTACAGGCCTGGGGGACTTCAGGGGCTCTGACCTTCGTCCTCCTGCCCCAAATTTCCACACTGACAGCTCCATTTCTTCATAGGAATACATGCTATCAAGTAGCACGTGCCCCAAAGTGACAATTATGTCATGACTGCCTGACTCTGAAGGAGCTCTTCACCCTGGTTGGGGGAGAACCCACCACCTCTAGGAAAAGGAATAGAAGAAACATGTTTGAGTTGAGGCGTGGAAAATATAAGCAGAATACAGAGGACTCCTCTATAGACACCCTGTGAGTGACCTAGGCTGATGCAGAGCAGGCCCGAGGAAGGGAAAGAGGAGAGAGGAACAAAGAAGCGAAGGAAAGGAGACTGACACAGACACCGACAGTGTCTCATGTTTATAAAAAGGTTTCACGGCTTGGAAAGTAATTTCAAATGTATTATGTCTTTTGATCCCAACACCACCACGGTGGGTTACAGCAAGCAGCTATAATTTTTTTTTTTTTTTTTTCATTTCATAGGTGGGGAAACTGAGGCTTCGTGGGGCCTGACTCACTTAGAGTCAAAGAGCTAGTCAGAGGCTAATCCTGGATTTCAAACCTGTCTTCTGACCTCCAGCTGGGCGATCTTAGTACCACACCACCATGCCTCTGAACGTGGCTCTTCAGAAGCAAGCCTCTCTGTAAGTCTGGCAAATATCCTACAAACCTAGCATACAACTGGCTTTTTACAATGGGTACAAAGTATGGGAATGTAAGGGAGCCCCGCCCAGGTAGCTGAGGACCTCGGGACTGACTTTCTGGTTCACTCTCTGGCCTCTCAATTGCTAAGATCTCAAACATGCTCAAGGTATGATTAATTTCACTAATCCTTGTGGACTTCTGTCATCCAGGTAAAAAATAACAATAATAATTGTCCTCCGGTGTCTATATGCCAGCAAGCACTGCAGGCCAAAATCAACCCTGGGTGATTATGAAAGTGGCTCTGGTGAACTCCTGCCTGTGCCTCCTGCAGCCACGTGGAACTATTCAAAATGATAATCTGGCATGTGGTAGTAACTCAGACTGGATGGGTCCATCACTCACAGAGCAGTGGGCACAGCCTCCAGAGTTCTTATGTCTTT
The DNA here is from genome assembly GCF_000001405.40 of Homo sapiens. Classification (NCBI taxonomy): domain Eukaryota; kingdom Metazoa; phylum Chordata; class Mammalia; order Primates; family Hominidae; genus Homo; species Homo sapiens. The sequence goes on from NC_000008.11 coordinate 21,119,353, forward strand.
TGCCAGGGCCAGCATTTCTACTCCAAGCTCTCATTCATCCTCTGCACAATTTATTTCTGCAGAGTGCCCTTCATACACATCAGCACTGCTTACTTTACCCTGAGAGTCAATCACCAGGTGCCAAGAGAAAGGGAAGGTTCCTTTGGGGAGATTTAAAGGGAGGCTTAGACTCAAGGTGACTGGGGCGAGAGAAGAAGAAAAGAGGGATGGCCCTGGTGCAAGAGAAGACCCTGACTGGACCCTGAGATGAGACCCGGGAGGCCGTGGACTGTGGAAGGAGGATGAAGTTGGGCCTGGGGAAGAGAGATCAGAGAACTGAACTATTCCAGCCCCTCCCCACTGCACCAAACAGCTGTTTGCCCTTGGCACTGAGTTTCTAGAGGCTTTAATTCAAGTTCTGTCACCCAGGAGTGGGAACTACTTAATACCACTCCTAGGAATTCTGAATAGAAGGAATCCTGGGAAGATTGTTAATAATTACAATAAAAAATGACAGGCCAGTCGTGGTGACTCATGCCTCTAATCCCAGCTGGAGGCTGAGGAGGGTGGATTACCTGAGGTCAGGAGTTCGAGACCAGCCTGGCCAACATGGTGAAATCCCATCTCTACTAAAATAGAAAAATTAGCCAGACATGGTGATGGGTGCCTGTAAGCCCAGCTACTCCAGAGGCTGAGGCAGGACAGTAAGAATTGCTTGAACCTGGGAGGCGGAAGTTGCAGTGAGCTGAGACTGTGCCACTGTATTCCAGCCTGGGAGAGAGAGCGAGACGCTGTCTAAAAAAAAAAAAAAAAAAAAAAGACAAATGTTGGGATTGGAGAGACTCAACTAATACTATCTCTTTCTTTCACCTGAATTCAGAACTGAGAAAGAGGCTCATGAATTGGACAGATGAAGACATGTGAAAACAATGTCGTTGTTACCAGTAAAGGTGAGGATAGAGACTGTATCATAAACAGGTTTGTCTAGGTGGCTTAATTTCACTCTATCCTTGTTATTGCTTGTCCACCCATCCTCAGACCCCTCTGAAATTCAAGCCTGCCTCTAGAAAACACACTAAGAGAAGGAGAGAAAGGAGCTGAAGCAGCTGCAGGTAGGCTGGCTCGAGAAAGGTGAGAGGAGGGAGCGCATCCACACAAGCTCTACTCCTTCTCTCAAACATGCCCATCTGAGAAGTCATGAAGGCCCAAGAGCTCCCTTTGTGGAAGCTTCCCCACCTGGAAGAGGACAAATGGAGAATAAGTGTCCTGTGCCCCAACACCTGACATCTGTGTAGTCCTTTACAGATTACAAAACACCGCCGTGCATTTGCAAAAGGAGTCTTTGAAGTAACCGTCTAAGTGACTCAAATTATGATTTTCATGCCCACTCTAAGCAAAATATGGGGTCAGAGGACCCCCATCCATGGCAGAGCTGGAAATCAAACCAGATTTCAAGCAAGTATTTGAAATCAGGTTTAAAAAAATATACCCAACAGGTGAGGTGAGACACTCTTGCAGCCATAGCCATTAATGACTCCAGGAGAGGTGAATGGGCAGATGGACTGAGGAGTGCAGCAGAGGAAGTTCAGGGACACTTCTCAGTCTAACAAGCACTTACTGAGCACCTACTGCATACTGCATGCTGTGTTGCATACTGGGGATAGAACCGTGAACAGACATGACCCCTGCCTTGTAAAGCTGGGGCAAAATGGGAAGTGTCTAGCAATCAAGAGGCTCTTTAGAGAGGGAAGCAGCCGCAGAGGTGATGTATGTGCACCCCTGGGACGTGCAGGGATATTTCTGGACTCACATCCCAAGAGGTGATTCAAGATGCAGAATCAGCCCCAACTCAGATTGGCCTTGGGTGCTCATTAAACAGCAGTAGCCAGGCCAGGCACAGTGGCTCACAACTGTAATCCCAGCACTCTGGGAGGCCGAGGCGGGTGGATAACCTGAGGTCACGAGCTCAAGACCAGGCTGCCCAACATGGTGAAACCCTGTCTCTGCTAAAAATACAAAAAAATTAGCCAGTCGTGGTGGCAGTTACCTCTAATCCCAGCAACTTAGGAGGCTGAAGCAGGAGAATCGCTTGAACCCGGGAGGCAGAGGCTGCAGTGAGTCAAGATCACATCACTGCACTCCAGCCTGGGTAAGAAAAGTGAAAGTCAGTCTGAAAAAAAAAAAAAGTGGTAGCCACCATAGCCTGACTATAAAAAGGTAAAGCTCCCTGCTCTGTTATTACATCATTTCTTTGTGTTTGCATTTTTATTTTCTGCCTTTGACTTGTTTTGTTTTTCTCTGGGTCCTCTAACAAAATTCTTTCTCCAAAACCTCAAACTCTTGTGAGATGAACCAAAATAAGGAGAACTTGCGAATGCCCAGACAGGGAATGAGAAGTGAACCATGGTGCTGACCAGAGCCAAATGCTACAGGTGCCAGGAAGGACCAGAAAGGGTCAAGAAAACAAAGTGATAAAAACGCACAGCGGGGAGATCTAGACAGCTCCGTGTTTTGAATCTCCTTAGTTTGGTTTGAAAACCCATCCAAACCCAAAACACCGGAAAACATATTCTTCTTTATTAGGTAGCCCATGTCTTCCATTTTCAGGTTTGCTGAGAAGGAAACAGTATCCAAAGGCTGGGAACTGTCCTCTTATGTTCACACTATAAAGTCGTCTCCACTAGCATCTACCATTCCCATGCCATTTTAAGGATCTGCTCTCCAATGATAGAGCCTCAACCCTCAGTCATGTTTTTCTAGGATATATGCAGTTTCCCCATAGAGCAGGAAAGAGCCTAAGTGGATGACGTTCTTCTAGTAGAGCTTCATAGCCCTTTTATTACATACGGCTTTCTTCATCTGTCCTATGGATAAAAGGCCAGCCAGAGAGGGCAGGGCAACATTCAACCCACACTCAATAAAGAGGATTATTTGTAACAAGCATTTAATGTCTTTTCAAAGCTTAATAATCAGTGACCTTTTCAAGATTTCTCAATTTGCTGGAATCTACCTCAGTCTTGATAATGATCATCTGTGGCTTCTGTTATCCTGGAATCTCACATCTGGCTGGGCTTGTTCCCCCACAGGAGGTTTAATTTATGTGCAATAAATGCATCCAATCTAAGAGTATAGATAAATGAATGTTTTACAGCATCAGTTTATTATTTAAATATCATGTGGAGTGAATCAAGCAATGATTTTGCTGAGTGGAGTATCTCTCTAGATGCTTATTATAATAAGCCTCCTGGTCTTCGCTATCAATTAATCAAAACCTATCAATTGGCCACATGCGGTGGCTCACACTTATAATCTCAGCACTTTGAGAGGCCGAGGCAGGCATATCACTTGAGGTCAGGAGTTCAAGACCAGCCTGGCCAACGTGGAGAAATCCCATCTCTACTAAAAATAAAAAATGAGCCAGGCTTAGTGGCAGGCACCTATAATCCCAGCTACTTAGGAGGCTGAGGCACGAGAACCACTTGAACCCAGGAGGCAGATGTTGCAGTGAGCTGAGATTGCACCACTGCACTCCAGCCTGGGCAACAGAGCAAGACTCTGTCTCAAAAAAATAATAATAATAAATAAAAATTTATAAATTTTTAAAACCTATCAATCATTTTATTTTTAATTTCTTCGATAGCTTTATTGAGGTATAACTGACATAAGATTTATATGTGGTACACCAATGAAACTGTCACAATTAAGAAAATGAACATAAATATTACCCCACTCCAGATTTTTCTTACGACACTTTTCTTCCTTCTTGCTCCTACTCACTACCCCCATCCCAGTAACCCCAAGGAATACATGCTTTCTATTGCTATAGATTACATTGCATATTCTATAATTTTATACAGATGAGAGCATACATTATGTAGTTTTCTGGGTCTGATTTTTTTTTCACTCAGCATAATCATTTTCAGATTCATTCATGTTTATGTGTGTATCTGTCATTCCTTTTAGTTCCCAATAGTCCACTATGTGGATATACCACGGTTGGATTATCCCTTCACCTGTTGATGGACATTTAGATAGTTGCCAGCTTGAGGCTATTAGAAATAGAGCTACTATGAACATGTGTGCATGAGTCTTTGTATGAATACGTTGTTTCCTTTCTTATGGGTAAATACCTAAGAACAAAATGGCTAGATCATATGGCCTATCTATGTTTAATTGTGTTAAACTTCTCAACTGTTTTCCAAAGAGATTTTGCCATTTTATATCCCCAACAGCAAATTATGAGTGTTCCAGTTGACCCATACTCTCTCCAATACTTGGTAAAATTAGTCTTTTAAATTTTAGCTATTGTAATGGATGTGTATTAATATTTCATTTTAACTTGTAGTTAGTATGCAGTGTTTGTAGGTAAGTAATGGATTTTCATCATGCTTTTAATTTGCATTTTTCTAATGATTAATATTGTTCAGGAGCTTTTCAGTTGCTTTATTTTCCTGCTGTCTATATATTTCTTTGGCAAAGTGTCTCTTAAAATCTCTTGCCAATTTCTAAAAATCTGTTTGTTTTCTTATTAAGTTTGGGGAGTACTTTATATATTCTAAGTCCTTTATTAGACATGTACTTTGTAATTATTTTCAACCAGTCTATGGCTTGCTTTTCTATTCATTTAACTGAGTCTTGTAAATAACATACGAAGTAACTTTTGATGAAGTTTATCAATTTGTTATTTTATGGATCAGGCTTTTGATATCATACCTAAGAAATCACTGATTAACCCTAAGTCACAAACACCTTCCCTAGGTTTTCTGTAGAAGTTTAACAGTTTTAGGGCTTACATTTAGGTTTATGATCCATTTTCACTTAACTTTTTAATACAGTGAGAGGTATGGGTCAATGTTTCTTTTTTTTTCTTTTTTTTTTAGACAGAGTCTTGCTCTTGTCACCCAGGCTGGAGTGAGGTGATGCGATCTCGGCTCACTGCAACCTCTGCCTCCGGGGTTCAAGCGATTCTCCTGCCTCAGCCTCCTGAGTAGCTGGGATTACAGGTGTGCACCACCATCCTAATTTTGTGTATTTTTAGTAGAGATGGGGTTTGACCATGTTGGTCAGGCTGGTCTAAAACTCCTGACCTCGTGATCCGCCCGCCTCGGCCTCCCAAAGTGCTGGGATTACAGGTGTGAGTGACTGTGCCCAGCTCCAGTGTTTATTTTCTTGCATAGAGATATCCAAATGTTCTAGCACTATTTGTTGACAAGGCTGAATAACGTGTGACTATGTTATCTCATTTGGACTTTACAACAAAATGTTTTAATTCCTATGCTACGTAAGAGGCTGAAGTGTAACAAGGTTAAGTTACTGAGCCAAGCTAACACAGAAAGCTGTGGCTTTTGTTTTGACTATAACTTCCTCTCGATATTTCAAGACTCTGAGCTTTTTCTGTGTACCAAAATCTTGTTGAGAGCAGCAGGCGATCTGGAGAGAAAGAGGTGGAGGAGGAAAAAGTACCATGTCTCCAGAGCTGGAGGGCCCAAGATAAAAAGCAATGCCTTTGGCTTCCTTAATATGGCCTCTTTGCTCCCTGAAGTGAGCAATAGCTTTGCTCATCTTCACCCCTCTGCCCTTTCTTTTCTGCACTGAGGGTACTACATCTGCTCATGCACAGTCACTAACAAAGATTCCTGAGTGATCTGACATCCTCTCAGACCTACTTACCAAGCTGTGCTTCCTGGTCCAGGACTGGGTCCACTTGGAGAACAGAAGGCACCCTCTTTATCTACCCCCAAATGTCCTATGGGCTAGCAATGGCTTTTCCTGTTCCCCTGGCCCATTCCTTGACTGGGAATATTTTTAAAGCAAGAGGTACTTTACTCTTTGGGGTACTGTCACAGGAGATTCTCCCTCAGGCCTGGCTCATGGTCCCTGATCCTTATTGAATACCCCAAACTGTATCCTAGCTAGTGATAAGTCTGGTTGTTCTCTTTCCTATCTCCGTGTGTCTGCATGAGCGGCTGTCACTTCATTTCTGGACTTTCTGCCTCTAGGACATGGACTGATTTTATCATTCGCTGGCTTCTCTTTAACTTCCTTCCTTTCTCCCCAGGGGCAAGGGGGTGCATCTGTTTTCATGATCTCCCATCTTGAATGGTAATCAGTGTTCCACCAGACGTGGCTTCCCATATCCTTGACTTTATCTTAATAAATGACCCATCATATTTAGCAGAAATCATTGCGTCTTTGTTTAGGGATTAGGACTAGAGATATATTTAAACTGCACTGAGCACTGGTAATCCTGAAAGGGCTGAAGCAATTCTGATAGGATGATGGGGCCACAGCAGTTAGCGCATTCGCTCAGTTGCAGATGTTATTAAAGCAGCTGTCCGTTCTCAGCACAGAAGAGATAAGCAGGGATTGGTATGCATGTGCACATATATATACAGGCTTGCTCTGGCATGCATGGGTGCATGCAAACACACGTGCCTGCACACTCCAAAGCATGAACTCATGTAATAATGCTTGTATGCCTAAGCAAATCCCATGAGCCTGCACATGCACATTCGTGTGTAGGACATATCTCTTCATGCACATGTAAACATATACACCCATTTTCAAAATGTTGCAAATAATATGAAGGCATGTCTATGTACATATACACAGGTAACCACATCCCCACAATTATGGTGGTAAAAATATGCAAACAAACAGCTACTCTGTAGCCCTCTGGTACAGTGTACAGTGTTCAGGATGTGAGCCTCTGGGTTCCAGATACAGAGTCTGCAAAAAGCTCCAGGTGTCTTATGACTGCTTCTTCCTGCTTTTGTGCACAGCAGTCTCTATCTCCTGGGTGTCTTAGCAGAGCCTTCCTTGGCTACCTTATGATGCCAGGTATTACTTGAAAACCCTACTAAATCCTGATCAATTCAGCCTCCCTTTGCCCCAGGAGCTGGGACACCTCTAATAACATTAAAGCATCTCAGCTACCTGCCCACAGTCTGCCACACGGCCACTGCCCCCCCTACTAGTGGCCTTGATGTTTCATTGATTTATTCATTCATTCTGTTCACAGGTATTTCTTGAGTTCCTGCTGTGTCTAGACCTGTGCAACGAGTTGAATAGGATACAAATGCATTTCAGATTTATTTCTGTCTTTCAGGATCTTGTGGGAATATAAGGCCTTCATACACAAACCAGTTATATAATAGTAAAAGACAGTTATATAATGGTACAATAATGCTAAGTGCTCAAATGAGCATGCACTGGGGTCCCTGAGACCACGTTTGGATATTCACTGGAAGCACTACTGAGACTCAGCATATAATTGTCCTCACACCTAATATTCATGACAATGATGTGGTGAGGATGCTTAGCTAAATCATAAGGGGAAAAGGGACAGGCAGAGTCTGGTGGAATCCACGTGCAAGATACCTCACGCTCTGTCCAACCCTCAGCAACAAAAATGCAGCAACATGTGTGTGGTATTTCTGCCCAGGGCAGCCCAGTAAGGACTCAGTGCCAAGGATTTTATTGGGGGTGACTGCATTGGCACAATCTGCCTAGCATGTACCAAAACTCCAGCTTCCCAGAATGGAAGCAGGTGTTCAGCATAAACACCACGTAGACACTGTGAGCCACCCTTATCAATTAGGGAATGTATTATATAAGCATAGGAAACTGGCTACATTCCAAGATGCCAACAAAGGGCAACCTTGTCATCAGTCCTTTGTAAAGAGAGTGGTGTCAGGTTTGTTCCATTAACTCTTCTCTGCACGGAGCGGCAAGGAGAGGCGAGCAGTTCTAGAAAACGAAATATGAGTCTGAGCTGGGAAGAGGGCTTTTGAACTGAGTCTTGAAGGATGACTGGCATTTAAGAAGGCACAGGGTGCTAGCAGTGGAGAGAAAGACAAAAGTTTAGCTCAAAGGGAGATTAAGCAGGGTAGCAAGGAAGGACAAAGAGAGGCAGAACAGGATTCTCTACCTATTCATCAAACATAAATGCGATATTTGCTACAAGTTGGAAACTCTGCTAGGCAGTGAGAACTTAGATCCAATCCTTAAAGAATTATAAACCAAGAAGGGAAATAGACAAATAGCCCATCATTTCAGTAGCAGGGTCAAAGAAGAACCCAGCCACATCTGAGGAAGCTCTGGAACATTCACATCGTGTTTGAGACCTGAGATATGAGGATTTGCTGGGTCAAGAGGGAGAACAGTTCTCTAAGACTGCACATGCAGAGGCCTAGAGGAGAGAGAACATGGTGAATCCAACCTTCTATTCCAAATTGCTGCTCCTGGGCAGGCTAGGGCAGTATGTGTGTGTCTTTTGCATGTTTGTTCTGTTTTGCTGCTAAATGAGATTCAGATCAGCAGGGCAGGTTCACATTCAATTATGTAGCTGCTTATATTGTTGAATGTCCATCAAATATGCAACTATAGCAGGTCCTTGAATAACATTGTTTCATTCAATCTCATTTCGTTATAATGTTGATGAAAAAGAATCCATTTGCAGCCAGGGCCACTGTCTGTGTAGAGTTGGCATGTTCTGCCCCATGTCTGCATGAGTTTTCTCCTGGTGCTCTTGTTTTCATCCCACATCCAACAGTTGAGCATGTTAAACAAACTGACCTGCTCGATTTTCTGAGACTGGGTGAGTGTGGGTGTACATGTGAGTGTGCCTTGTAGGGGGATGACATCCTGTCCAGGGCTGGCTCTTGCCTGGCACCCTGAGCTGCTGGGATAGGCTGTGGTTACTCATGACCCTGAACTGGAATAAGCAGTTTGGAAAATGAATTATTGGAAAATGAAAGCTTGTAAAGTATATGATAATGATACAAATGCATGACAATAAATGATGCAGCATGAAAATGCTCAGTGAGCCCACAAGATTTGTGATGGTTTCAAACTGTGTGGTGGGAGGAGGTGCTCCTGAAAATTCTCACTTTGCAAACATTTGTTCCTTGATGTAACCCACCACCACTATGACCATTGTCATTCACCAATTCACCAAAAATCTGATGAGTAATTATCCTTTTATTAATCTTTCTAAAGTGTATGTTTGGCCCACATTTATTTCAGTGTTTAATATTAGAGGTGTTCGGGTCTTCATTTAGAAGTTTAGTGATGTTTTCATGACAAGAAATACACTGTAGGACCTTAACTCTTGTTTATACCAATGAGCCTAAGGGAAAATTGGTTTTGTTGTCTCTTGCTTCACCTAAAGGTGCAGTTTCCAAGGACCTTTGGATGATGGTAATTGAGGGCTTACTGTATTTTATAGCGAAGACACCAGAGTTCGTAACTGTTAACAGATGTTCTCATTCCCCTGGTTATCCCTGGTTCTCTAACTCCCATCTAATGTGTTGGCAAGTCCTTTTGTCTGTACCTCCAAACCTATCCCCCATCAGACCCCCTCTCACCATCTTCACTGCTATCCTAGGAGCCCTAGAGACCAGCATCTCCTTCCTAAGCAGCATCAAGAGTAAATTAAACCAGGTAATATCTCTGTCCTGTAAAGCCTTACAAATACTGACCATTGCATTTGCTGAAAGGTTCATACTGCTTACCAATGCCTAATGCCCCAGTTATCTGTCCCCTGCTTACCTTTCCACCCTTGGCATATTTCTCTTCCTTCCACTCAGTGGACTGGGTGCCCTGGTCTTCTTTCTGTCCCTGGAGCACACCAAGGTTATTCTTACCCCACGGCCTCTGCACTGGCCGTTCCCTTTGCCTGCAACTCTCTTTTCCCAGGTCACCAGCTCACTGGCTCTTTCTGATGCTGCAGGTCTCTGCTGAAAAGCAGCTCCGCAAAGAACTCTCTCAGCTTCTGTATCTCAAGCTCTCCCTTCATCCCCCGCCCCCAAAACCCTCCTCTATGACTCACTGTTATTTTCTTTATGTAACTATTTATCCCCATCTGGATTCTTCCCCCGTTTGGATTTTATTGTCTGTCTCCCATCAATGGCAAAGTAAATTTCCTGACGCCAGAGGTCTTACCTAGCTTGCCTGGCGTCTTCTTCAACAAGTATATGATCAAATGAACGAAATGTTTCTTGGCTAGCAAGTGGTTGGACTGGGGAATTAACAGAGAACACTAGACCTTCTCTTCTGCCTGTCTTGGGACACAGAGCATTCAAATCCCTCCAGCAGGGGGAGGAAGAAGAAATACCTGGCAGATGTGACACAGCAAGGAGACCTGGGCAGCCAGTGGACAGAAGGACAGTGGGCCCGGAGGACACCCACCAGCATACTTGCTGGGGCAGAAGAGGGGACTGTGGCCAGTCCATCTACAGGCAATGCAGGGGGGCAAGCTGAGCCAGCAGCCTTAAGAGGAAAGAGAGAGTTGGTACATGAATTCCAAGCGAGTGCAGAAAGATCATCCAGACACATGGGATGTTCTGATTGACAGCAGAGAAGCAAAGCAATGAGGGAAACAGAGGCAGGCAGGCAATGTCAGGTGTGGTAGCCAGGCACTAGCTGCTAATCTGGGCTTTAAGGTCACAACTCTCTCCCTTGGGAGAACTGGCAAGAGTAAGGCTGGCCTAACCCTGGAAGAGCGGGGGCACCCACCAGAGTGGCAGTTCAGAACCTCCCGATCTGCATAGGGTGCATTTGGTGGAATTCTGGGCATGACCAAAGATGGGGTGCCTGAGCTGGGGTGTGAGGGAAGGGTGTGAGGAGCAAGGATGGACTTGATAGGGAGCTTCTCCTTTCCTTTTTTTTTAAGTACAAAATTATACATATATTTATATATATAATAACATGACATATCTATGTACAACATGGCTGGGACAGTTGAAGAAACTATACAATGGTGTTCAAGAGAGCAAGATTCTGTAATCCTCTTGCTGCTTCTTTCATCCAGCAGGAAGCTTGTGGTTGATGTCAGAGGCCCAGGCAGCAGGAGTTGGCACACTGCTGTCAAGTGGCCACAGCTGTAGCTGTTAGGAGATAGAGTAGCAGGAACAGGGAGCCAGGAGGTCATTAAACCACAGAGCCAAGCATGAACTTGCCTCATTCACACTTTTCCTAGGGAACAGACCTGAATGGACTTATCTCGAACCACCAAGAAAAGAGGCTGGAATAGGGCTTTGGGAGCAGATCTCTTTAGCAGGAGAGAGAATGGTGCCAGCAGCCCTTCCCACCAACATCCGGCCAAGCTGTCTGCATTGAAACACAGAGCTCAGCAACTGCAGCAGCTTAAAATGCATTCTATTCTATCTCTGCTCCCAGCATCTGCAGAAGCTAAGATGATGTTCTTTAAGGGCAAACCATAGACACCTTCCATCTCTGGAGGGTTAAATGTGGAGAAGGAGGAACAGAGGAAAGGTCCCTGCACCTGTGAACGCAGCCCCTTCCCCACATGCAGTGAAACTTGATGAAACAGCCCTTCCTGTTGGCACCTCTGGGTCCTGGGTGGGCCTGAGTCCATGCCACTCACTGATGGGGAATAGCATGGCTCTGTTTGCATGGATGCAACTCCCCAGCAGATGGTGAATCAGACCTCGATGTCTCTGTGTGCGCTTTATACATTTTACTTGTTGGTAATGAATTTACAAATCCTTTAAGTATGGAAAACAGAGCCTTCCCACAAGCTGAACAGATGGGAGAGAAGGCTTTCTAAAGGCTCTTCAAAGTGGCCTTTTTCTTCACCCCCTCCTGGCTTAATATCTCTCTCTATGTCTACAAATGCTTTATTAGCTGGGGGTGAGAGAGAACCTTCCCTGAGTCTCTTTCTCTGGTTCCCTAGAAAATTCCAGGCAGGCCTGCCCCGGCTAGGAACGCATTAGCAAGACAGCACTGGGCCCTGGCCAAGAACCTTCATTCAACATTGCATTCCTGGAGTGCAGCATAACTCATGGAGAGAAAAAAGGAGGCAGAACCTCTTGCAAAGCTGCCCCTGACTTCTCTGGCAGGGAAAGAGGTTCTCTTCTTTGTGGTGAGAGCTTCCTTCTGAGTGGCCAGAGTGTGGTGGATTGAATGGGTTCAAGCTGCAAGCACTGCAGCAGACTGAACTAATGTTTTACCTTTTCCTGATCCATACCCTTTGCCGTATCACTTTTCAGTGCACCTTGACGCTGAACTTGGCATGCGGCTTGCTTTGGCCAATGGGATATTAGCAGACATAAAGCAGGCTAAGAATTTGTGATGGTTAATTTCATGTGTTCATTTGACTGGGCTAAAGGATGCCCAGATAGCAGCAATACCTTATATTTGAGTGTGGCCGCGAGGGTGTTTCTGGAAGACATTAACATTTGAATTGGTGGGCTAAGTAAAGCAGGTGGCCCTCCTCATACAGGTGGGCATCAACTAACCCACTGAGGGCCCACATAAAACAAAAAGGTGGGAGGAGGGCATTTTGCTCTCTGTTTGAGCTGGGACATCTATCCTCCTGCTCTCAAGACTTGAGTTCTCTGGGTTTCGGGCCTTTGGACTTGGACTGGGACTTACCCTATTGACTCCCCCTAGTTCTCAGGCCTTTGGGTTTGGCCTGGAACTACACCACCAGTTTTCGTGGGTCTGCAGCTTGCAGATGGCAGATCACGGAACTTCTCGGCCTCTATAATCACATGAGCCAATCCCTACTAAGAACGCTCTTTCTATACATCTATGTATATCTTACTGGTTTTGTTTCTCTGGAGAATCCTGACGCATACAGGCTTTAAATGAACTTGCTCACAGAAGCATGTTTCTTGCTCCATCAGAAGGACGTCCCTGGGTAAGCTCGCTGGTCCCAGAAAGAGGAGACACATGGGGCTGAGCCAGCTCCCTTCCCGCTAGACATGGACCCAGGATCCAAACAGGCAGATTAGATGCCCACGGTCAAGAGCCTGGATCACGTACTTCCTCTCACTCTCAGCATCTCCAACACAGAGCACCCATGTAGAAGAAACAATAATTACATAAACGGCTATGATTTACTGAACTTATGCTAAACAAAGGGATAATGATTATATTCATCTTATAGAGTTGTTTTGAAGATTAAGTCAGATGATAAAGTTTATTCCTTTTTTAAAGATTTAGGTTTATTGTCCCACTTAATCTTTGGCCCACAGTTTTTTGGCCCATGACAAGCACTAAATAAATGTCATTTTTTTTGCATTATTTACATGCATTAATTTTAATCGTTAAAACAACCCTCAAGTTAAATATCATTATCTCATTTTACAGATGGAATACTGAAGTACAGACTACTTAAGTGATGTGGCCAAAATTACACAGCCAGATATGTGGGAGAGCTAGGATTGAAACTTCTGTTTAACCCTGGAAATAATTAAACAATATAAAACAAGATGCAGGACAAGTGCATATTCAGATTTTGGACACACAGTAAATGCTGAAAATACCATAAAAGAGTAAACCTATATTGATACGGAGCAGGGTTTTGACAACTTGACACTCCTGACATTCTGGAATGGATAATTCTTTGTCATACAAGGACCAGCCTGCGCACTCTAAGACGTTTAGCGGCACCCCTGGCCTCTCACCCACTAGATGCCAGTAGCACCTCCCCTGCAAGTGGTGACCACCAAAAGCTGTCTCCTGACATTGTCAAATGTTTCCTGAGACCCAATGTTCTGGAAGTATCAAGGAAGGCTTCAAGCAGGACGCAGGCTTTGAGAGGTCCTGGTAAGAGCTTACATAGTAGTTCCCATCCTTAAATTTCAAGAACCATTTAAAAATCTTAAAAATAAATTAAGGGAGAACATTTTTTTACTTCTCTTAAAAAAAAAACCGAGATACATGTGCGGAACATGCAGGTTTATTACCTAGGTATACACGTGCCATGGAGGTTTGCTGCACCTATTGACCCATCCTCTTAATTCCCTCCCCTCAACCCTCACCCGCTAACAGGCCCTGGTGTGTGCTGTTCCCTCCCTGTGTCCGTATCATCTCAATGTTCAGCTCCCACTTATGAGAACATGCAGTGTTTGGTTTTCTGTTCCGGTGTTAGTTTGCTGACGATGATGGCTTCTAGCTTCATCTATGTCCCTGCAAAGGACAATGATCTCATTCTTTTTTATGGCTGCATAGTATTACATGGTATATATGTACCACACCTTCTTTTTCCAGTCTATCATTGATGGGCATTTGGGTTGCTTCCATGTCTTTGCTATTGTAAATAGTGCTGCAATAAGCATATGTGTGCATGTGTCCTTATAGTAGAATTATTTATAATCCTTTGGATATATACCCAGTAATGGGATTGCTGGGTCAAATGATATTTCTGGTTCTAGATCCTTGAAAAATCGCCATGCTGTCTTCCACAATGGTTGAACTAATTTACATACCCACCAACAGTGTAAAGGCATTCCTATATATCCACATCCTCTCCTACATCTGTTGTTTCCTGACTTAATAATCACCATTCTGACTGGCATGAGATGGTGTCTCATTGTGGTTTTGATTTGCATTTCTCTGATGATCAACGACATTGATCTTTTTTTCATGTTTTTGGCCATGTAAATGTCTTCTGTTGACAAATGTCTGTTCATATCCTTTGCCCACTTTTTGATGGAGTTGTTTATTTGTCTAGTAAATATGTTTAAGTTCCTTGTAAATTCTGGATATTAGACCTTTGTTAGATTGTTAGATTGCAAAAATTTTCTCCCATTCTGTAGGTTGCCTTTCATGCTGATGATAGGTTCTTTTGCTGTACAGAAGCTCTTTAGTTTCATTAGATCTAATTTGTCAATTTTGGCTTTTGTTGCAATTGCTTTTGGCGTTTTTGTCATGAAGTCTTTGCCCATGGCTATGTCCTGAATGGTATTGCCTAGGTTTTCTTCTAGGGTTTTGATGGTTTTGGGTTTCACATTTAAGTCTTTAATCCATCTTGAGTTAATTTTTGCATAAGGTCTAAGGAAGCGGTCCAGTTTCAGTTTTCTGCATATGGCTAGCCAGTTTTCCCAGCACCATTAACTGAATAGGACATCCTTTCCCCATTACTTGTTTTTGTCAGGTTGGTAGAAGATCAAATGTTTGTAGATGTGGGTAGATTTGTTATTTTGGAGGTCTCTGTTCTGCTCCATTGGTCTAGATGTCTACTTTGGTGGCAGTGTCATGCTGTGTTGGTTACTGTAGCCTTGTAGTATAGTTTGAAGTTAGGTAGTGTGATGCCTCCAGCTTTGTTCTTTTTTGTTTAGGATTGTCTTGGCTATACGGGATCTTCTTTAATTCCATATGAAATTTAAAATAGTTTTCTCTAATTCTGTGAAGAATGTCAATGGTAGTTTGATGGCAATAGCATTGAATCTATAAATTACTTTGGGAAATATGGCCATTTTCACGATGTTGATTCTTCCCATCTATGAGGATGGAATGTTCTTCCATCTGCTTGAGTCCTCTCTTATTTCCCTGAGCAGTGGTTTATAGTTCTCCTTGAAAAGGTTCTTCACATCCCTTGTTAGCTGTATTCCTAGGCATTTTGTTCTCTTTGTAGCAATCGTGAATGGGAGTTCATTCATGATTTGGCTCTCTGTTTGCCTATTGTTGGTGTAAAGGAATGCTTGTGATTTTTTCCACACTGATTTTGTATCCTGAGACTTTGCGGAAGTTGCTTATCAGTTCAAGGAGATTTTGGGCTGAGATAATGGGATTTTCTAAATATAAAATAATGTCATCTGCAAACAGAGACAATTTGGCTTGCTCTCTTCCCATTTGAAAACTATTTCTTTCTCTTGCCTGATTGCCCTGGCCAGAACTTCCAATACTATGATGCTGTACTATGGTGAGAGAGAGCATCCTTGCCTTGTACTTGTTTTCAAAGGGAATGCTTCCAGCTTTTGCCCATTCAATATGATATTGACTGTGGGTTTGTCATAAATAGCTTTTATTATTTTGAGATATGTTCCATCAATTCCTAGTTTATTGAGAGTTTTTAACATGAAGGGATGTTGAATTTTATCAAAGATCTTTTTTGCATCTATGGAGATAATCATGTGGTTTTTGTCTTTGGTTCTGTTTATGTGATGGGTTACATTTATTGATTGCTGTATGTTGAACCAGCCTTGCATCCCAGGGATGAATGAAGCCAACTTGATCATGGTGGGTAAGTTTTTCAATCTGCTGCTGGATTCGGTTTGCCAGTATTTTTTTGAGCATTTTCACATCGATGTTCATCAGGGATATTGGCCTGAAGTTTTCTTTTTGTTGTTGTGTCTCCTCCCAGTTTTGGTATCATAATTATGCCGGCTTCATAAAGTGAGTTGGGGGGGGGGGTCTCTCCTTTTCAATTGTTTGGAATAGTTTCAGAAGAAGGGATACCAGCTCCTCTTTGTATTTCTGCTAGAGTTCAGTCGTGAATCCGTCTGGTCCTGGGGTTTTTTTGGTTGGTAGGCTATTAACTACTGCCTCAATTTCAGAACTTGTTATTAGTCTATTCAGGTATTTGACTTCTTCCTGGTTTAGTCTTGGTAGGGTGTATGTGTCCAGGAATTTATCCAAGTTTTTCTAGATTTTCTAGTTTATTTGCATAGAGGTGTTTATTGTATTCTCTGATGGTAGTTTGTATTTCTGTGGGGTCAGTGGTAATATCCCCTTTATAATTTTTTATTGTACCTATTTGATTCTTCTCTGTTTTCTTATTAGTCTAGCTAGTGGTCTATTTTGTTAATTTTTTCAAAAAACCAGCTCCTGGATTCATTGAATTTTTCGGAGGGCGTTTTGTGTCTCTATCTCCTTCAATTCTTCTCTGATCTTAGTTATTTCTCGTCTTCTGCTAGCTTTTGGATTAGTTTGCTCTTGCCTCTCTAGCTCTTTTAATTGTGATGTTAGGGTGTTGATTTGAGATCTTTCTAGCTTTCTAATGTGGGCATTTGGTGCTATAAATTTCCCTCTTAACACTGCTTTAGCTTTGTCCCAGAGATTCTGGTCCATTGTCTCTGTTCTCATTGGTTTCAAAAAACTTCTTGATTTCTGCCTTAATTTCAATATTTATCCATGAGTCATTCAGGAGCAAGTTGTTCAATTTTCATGTATTAGTGTGGTTTTGAGTGAGTTTATTAATCCTGAGTTGTAATTTGATTGCACTGTGGTCTGAGAGACTATTTGTTATGATTTCAGTTCTTTTGCATTTGTTGAGGAGTGTTTTACTTCCATTTAGTAGTATTTGCATATACCCTATGCACATTTCCCATATACTTTATTTTTTAAAGAAATTTGTATTTCCATAGGTTATTGGGGAGCAGTTGGTGGTTGGGTACCTGAGTACGTTCTACTGGTATACTTTAAATCATCTCTAGATTACTTATAATACTTCATAAAAGGTAAATGATATGAGTAGTTGTTATTTTGTGGTTTTGGTTCCTATTATATTTATTGTTGTGTTGTTATTTTTATTCCTTTTTTCCAAATAGTTTTTATCTGTGGCTAGTTTGGTATGGTTTATGAATGCACAGATATGCAGGGCCGACTGTATTAGTTTCCCAGGGCTGCCATAGTGAAGTGGGTGGCTTAAAACAACAAACGTATTCTCTCTCAGTTCTGGAGGCCAGAAGCCCAAAATAGAGGCATCAGCAGGGTTGGTTCTCTCCAAGCGCTCTGAAGGAGAACCCGATGGAAGAGCCACATCACCCTCCTCCCCTCCCGTTGGTTGCTGGCAATCCTCAGCAGGCTTTGACTTGTAGCTGCATGACCCCAATCCCTGCCTTTGCTGTCACATGGCATCTCCTTGTGTCTCTTCTCCTCTTCTTATAAGGACAACAGTCATATCGGATTAAAGGCTTACCCTCTTCCATTATAACCCCATCTTGACTAATTACATCTGCAATGACCCTATTTCCAACTAAGGTCTCTTTCTGAGGTACCGAGTGTCAAGTCTTCATCATGTCTTTTTGTGAAACACAATTCAACTCATAACAATAACGTCTCTGTGAGATCTCACAGATCTCCTGGATGATCTTCTCTCCTCCCAAACCTGTACTCTTCAGGAATACCACTCCCTGTTAATCCCAGAAGGAATGGAGCCAACAGAGATCACCCCTCTGTAACCCAAGAACTCCATATGTTCCACCATCCCTTCCATCAATTTGTACCCATGGGATAGTACTGCTGCCCCACCATATGCACTGGAGTTGTTTTTCTGCAGCAGGTGCGATGCTTTTCACGGCTGTATCCATCCTCTCCTCCCCAGATACCCTGCAACCACCCATGGCCTGCATCTGTAGAATGAGAGCCAGCGAGCTATGCTCCCTCTGACACTATGAAGGAGTTTGGTTTGATGATAAAAGCCTACAAGAAAATGCAAGCCTTGTTCCAGCAGCACAATGTGGTCAGATTTTTTTTTTTTTTTTGGCCTTCTAGGACCCTCAGACTCACTTAAATGAGAAGGGGACCCTAGTTTTACCATGCATGTTAAAGTTAGGATATTATGCCAAACTTCTAACTGCCCTGAAGTGGACAGTGTGTAAATGATGGGATAAAGGGAGGGGGGAAGGAATTGAAGGAGGTCCCAGGAAGCTATGCTGGGGCAGTGAGGAAGCTTGACCTTGTCAAAGAAACAAATAAACCCCTAGGAAAAATCAGTGGGATAAACTCTTAAGAGGCTGATTTTGAGAGAACAAGGATGAAGGAGAGTCAATGACAACCATCCACACTGGAAGATACCCATGAAGAAGTGGGGGATAAAATCCACCAGCTTCTGCATTGTGAGCCTCACCAGCTGGGACACAACTTTGCTCTATGGTCTTTGAATGGAAAGACCATGGTAAGAGCAGCTAAGTGCTCGGTTCTAAAAATGTTGAAGACTGTAGAACATCAAAATGGCCCTGTAGCCAGGCAGATCATTACCAGGGAAATTCTAGTAATAGCGACCAAGAGACCCATCCAGGAAAAGTCACCTTTAACACAGGTCATAGGAAACAGCATTAGCTGGGGGCTGTATGGCTCTGGGCCTATACCACTAGCTTGAGCCTCCATGGCCTCATCTGTAAAACAGGGACATGTGAAATCCTCAAAAGTCCTCTCCCAAACTTACAGACCCTGCATGTGGCCCCAGGGATGGAAATTGAGGAGAAATTTTCTTCTAGCACCTTTTCCAACCTGCTCTCTCATTTGTTTTCTCTTAGCAAGCCTCCCACCTTGTCGCACCAGCTGTGGGTTTCTTGTTAGAGCTCCAACCTCATAAATACCTCCATGGCCAGAAATTGTTTCTCTAAAAATGTAATATGCATGCAAACTCAACATGTGAAACCCCACAACAATTGAATTCTTCTGTACCCCAAAATCAATTGTCAAAGTGCACATAAAATTACAACAGTGCTAAGCTTTCCATAATGAGGTGATTGTGCTAAGCGAGCATCTGATTTAAGAAGTGGCTCAGCAGTACAGGGCTTCGTGGCATCATCTAATCAGGCTGCAGCAGGAAACATGCTAGCTTCCAAGTGAGCAGACCGCAGTGGAGGGGTGAGCAGGCACCATGCCAGTCTGGAGGTGTGGTGGGGAGGAGTTGGGCTCACGAGTGAGGAGGCACTCCCTGATTCAGGCCCCCCCAGTCTTCAACCTCTTCCCCCACCAAGAAAAATGGAAATTAAAGCTTTGAGGACAGAGAGGGAGCAAGAGAGGGGAGGCATAAATAAAAAGAGGGCAAGCAGGGTGAGAGGGCTGCAGAGATGAACACAGATGACCGGCAGGAGTGAAGGTCTGCTCCGTGGACAGAGACAAGCTGCTCTGACATCTGAGCTTGGCACTGGATAGACCTTGGCTAGAGGCACAGCTCAGCCCTGGAGGGTCAGAGTCTGTCCTTTGTCCTCCTTTGCAGGAAAGGAGATAGGCCCAGAGCGACGGGATAGGTGTTAGCCATGAAGGAGCTGGGAGTCACCCTAAGTCTCTTCACACCCGGACACATTTTCCCACCTGCTTGTCATTTTCCAAAATGCTGCTATTACTTTAGCTTTTCCAGTGCAATTTTTGGGTCACACTGGGCTCTCTCCCTCTGTTTCCTCCTTTATAGAGCAAATATGCCCTAGAGGAGTAACTCTTCATACCTTGGTAGCACTAGCATGTGGGAGAAGAGGGGTAGACATCCTGGAGGTAAACATGCATCCTCAGGCATGGATGTATTATCTACATCTCAAGGGCCAGACACTGAGCAAGGGGTAAGTGCAATGCAGGGATGGTGGCATGGCACCTCCTGATCTAGTGTAGAAGAGGATGATAACCCCACACACCCAGCACTGAGTGTGTGTGTGTGTGCCAGTAGGGAGTGCTCAAGGTGAAGGGCAGGAGGGAGGAACAGAGCGGGGCCCATTTCTCAGGGCAAGAGGACTTCTGAGCAGAGTCTTGAAAGAACTACAAGATTTAGCAAAGAGAAGAAAGGAAGAGAAAAAGTATCTGCAAATGCACGGAGGCCAAGAAACAGTGACCTGTTTGAAGACAGATGAGAGGTTCTGAATGGCTGGAATAGAATTTGGCATCTGGAGAAGCAGCAAGAATTGAGGTGGGAAAGGTCGAGACACAGCTGACACCACCTGACTCAATGAATGTTCAGGTGGAATGGAAAGGTCTTTCCTGGCCCAGATAGTTTCCAAGTTCCAAGAATCTTCCCTAGGATTCACTGAAATCTCAAAACAACCACTGCCTGTTAGCTTTGAGCCAGCCACCTCACTGATCAGAGACTTCCTGTCTCTCCGGAGCATCTTTCTCTCTCAAGAGTGTCTTTTGGGGATAATCAATGAGATCATTTCTGGGCAATCCACCTAAAAAGGGCTGGTGACTCACAACACTAGATAGTTGGGGAAGCCTGTGGTAAGGAAGATGCTGGAGGGAGTGGTAATAGTTATGGGTCTTCACTCTCTTGCCTGGAATCATGATTAATGTGCCAGTAGTTCAGTCTGAGTGAGCCTAAACATATACAGATGCTCCTTGACTTACAGTGGGATTGCATCCTGATTAGCCCATTGTAAGCTGAACATATTTACATCAGAATGCATTTAATATGCCTAACCAACTGAGCATCATAACTTAGCCTAGCCTACCTTAAACGTGCTTGTAACACTGACATTCACCAACAGTCAGGCAAAATCATCTAACGCAAAGCCTATTTTATAATAAAGTGTTCAGAAGCTCATGTAATTTATGAATACCATACCAAACGTGAAAAACAGAAAGGTTGTGGGGCAAATGAACCTGGGTTAGAATCTTAACTTCTCCAGTTATTATGGGTGTGGCTTCAGTTTCTTTATCTGTAAAATCGGGATAATAACAATACCTTGCCTCACAGGATACCAGGAGGATGAAATAAAATAATAAATGCTAAGATCTTAGCACAGTGCCTGGCACAGAAAGATGCTGAATAAATATTGGCCTAAAATACAAAACAAAAAAATTACAAGTCAAAGCACTTACCTAAGATGATTCTCAGGTCTCCTTTGAGATAAGCACAAGAATCTAGAACTTCAGGCTTTTACTGACTTCTAAGAAGAGGATGACCCCACCCCTTGGGAAGTTTTCCTTCCTGCTCAGAAGTGGTTGCTGGTGGAAGAGACTTTCCCCATATCAGGTCTGAATCTGGAAGGGAGATAACTCCAAAACCTGCCCAAGGACAGAGCAGGATTTAGAAAGGAGAAAGTTTCTTTGCCAAGCTCCCTCATAGAAATCCAGCAAGATAAAGCCCTTACCCAAATAGCAATTGACTACCAAAAAAATTTCAGACATTACAAACAACTGTCAAAAGTTGTCTGGCTGGCTGGGCACGGTGGCTCACATCTGTAATCCCAGCACTTTGGGAGGCCAAAGCAGACAGATCACCTGAGGTCAGGAGTTTGAGACTAGCCTGGCCAACATGGTAAAACCCAATCTCTACTTAAAAATACAAAATTAGCTCGGTGTGGTGGTACATGCCTGTAATCCAAGCTACTTGGGAGACTGAGGCAAGAGAATCCCTTGAACCCCGGAAGTGGAGGTTGCAGTGAGCCAAGATCGCACAGCTGCCCTCCAGCCTGGGTGATAGGAGCATAACTCAGTCTCAAAAAAAAAAAAAAGTTTGCCTGTCTGGCAGCATTATCTCCTGTTATTTACAGTAAGAAAACTGAGGAACATAGGAAGCAAGTGACCTTTCCTAACAATGCATGGCCAATGAGGGACAGAATGCCAGGCATCTAACTGTTGGTATAGTTTCTCTTAGACTTCCATCTGGTTTCTGAAGTGGAAGTGTAGATCCTAGCAGGAGATGGAGGGGGACATGGGGGAATGATTCTGTTTGTGGCTCAATGAGGCTATCTCAGGGGCCTGCCTTGGCCCTTGGCTGGGCAGAGTCTGCAGGTGAGCACAGTTGGCATATCCCATGCCCAGATGTCACCAAGTCAGAGCACAGACATCTCTGGGGCAGGTGCCATTGGCCCAAGGACAGAAAGATAAGTTTGAGAACCTCTGGCAGTCACTTGGATTCTGACGGAATCATCTTTGAATTTTTGTAGGAGTTGGTGCTACGTCTTTAGCCCAACAGGGTACTGACCATCACTGCTGCACCCCAAGGCTGAATACTTTTCCAGGAGGGTTTCTGTCAAAGACTAATACCACTCACCCTCCTTTCCCTCCCCCTCTCTGTTGTAGGTGGGGGGCACATTTAACTTATCATCTAAATAAGAATCCTTTTAAGAGTGAAAGGAGGTGTCGCCTGGACCATCCAGGCAAGGGGCTCTCATCTTCAATCCCAATCCTACCAACCCTTAAGTTGAGATTGCTATCTAGGTGGGGGAAGCTGTCTTTGTGCTCAGATGCAATCACAGAGGAACCTATTCCAGATGAGAAGCAGGCAGCAGGAGAAACATTCTCATGGGCTACATGTCCTCTTGGGAAAGAAAGAACAAAAGAAGCTGTTTCAAAGATGGTGCTAGAGGGTAGAGGGGGAAGAACACGCTTCTGAAAAGTGTGAGTATCTCCAAAATACAAAACACTCAAATGAATGCCTCCCACCTGCTCTCCAAATAGACAGATTCTGCCCATCCTTCAAAACCCAGCTCATGCTCCTCCTCTGTTATGCCTCGAAAATCACCCAGGCACCAGGGAGCCTCCTCCTCAGGCCCCAGTTGTTCTCACTTTTTAGACCGTGGGACTTTATGGTTTCCCTTGTAATTTGCCTTATCCAGTCATCTAATAATTTATCCTTGAGTATACCTTTTAACTTCTCTACTAGGAGGGCAGGGCAGTTTTATGGCTACCTTTTTGTAATAGGGTACATGTGGGTGTATGTAAAATATATACATATAATAATATATTATATGTAAGTCCACTAAATTTACATATATTCTACTAAATATGATATACATATAAGCATGTACATATACATATATACATAGAGACACACTTATATATTCATATGCATAAATGAAAGTAAGAATTAATGTTTAGATAGAGAGATGAACCTACTGGATATGTTTATCTCAAAAGAATCAAGGAGATATTCCCAGAGAACAAGAAGTCATTTACCTATTAATGGGTGATGGAATTTTCACTGTGGGAGTTTATAGGTTGAGCGGGGGCATGATGTCTGTGCTTTTCACACCTACATCTTTGGTTTGGGGACTGGCATTGTGAGGATCTAACCAGGTGGCTTCATGAAGTCATTCCCATCTTGAGATATGGATAAACATAGGGGAAAAAGTAAAACCAAGGGAAATAACTAGCTACCAAGTGGGCAGCATTTCCAGGAATTAGTTGCTCACCCCTTTGCTAGGATGAGTCATGGTTTTGGCAGTTGAGTCATTAGTGCCCGCTTGGGAAGCTTTTCCTTATTGATTTCTGCTAGGCTTCAGCCCCTTGCCAATCAACGGCTTGGAGACAGAAGACTGGACCCAGAGACTGGCTAACATTCCTTTTCAGATTTTTAAGATTCTGGGGATACTTTTCTAGGGATCTCCTATTCATTTAGGCAGAGATGAGTTGTTGTTTTTTTAAGCCTCCTGCCTCTCCCTAGCCTCTACCCACAGAAAGTAATGCCCATGCTTGCCGTCCCATCTTGAAAGCTTTCTTCCAAAGTTTAGTTACTAATTAGACATTATTTATACCCCAGAACACATGCACGTGTCATGCTGCTCAGCATGCTGTTCTCATGAGCTCCCTGGTACACCCGCTGTTCTTAAATGTCCCCATCACTCCAGCTCTATACGCTGACTTTGACAGGCATCCCACCCTGTGAATCCTCTGTCTGAACAACTCTTCTAATTCATGTATGCCAGAACACAGTTACTCCAGCTCCATCCATCTTCCCAAGGGTCCTTTGTCACTGGTCGGTCGTGTGCTGGGGAAAGTCATGATTGAGATGCTTTCCTTCTCTCCTCCACTGAGGGAAGAGCCAGGTCAGTGAGCCCAGAAGGACAGAGCTCTCTGTGAGCCACATGAGGAGCCTCAGTAAGCCAGGAGACCTCAAGATAACACCCACCCACCTAACCCTACCTCATCTACACACACAGCCTCATCAGAGTAATCCAGTACAATTTTTAAAAATCTATGTGATGATCTTTATGAGTCTAGCATCTGGTAAGGAAGTAGCCATAGATTATAATGCCTGTGACTCCAGCCTCAACTCTTGTCTTTCACACATGACTTCTCATTTAAAAGAACACCTTAATCAGCTGTAAAACAAAAGCCAAGGAGGTGTGCCAAGAGCTTGGAGAAAAAGAAAAAGTCTGACCTAGAATGTTGGAATAATTAAATCCACTGCTGCTCTTCCAAATTACAAATTGGAATCACCTGCTCAGGGTGTGCCCGGCTCACTCCATCCCTCCCCACTGCAGCCTGATTAAGGATTCCAGGCAACTGACTGGTGTTCCCAGACAAGCAAAAGTAAACTCCCTCATCTGCAAGCCAATTCACATAACAGATTCCCTAATAAGGCATGAGGAAAAGCTGCCCTGGCACATCTGTTTTGTCATGCATCTCCAGCAAATCCTGGGACAACAGGAGAGGCAGAGGCAATGCTGGTCCCAAATATACTCATCATATTTCAGTGAATGGACTCAGTGTTTAAGGCTTGGTCTCAACCATTCAGATAGTATTGAGGATAGTTAGGTTCAGGTGCAGAATTCATTATGAAGTTATTTGATTCATTTCTCAAGCAAACATTTGCTAAACGTCTACAATGTGCCAAGCACTGGGTTAGGCACTGAGGATGTAGGGGAAGAGAAAGTCATAGAAAGAGGTCATTGCCACACACTGTGGGGGGTGCTACTGTAGAGGTTATTTGCCAATTTCTATAGGAATATACAGAGGTCAGGACCATCACTATCTAAGAAAGAAGGAAAAGATGAGGAGTCAAAGAAAGAGCCATAAGAAAGCAGTCTTGAAGGATAGAATCTGGGGAGCCATTATGAAACCTGAGTGGAAAAACTGGCTTGCAATAGATGAAAGTATCGTGTCTTCCCCTACACACTAGCAATACATAGTCATATGTTGGGGGTGGTGGTGCCTCATGGCACCAGAGCACTCTTTCTGCCTTCCTCCCAATACCATTTACCAGCTATTTACACTCTGTCCCTGGCTCCTCAAGGCCTTTAGAAACCCTGCTTTGCTCTAGTCAATGAAGATGGGCCAACCAAATGGATGGAGAGTGCGGCTTTGGGAATGACGCCTTGTCAACATCTCACCTTTTCTGGTGTGCCTCAGTCTGGGGCCCACCTCCAGCTTCCTGAAAACCTTCTAACATCTCACTGCTCTCTCTCTCTACAAGAAGCGTCTCTTAACACTCTTTGTACCTTTTTAGGTCAGAGACACCCAGCAATAAGTAGCAAAGCACCCAGCACAATGTCTAGCGGGTATTAGGGGCTCCACGTTTTAGTTAAAATTATTTTTAAAAATAATGAAATTTTAGTTAAATTTTAGATAAAATTGTTTATCATATTCATTGGCTTATATTTATAGGTAAGAGAGGGGTACCTTTCTCTAGAAACCATCAGCTTTTGTCTCTCTCTCTCTCTCTCACACACACACACACACACACACACACACACCCTTACACATAAAAAGTATCATATTTACATATAGGACTGTTCAGATATTAGAACACATACAGTTATTTTCAATGCACTAAGCCACACAGATAAAAATCCTGGCCCTGTCTCTCTCTGGGAGCTTACAGACCAAATTCTGCTAGAATTCAGGATAGCATTCTGTGCATTCTCCCTCATAGAGTGAGAAGATGAATCTGCTAGGGAAGGAAACACCTCCACACTCAGCAAATCAAGAGCAAGAACCATCTGTGTTTTCCAGAAGGTCCCAGCAAAATGTAAGAACAAGAGAATCTTTTGACATTTCACATTTCTCTTCCCTGGGAGAAGGCTGAATGGAAGTTCTTGGATACATATATGTTTAGCTATCTTAGATCCACAGGGAAGCTATGGGAACAGTAAAAGAGCCAGATGAGGGGGATCTTCATACTCGTAGCTGGGTTGGTTTGAAGGATCAGAAAAAGACCAGCCTGAGACTGTAAAGGACCAAGTGAGACTGTAAAGGACCAAGTGAGACTCTAGACCAGGCATGGGAATAAGTGGCTGTCAGGAAAGAGATCATCTCAGTGGGAGGAATTCGGTTAGACTCCTTTAGCCTGGTCACTGACCATCAATAAAATGGGAATGATGAAACCCGCAAAGGAGGTGAGGATTCTTCTCAACTGGCAAAACAAACCACTATCTATCCTTGACCTTTGATCCTTAAATGATGAGATCTCAAAAACTTCTCAAGGTAGTAGCATGGAACCACCTCTGTATCCTTCATTTTATAATCATAAAGTTTGCCATTTGCAAATATCTCACATTTAAACTTGTTTTCCTTTTGCATAAAACATCTAATTAATCATATTAAAATATTTCATGGGTTACTTTTAAGAAAAGCCTACCAAACTGATATAGAGGATATTAAAGAATCATATAATCTTATCCAATTATATGTGTATAGATGTGAAAACCTGAAAAAAAGGGCTCATTTTCTTGAAAAACATAAATTACTAAAGTAAATTACAGAGGAGACACACCACTTAAACCCATCATTTACCAAAGAAGAAATTTGATTATTATTATTCTTTTTTAAGAGATGGGGCTCTTGCCAGATGCCGTGGCTCATGCCTGTAATCCCAGCATTTTGGGAGGCTGAGGAGGGCAGATCACTTGAGGTGAGGAGTTTGAGAACAGCCTGACCAACATGGAGAAACCCTATCTCTACTAAAAATACAAAAATCAGCCAAGTGTGGTGGCACACACCTGTAGTCCCAGCTACTCAGGAGGCTAAGGCAGGAGAATGGCTTCAACCTAGGAGGGAGAGGTTGCAATGAGCCAAGATCACGCCACTGCACTCCAACCTGGGCAACAGAGTGAGACTCCGTCTTAAAAAAAAATAGAGAGAGATGGCGGTCTCACTATGTTCCCTAGGCTTGAGTGCAGTGGCTATTCACAGGTCTGATCATAATGCACTGCAGCCTTGAACTCCTGGTCCCAAGTGATCCTCCTGCCTCACCCTCCTGAGTAGCTAGGAGGGCAGGCCTGGCAGAAATTGATTTTTTTTTTAATGTCAAGAAGCTCTTGCAAGAAAAAAAATAATGCCAAAGTGTTTCACAAAATAATTGTCTACCATGTAACTAACATGTATCTCCAGTACTATTTTAAATTGCTCAATATGTTTAGAACAAAAGATCACTTCCAAATTACTTTTATAAAGTTAGAATAGCATTAATAGTAAAACCTGACAAATCAAATACAAAGTAAACCGGCAAACTACTTTCATTTGATGAATATCAGTGTGTACATTCTACATGAAAGAATAATGCAGAGAATCGGGCAAAAGACCAAAAGAATAATTATCCATGAATAAATGATGTATATTCCAAAAATGCAAAGATAGTTTGACTCTATTAATTGGCCATATCAGATGAAAAGAGAACCTCCATAAATATCTATCAGATATTAAAACATATTACAAAGCTATGGCAATTAATACATTACGGTACCAAATCAAAAATAAGTTTATCAGGCTGGACACAGTGGTTCACGCCTGTAATCCCAGCAATTTGGGAGGCTGAGGTGGGTGGATCAACTGAGGTCAGGAGTTTGAGTCCAGCCTGGCCAACATGATGAAACCGGGTCTCTACTAAAAATACAAAAATTAGCTGGGCATGGTGGCACATGCCCTATAATCCCAGCTACTTGGGAGGCTGAGGTACGAGAATCGCTTGAGCCCAGAAGGCAGAGCTTGCAGTGAGCCGAGATTGTGTCACTGCACTCCAGCCTGGGCAAAAGTGAGACTCTGACTCAAACAAACAAAAAAGAATAAGTGTATCAATAAAACAGAGTATAGAATCCACAAATATATCCAAATACACTTAAAAATGTAGTATGTAATAAATGTGGTTTCACATATTAGTAAAGATGGATGAGTCAATAAATTGTATTCACAGAATAGCCATCCAACAAAAAATGAAAGTTACAATCCCTAGCTTATACCCTATAGAATAATCAGCACATTAAATACAAAATATGGAATCACAAATGTACCAGAAGAAAACATTAGTTTTTAAAAAATAATCTCAACTTGGCAAAGCCATTAAAAAAAGACTGTAGTACAATTATGATTTATCAAGATAAATTTTGCTACATTAATTTCAACTTTTTCTCAGTAACAAAAGTACTATAAAAAATTAAAAGAAAAATGACATGTAAAATATCAGAAATATTTATCCAAACAAATATACAATGAACTCCCACAAATCAGTAAAGCACCAAAAACTCAATATGAAAATATACAAAGACTGATGTATAGAAAAAATTATGAATAGCTCCTAAATAAAAAGTATTCAGCCCCACTCCTAATAAGGGTAGTACAATGGAATCTCAATAATAAACCATGTTTACATCTATCATATTAGCCACAAATAAAACACATAATAACACTATTTGGCAAGATTAGGACAAACCAGCTGTTTTCATGAATTCTAAGTCATTGTGCAAGTTTATGACATTTTGAAGGGCAATTTTATGATATTTATAAAAGTTAAAATGCATTTATCTTTTGAGCCAATGATTCATTACTAAACCTACTCTGCAGAGTAACATGCTCATGCAAAATTAATGAATATGTTGGATGATTAATCATAGCATCTTTTGCAACAGGCAAAGATTGAAAAAAAAATCTAAACACCCACAAGAAGGGCACTGGCTAAATAAATAGTACCGTATTACAATGAAATATTATGTAGCCATTAAAACAACAAGACACTTTTATAATTAACTATATGATAAAAACTTAAGGTACATTTTTAGTTTTAAAAAACAAGGTGCATCTTTTTCATTATTGTCCTATAAATCCTAGCTAATGTAATAACACAAGAAAAGGATATAAAAGAGATACAGATTGGGAGGAGAGGCTTCAAGATGCCTGACTAGACATCTGGTACCCACCTCCTCCATAAAGAAGGACTAAAATAGCAAGTAGATACTTAGACTTCAACTAGATCATCTAAAGCATGGTCTATTCAACAGATAACTCACAGAGAAGTAAAAGAAAACACGTAAGGTGAGAAAGGAGAGGAGAGTGAGATGGCCTACTCTACTGGGATCTGCTGGGAGCCTAGAGAGGCTCCCCAGTGCAGAAAAGGAGGAAATGAATGACCTCCAGTACTCTACATTTCCACCATGGACTCCTGCAGTCCGAGCCACAGGGGAGGCTCATTACATGAGGGCCCTAAGACTAACATAGGCAGTTGCCTGGATACAACACAACAGCATTTAAGGGAGCTCAAACTGGGTCCTACACTCCCCCAAGTCCAAAGCAGCTACAGCACAGCACCATTTTGAGAGCCTAGCACTCACCAAACTGCATCTGCCCTACGGCCCAATAGTCTCTGCATCTTCAGATCCCTGGAGACTCACTGACATCCCCTACCCCCAGCTGGACACCACTGCTGGCTGCTGCTACCAGGGCTGAAGAGTGTCATTGGTAGCAACTCCACCACTCACGGTAGCAGGACTACTATGCATTTAAAAGCATTCTGAGGAAATATTAACCTGCTTATAGCCACCAGTGAGGGCTGAAGTGTGCACTTCCAAGCCACCTATTTATGGCTGTTGACAAAGAAAGCACCCTGCCCTCCCAGCAACAGGGCCTTAGTATAGCCGCTGCTCCCACCCAGGCATTCTCTCAGGGGCCTGTGGATCACCCTGCTCCTGCCTACTACAGCACAGCCAGTGTCCACACATACCACTGGGGGGCCTAGGGACAGAGGAAGTGAATACATTCTTGGGTGCGTACATCCTATGAAGATTGAATCAGGAAGAAATAGAGAACCTGGACAGAACAATGACAAGTAATGAGATTTAATCAGTAATAAAAAGCCTCCCAAAAAAGCAAAGTCCAGAAATGGATGGCTTCATTGCCAAATTCTACCAACGTTACAAAGAAGAATTCACAATGAGTCTCCTCAAACTATTTCCAAAAATTGAAGACGAAGAAATTCTCCCAAACTCATTCCATGAGGTGAGAATTTCCCAAATGCCAAAACCAGACAAGGATACAACAACAACAAAAGATACCTACAGGCCAATGTCCCTGATGAACACGGACACAAAATCAGTTTATCAGAAAGATAATACACCATGAAAAAGTGAGATTTATCCCAAGGATGCAAAGATGGTTCAACATATGCAAATCCATAAACACAATACATCACATCAACAGAATGAAAGGCAAAGACCATAGGATCATCTCAATAGATGCAGAAAGAAAGCATTTGATAAAATTCAATGTCCCTTCATGATAAACACTCTCAACAAACAGCACAGAATGAACATACCTTAACATAATAAGGGCCATATATAATAAGCCCACCTCTAACATCATACTGAAGGGACAAAAGCTGAAAGTCTTTCTTCTAAGAACTGGAACAGGCCGGGCGCGGTGGCTCACGCCTGTAATCCCAGCACTTTGGGAGGCCGAGGCGGGCGGATCACGAGGTCAGGAGATCGAGACCATCCTGGCTAACACGGTGAAACCCCGTCTCTACTAAAAATACAAAAAATTAGCCAGGCGTGGTGGTGGGCGCCTGTAATCCCAGCTACTCGGGAGGCTGAAGCAGGAGAATGGCATGAACCCAAGAGGCGGAGCTTGCAGTGAGCCGGGATAGCGCCACTGCAGTCCAGCTTGGGCAAAAGAGTGAGACTCCGTCTCAAAAAAAAAAAAAAAAAAAAAAAACTGGAACAAGGTAAGAATGTCCACTTTTACCACTTGTATTCAACATAGTACTGGAAGTCCTAGCCAGAGCAATCAAATAAAAGAAAGAAATAAGTGGCATCCAAACTGGAAAAGAGGATGCCAACGTGTCCCTCTTTGCGGATGACACGATCTTTTACGTAGAAAAACCTAAAGACTCCACCAAAAAAAACTCTTAGATCTGATAAATAAATCCAGTAAACTTGCAGGATACAAAATCAACATATAAAAATTAGTAGCATGGCTGTACACTAATAATGAACTATCTAAGAAACAAATCAAGAAGGAATTCCATTTACAATTGCTACAAAAAAATGTCTAGGAATAAATTTAACTGAGAAGGTGAAAGAAAAGCTACAAAACTCTGACAAAGGAAATTTTAGATGTCACAAATTGAAGAACATCTCATGTTCATAAATTAGAAGAATTAATGTCTTTAAAATGACCGTACTATCCAAAGTAATCTACAGATTCAATGCAATCCTTATCAAAATACCAATGTCATTTTTCACAGGAATAGAAAGAATATAAAAAAGTCATGTGGAACCAAAAAAAGAGCCTGAGTAGCCAAAGCAACCCTAAACAAAGAAACAAAATAAAGCTGGAGGCATAACACTATCTGACTTCAAAATATATTGCAAGGCTATAGTAACCAAAGCAGCAGGATATTTGGCATAAAAACAGACACACAGCCCAATGGAACAGAATAGAGACTTGAAAATAAATCCATGTACTTACAACCAGCTGATTTTCAACAAAGGTGCCAAGAATATATGTTGGGAAAAGGATGGTCTCTTCAACAACCAGTGCTAGGAAAACTGGATATCCATATGCAGGGAGCGAACCTGGACCCCTATCTCCCACCATATGCAAAAGTAAAGTCAAGATGGATTAAAGAACTAAACATAAGCCCCCAAACTACAAAACTACTAGAAGAAAACACAGAAGCAACACTTCAGGACATTGGTCTACGTAAAGATGTTACAGCTAAGACCTCAAAACCACAGGCAACAAAACAAAAATAGACAAATAAAATTATCTTAAACTAAAAAGCTTCTCCAAAGCAAAGGAAACAATCAACAGAGTGAAGAGACAATTTGTTGAATAAGAGAAAATATTTTCAAACTATTTATCTGAGAAGGGACATTATAATATCCAGAATACACAAGGAATTCAAATGTCTCAACAGTCAAAAAACAAATAATCCCATTAAAAATAAAGCAAAGGACATAAATAGACATTTCTTAAAAGAAGACATACAAATGGTCAACAGGTATATGAAAAAATGTTCACTATCACTGTTCATCAGAGAGTGCAAGTGAAAACTACAGTGAGATATCATCTTACCCCAGTTAAATGGTTATTACTAAAAAGACAAAAATTAACAGATGCTGCAAGGACATGGAGAAAAAGGAACTCTTACATACCACTGGTGGGAATGTAAATTAGTATAGCAACTATGGAAAACAGTATGGCAATTTCTCCAAAAACTAAAAATAAAACGACCATGTAATCCAGTAATCCCAATAGTGGTTATTTATCCAAAGAAAAGGAAATCAGCCTGTTCAGAAAGATAACTACACCCTCATGTTTATTGCAGGACTATTCACAATACCAAAGATATGGTGGACTCAAACTAAGTGTTCATCAACAGACAAATAAAGAAAATATGAAAATACACACAACGGAATATTATTCAGTGATAAAAAAGACTAAAACTATGTCATTTGCAGGAAAATGACTGGAACTGGAGGTCATCATAAGTGAAATAAGCCAGAAAGACAAATATCACATATTCTCAGTTATACATAGGTGCTAGTAAATGTAGGTGCTAGTATATGTAGGTGCTAGTTATATGTAGGTGCTAGTAAAGTGAGTCTCATTGAGGTAGAGCGTAGAATGATAGATGCCAGAGTATGGGAATGTGGGTAGGTAGGGACGGAAAGGGATCAAGAGAGATTGCTTAATGGGTACAAATATACAGCTAAATAGAAGGAATACATTCTAATGTTTGGTAGCAGAGTCAAGTGACTACAGTTAACAACATCTTGTATATTTCCAAATAGTCAGAAGAGAGGTCTTGAAATGGCCCCAACACACAGAAATGATAAATACATTGAGTAGATGAATACCCTAAACACATCAACTTGAACATTACACATACCATGCATGTAACAAAATATCACATGTACCCCATAAGTATGTAAACATATTGTGTATAAAGAAAAATAAAGGTATACAGATTGGTAGTAAGAAATAAAACTTTCTGATCTCAGATGACAGGGTTCCTATGTAGAAAATCAGAAAGAATCAACAACAAAAATATTTGAAACTAATAAGTGATTATAGCAACATTACAAGAAGCAAGGTTAATATACAAAATCAATTGCTTCCCTATGTACCAGCAATGAATAAGTAGAATTTGAAATCAAAAACACAATGCCATTTACATTGGCACTCCAAAAAATTAAATACTTAGGTATAAATCTGACAAAATACATACTAGATCTGTATTAAAAAAAACTACAAAACTCTAATGAAAGAAATAAAAGAACTAAGTAGATGGAGACATGTTCCGTGTTCATTGATAGGAAGACTCAATATAGTCAAGATGTCAGTTCTTTACAACTTCACATATAGATTCAATGCAATCCTAATCCAAATACAAGCAAGTTATTTTACAGTTATTAAAAAGTTGATTTAAAATTTTAGAGAGAGGCAAAAGACCCAGAATAGTACCTGCACTCCTATGTTTATTATAGTACTATTTGCAACAGCAAAGATGTGGAATCAATGTAAGCGCCCATCAATGAATGATTAGATTTTCTAAAATACAGTATGTGTGTATATATGTGTATGTGTGTGTGTATGTATGTATGCATGTATATATGATGGAAAATTCAGACAAAAAAAGTAAAACCATGCCTTGTGCAACAACATGGATGAAACTGAAGGCCATTATCATAAGTGAAATGGCTCAGAAACAAAGTCAAATACTGCATGTTCTGACATATAAGTAGGAGCTAAATAACGTGTACACCATTATCATAAGTGAAATGGCTCAGAAACAAAGTCAAATACTGCATGTTCTGACATAAAAGTAGGAGCTAAATAACGTGTACACCATTATCATAAGTGAAATGTCTCAGAAACAAAGTCAAATACTGCATGTTCTGACATATAAGTAGGAGCTAAATAACGTGTACACCATTATCATAAGTGAAATGGCTCAGAAACAAAGTCAAATACTGCATGTTCTGACATATAAGTAGGAGCTAAATAACGTGTACACATGGACACACAAAGTGGAATAAGAAACAGTGGAGACTTGGAAGTGTGAGAGGGTGGGAGGTGGATGAAGGATAAGAAATTACTTAATGGGTACAATGCACACTATTGGGGTGAAGGCTACACTAAAAGTCCAAATTTTACAACTATACAATATATCCATTTAACAAAGCTACACTTGTACCCTTCTAAACCTATAAAAATTTAAAAAGAAAAAAATATTGAAGGTGAACAAAGTTGAAGGATTGACACTAACAGACTTTGAGACTTAACTATAAAACTACAGGAATGAAGACAGTGTAGTAGTGGTGAAAGAACGGAGAAACTGATTAATGGAAAAGAATAGAGAACCCAGAAATAGACATACATAACCATAGTCAACCGATTTTTGACAAAGCAGCAAAGGCAACACAATGAAGAAAAATGTCTTTTCAACAAATGGTGCTGGAACAACTGAACATCCACATGCAAATAATTGAATCTAGGCACGGATCTTATATCCTTCACAAAAACTAACTCAAAATGGGTCATAAGCTTAAATGTATATTAAAAAACTTTAAAACCTTACTTATTAGGTAAAAGGACTAAATCTATGCAACCTTGGATATGGTCATAATTTTTTAGATACAATGCCAAAGGCATGATCCATGAAAGAAATAATTGATAAGCTGGACTTTATTAAAATTATAAACTTCTGCTCTGCAAAAGACAATGTCAGGAGAATAAGAAGACGAACCACAGACTGGGAGAAAATACTTGCAAAAGATACATATGATAATGGATTGTTGTCAAAATATACAAATAGCTCTCAAAACTCAAAAATAAGAAAACAAACAACACTTTTTAAAAAGAGCCAGGACCTTAACAAATACTTCACCTCACCAAAGAAGACATACAGATGGTAAATAAGCATAGGAAAAGATGTTGCACATCTTATGTCACTAGGGAAATGCAAATTAAAACAAGATACCACTTCACACCTATTAGAGTGGCCAAAATCCAGAACACTGACAACAGCAAATGATAATAACAATTTGGAACAACAGTAACTTTTTTTTTTTTTTTTTTTTTTTGAGACGGAGTCTTGCTCTATCGCCCAGGCTGGAGTGCAATGGTGCAATCTCGGCTCACTGCAAACTCTGCCTCCCGGGTTCATGCCATTCTCCTGCCTCAGCCTCCTGTGCAGCTGGGACTACAGGCACCCGCCACCACATCCGGCTTATTTTTTGTGTTTTTAGTAGAGATGGGGTTTCACCATGTTAGCCAGGATGGTCTCGATCTCCTGACCTCGTGATCCGCCCGCCTCAGCCTCCCAAAGTGCTGGGATTACAGGTGTGAGCCACCGCGCCTGGCCCAGTAACTTTCATTCTTTGCTGGTGAGAATGCCAAATGGGACAGCCACTTTGGAAGACAGGTTGGCAGTTTCTCATAAAGATAAACATACTTTTACCATATGATCAGCAATCGCACTCCTTGGTATCCACCCAAAGGAGGTGAAGTCTTACATCCACAAAAAAACCTGCACACAGATGTTAATAGCAGCTTTTTTCATAACTGCCAAACTTGGAAGCAAGCAAGATTTCTTTAGGTAGGTGAACAGATAAACTGTGATACATTCACACAATAGAATTCAGTGCTAAAAAGAAATGGCTATCAAGTCATGAAAAGACACTGAGAAACCTTAAATGCATATTATGAAGTGAAAGAAGCCAATCTGAAAAGATTACATACTGTATGGTTCCAACTATACGATATCCTGGATAAGGCAAAACTTACGGAGATAGTGAAAAGATCAATGGTCGCCAAGCGTTAGGGGTGGGGAAGGAATGAATAGCAGCAGCATGGAGAATTTTTACAGAACTGAAAATGCTCTGTGTGATGATGTATCATAATGTTCGATATAAAATGGCAGATACGTGTCATTATACATTTGTCTAAACCCATAAAATGTACAATACCAAGAGTGAACCCTAATATAATATAATCTATGGACTTTGGGTGATAATGATGTGTCAATGGAGTCTCCATTGAACTAATGGAGTCTCCATTAATTGAACTAATGAAGTCTCCCTGGATTTGGAGGAGAAAGATTCATTGATTGTAACAAATGTGCTCTTCTACTGGGGGATGTTGATAGTGTGGAAGGCTGTGTATGTGTGGTGGCAGAGATTATATGGGAACTCTCTGTACCTTCCTCTCAATTTTTCAGTGAACTTGAAATTTCTATTTAGAAGTAGACTCTTTAAAGTCATTATAAGAAAAAGATACTTGCACACGCATGTTTATAGCAGCACAATTTACAATTGCAAAAATATGGAACCAGCCCTAATGCCCATTAATCAACGAGTGGATAAAGAAATTTTGGCGTATATATAATCAAAATTTCTCAATACTATGTGTGTGTGTGTGTGTGTGTGTGTGTGTGTGTGTGTATGTATACACACACACACACACACATATACATATACATACACATACACACCGTGGACTACCACTGGCCATAAAAAGGAATTTTGCAGTGAACTAATGGCATTTGCGGCAACCTGGATGGAACTGTAGACCATTATTCTAAGTGAAGTAATTCAGGAATGGAAAACCAAACATTTTATGTTCTCACTCATAAGTGGGAGCTAAGCTTTGAGGATGCAAAGGCATAAGAATGATACAATGGACTTTGGGGACTTGCAGGGAAAGGGAGGGTGAGGAATAAAAGACTACCAATTGGGTACAGTGTATACTGCTCAGGTGATGGGTGCACCAAAATCTCAGAAATCACCACTAAAGAACTGATTCTTGGAGGCTGAGATGGGCAGATCACTGGAGGTCAGGAGTTCGAGACCAGCCTGGGCAACATGATGAGACCCTATCTCGACTAAAAACACAAAAATTAGCTGGGTGTGATTGTGCATGCCTGTAATCCCAGCTACTCAGGAGGCTGAGGCAGGAGAATCACTTAAACCTAAGAGGCAGAGGTTACAGTGAACCAAGATTGTGCCACTGCACTCCAGCCTGGGTGAAGAATGAGACTCCAACTCAAAAAAAAAAAAAAAAAAAAAAAAAGAACTTATTTATGTAACCAAATACCACCTGTTCCCCAAAAACCTATGGAAATAAAAAATAAAAATAGTCTTAAGATTAAAAAAAAGAATGATGCATAGCAATGTGTTTAATAGCCATTTATATCCACAAATAAATTAATCAACAGTGTTCATAAGTTCTTGAATATGCAAAGAATTGCTCTGAAACATGCAAGAAGCATAAAGCAGGTTACCATTAGAGAGAACTGAGCAGCTGAGAGACAGGGTGCACGTGAGACTCACCATCTTCCACATACCATTTTCTACTATTTAAGTGTCATACCACATACAAAACACTAAATGCCCATTGATCTTTGACAAAGTGGCAAAGGCAATACAATGGAGAAAAAATGTCTTTTCAACAAATGTGCTGGAACAACTGAACATCCACATGCAAAAAATTGAATCTAGGCACAGATCTTATATCCTCCACAAAAATTAACTCAAAATAGACCAAGAGCCTAAATGTAGAATGAAAAACTATAAAACTCCTAGAAGGAAACAGGATAAAACCTATATGACCTTGGAAACGATCTTTATTTGAAACACTAAATGTCCATTGATTTCCAATACCCAGAGTGATATTTATTTGTGGGATGCTTAGTTGCCTGTGCCAGAATCGGCCATTTGATTCCTAACTCCTCTGCAAGGAATCCACTCCAGTGGAGCCTTTTACCATACCTTGTTTGCTTCTCAACTCAAGCCTTTCTTCATGCTTCCTGCCAACTCTCTGCCTACCCATGCACCTTGACATCCTGCCAGGCCTTCAATACCAGGTGCAGACACAACCTCCCTGGGGCTTTCCCTGTCCATTACCCCCAGGATCCCACTGTTTCTTGATCCACAGTCCCTTCCTGGCTTGTTTCCTGCTGCCATTCTCAAGTTTTCAGCTAAAATACACATGCCTAAATTGCATAGACCAATTGCTGTGTTCTTAATGTTGCTGTTTGATGTGTTGAAACTTTATCATCACTATGAAAATATCAAGAGAAAGTATCCTTGGGAGGTGATGAGATCATGAGGGCTCATGAATGGGATTAATGCCCTTATAAAAGAGGCTTGTCTCCCTTACCCTGCTGCCATGTGGGACACATAGAAGGAGCCATCTATGAAGTCCAGGCCCTCACCAGGCACTGAATGTGCTGATGCCTTAATTTTGGACTTCCAAACCTCCAGAGCTGTGAGCAATAAATTTCTGTAGTTTATAAATTACCTGGTCTAAGGTATTTTGTTATGGCAGCTGGAATGGACTAAGACACTGGTCATACACATCTCTGTAATTCTACGGTGACTTTCTTTTTGTTGTTGTTTTTGAGACAGTGTCTCTCTCTCTGTCACCCAGGCTAGAGGGCAGTAGTGCCATCTCAACTCACTGCAACCTCCACCTCCTGGGCTCAAGCAATTCTCCTGCCTCAACCTGCCAAGTAGTTGGGATTACAGGCTTACACCACCATGCCCAGTTAATTTTTTTTTTTGAGACCGAGTTTCACTCTTGTTGCCCAGGCTGGAGTCCAATGGTACAATCTCAGCTCACTGCAACCTCTGCCTCCCCAGTGCAAGCGATTCTCCTGCTTTAGCCTCCCAAGTAGCTGGGATTACAGGCACACACCACCACATCTGGTTAATTTTGTATTTTTTGTAGAGATGGGGTTTCTCCATGTTGGTCAGGCTGGTCACAAACTCCCGACCTCAGGTGATCTGCCCACCTTGGCCTCCCAAAGTGCTCGGATTACAGGTGTGAGCCACCATGTCCAGCCTCTATGGTGACTTAAAAGTATCAAGTGCTCAGTGAAAGAGAGGATATTGATGATTTACTTCTCCTGCCTTCATTGGTCAGCTCACTCATCTGATAACCTTTGGGATCTGGTGTAAATTCATACCCCATAGGGAACTATAGGGCCACTCCTGCTGTGCTGAGCAGAGGGCTGGCTGGGCAGGGCCACCTGGCCTTTGAGACTGCCTGGTAGTCTGACTCTCATTGCCCGGGCCCATCTCATCTGTGCTCGCTTGCCAGGAATCCCGAGGGTCCTAGAATCCCAGACTCTACATCCTACAAGAGTTGGAAATTACTCTTTCTGCTGAATTTACTCTGCAACCTAGTTGCACCACACTTTCAGCCTGAAGGACACAAGGGAATTCAGGGAGAATGCAAGAGAAAAGAATACATGCCAGCAATATAACCAGATCTGACAGGTTAGTTTAAAAAACAAAATGCAATTCTGTCTGGATCAGAGTGTGTGAATATGGCAGGGTCTAGAGGCTGGGGGCTCAGGCCTGGCAGAGGCCAGTTAGGCAGGATGCCTTTTCCTTCCTTAATCACCACTCCCTCACCCACAAACAGGGCAGCCAAAAATTTTAGGCAAGAATCAGACTAGAGGCAGAATTAGAAAGTGTCAGTAAAATAGCAGTAGGTGGTGTTGGGATGCCGACAGACCCTCACTGGCTCCTCCAGACCACCTCACGGGAAGAACCGAGGGGGGCTGAAGTCTCTGTACCCTCTCCTCTTCTCAAGCCCCCCTTTCCCAGGTTGGGGAGGGTGAAATTATTTATTTGGGGGGTGGGTTCTTTTTTCTTTTTTCCCTGCCCCTCATTTGATCTCTTTTGGTGCAGTGCTGCTGTTAACAAAAAATACAGCATGTTTGAGACAAAGTATGCACAATTCCTCTTCCAGAAAGGAGGCCTTTGAAGAAAAGGCGAGTGATCAGAATAAAGAGAGGGAGCGGGGGTGGGGAGGGGGCGGGAGGTGAGTGGGGAGCCCAGGCTAGGAGGGCAGGCTTTGATCTCCCCACACAGGCCTGTGCCTTTTGCGTTTTATTTCACTGTTGGGATGAGGGGAGCTTTTTGCAAGGGCGTGATGTAAATGCTTAAGGAAAGGAGGCAGGGTGCAAGCTCTCAAAACTACAGATGCAGACACAGGTGCCAGGGATGCCTCCTGTCTGCTCCCATGGGGCATCACCCAGAGCAGGTTAGTAAAGGGCTGCCCTGGGAGGAACCTCTTCCCGTGTCCACCCCTCCTTCCTCAAACATCCATGCTTTCACATTCCTACCACATTCACTCACACTATCTCACTTACAGTCATACACACAGTCATCATTCACACACACACACACAGAATTCACACTCACATGTTATCACACGCAGTTATCATGCACCCTCAGAATTCAGCCACACACTAGCTCACACATAATCTCACAGTCGTACTTACATTCAGAATTCACACTCACACACACTAACAGGCACACACTCAGAATTCACACACACTAACTCACAGTCATACACAGTCAGAATTCACAGTCTCACACATACACACTCACCATTAACCTACACACACTATCTCACACTCATACACACTCAATTCACACACCACTGTCTCACAGTCGTACACATATTCGACGTTCACACTCACACACACTGTCAAACACACACTCAGAATTCATACTTACACATTATCTCAGTCATACACACTAACACACTCAACATTTACAATCTCACACTCTGAATTCACACTCCAAATTCACACTCAGCCATAGACACTCATCATTCACACTCAGTCTCACACACAGGC
This sequence comes from Homo sapiens, assembly GCF_000001405.40. Taxonomy (NCBI): domain Eukaryota; kingdom Metazoa; phylum Chordata; class Mammalia; order Primates; family Hominidae; genus Homo; species Homo sapiens. The sequence goes on from NC_000008.11 coordinate 21,160,397, forward strand.
ATACACATACCCAACATTCACATTTAGTCTCACAGTCATATATGCACACCATTCACACACACTATCTTGATAGACATACACACTCAGAATTCACATTCATACACATTATGTCAGTAATACACACACATGTTCACATCCCTTGCACACTATTACCTCATACTCAGTCATACCCATGTACCCATTCACACATTCACACACACTCACATTATCTCAGTTATTCACACACTCGTAAGTTCACTTGCCCACTCATCCCATCTCACACACACTCACCCTAACACACAGTTCTACACACACACGTTTACAGACCCCCACACTCATCCACACTCTCTCACACACACACAATCTCACATCCATACTCACATATTCATACCCACACACACTATCTGACATATGTTTGCACACACACTACCCACATTCACACACTAACATACACATGCACGGGGGATCAGTTCTGACAAGGTTGTCTGCAACACAATCAACAGGGGCTTCCATATGACTCCTTCACTAGGGTCTCTGGCATGTTCCTCCTTCCAACTCCCAGGACCCTGCCCCGCAGCATCCCTGCCCAGCCTGCCCATTTCCTGTAGGCCCTAAGCCTCCATTCAGGTCAAGTTTCCTCACTGCCCCTGCTCTGGAGCTTCTCCCCACCTCCCCTTACATGCCTGCCCACAGCTGGCTACAATAATACCCTAAGCCGAGGCAGTAACAGCTAATAACAGCTTCACAAGCAGAAGATCTTGGTGAGATCTTAACTCAAAGTGAGACAGGCCTTAGTGCCTTGGATTGCAGCCACAGTGGTGGAGCACCAGGCCTCAGGAGCAGAGTGATGCCGAGATGGCTGCAGGAAGAGGAATGTGGGCGAGTTTCTGCCTTTCAAATCATGTCAAGCATTCCATCAGTCATGACCTTGGCCATGGAAGGGTGACTCCACTGGACGCCCCCTTGGGAATTTTCAGACTTGTGAAAGAAGGATCCCAACCACCAGACCTAGGAGGGATCTCATCCATGCTCGCTCCACCAGAAGAGGTTGCAGGTTGTGCCCAGAAGATCTCTTACCTCCAGAGACTCCACACAACAGAAAGCATTCCCTTGACCCCCTAACCTTTCAGAGAATAAGTATTTGCTAAGATGCTGCATGTACTAGGGCAGAGCCAGGCATACAGACCACTTTGCATTCTCCTGTTGGACTTCAAACTATGCTGGATAGGTAGTACATGTCCTCAGCACATGGGGCATGCAAGACCAAAAAATAATACTCTCCCATCCTTTAGCTGTAACTGTCTCACACAGACCAAACTTAGACCAACAGGGCTCTGTGCCCCCATCCAGTTAGCACTACCGGACTGCTCTTAGGACAGTGCCTTGTCTTTGGCCTGCCAAGTTCTAGGTCACCCTCTCTCCCCTGGTCTCATCCTGCATAGACAGCCTTTGAGTCACATTTACTCTTTCCTTCCCATCCTTAAGAAGACTCAGCCCTTGTCCTCGGGATGCCTCAGGGTAGAAAATAAAGCAGAGTGGATACGGACTCCAGCTTCACCCCCCACCACACTTACTAGCCCTTGGCAAGTTAATCGCCTGCCGCCACGCTCAGTTTTATTTACTGTAAAGTGAGCGTGTAACTCTCAAATTTAGAACTCCAGCACATACCTTTCCCTTGAATGGTAGAAGGCTATATCCAGTGCTACTTGACATCTCTGCTTGAATATCAAGTAGGAGTCTCAAACTTAGCAGGTTGAAGCTCAACTTCTGATTTCCCACTCCAAACCAGGCCTCTCCTGGTCTCCCTGTCTGAGTGAACATCAGCTCCATCCTCCTGCTTGCTCAAGCCACAGTTCTCAGATTTGTCCTTCCTGCCCAATAACCCAGTCTCCCAGGATTATCTTCAAAATGTATCAAGGAAACTACTACTTCCCAACTAAATCTCCACCACCTTGCTCCAAGCTACCAACTCCTCTACTGCATCAGCTCCTGGCTTATCTCTAAGCTTCCCTAGCTCCCAGTGTACAGCTGCAGGAAGGTTGTGGAGTGATCCTACTATAATGTAAGTCATTTGCACCCCTCAAATCCTGTAAAGGGTCTCCGTCTCACTCAAAGTAAAAGCCAAAACATTCCCTGGAGCCTACAAGGCCTCACAGGCTCTGCCCTCACAGTTTGGCTCCCATTCAAGCCTCATCTCACTGGTCCTCTCTGCCCAGACTACACCAGCCTAACTCTATTCTTTGAACTGACCACGCACCCTCCAGATTCAAGCCCTTTGCCTTTGTAGTACCGTCTACCTGCAAAGCCTTTACCCCAGATATACATGTGAGGACACATCCCTCACCTGCTCCATGACTTTGCTCAAATGTTACCTTCTCAGCGAGAACTTCTCTAACCCCAGCCCTGGCACTTCCTCTCTGACCTCCCTATTTCATCTTTCTCCATGGTCCTTATTGCCATCTAGCCTATTATCTTCCTTTTACTTATTTATTTATTGTCTGTCTCCCTTTGCTTGCACTGATCCTTATGAGGGCACAGTGTTTAGTTTCAGACAGATCCCCAGAGATGAGAACAGTTCCCAACACGGAGCACACAGTAAGCCTTTGTTGAATGAATTGTTGAAGGAATGCATGAATGTGTAGGGGGTGAATGAGTGATATTGATTAAATACTCCCTAGGTATCAGGCATTGTGAAAGTGCTTTCCAGGTATTAACCCCTTCTATCTTCACCCTGACTGAGAGGCAGGCGTTTTTGTGATCCCCATGACATAAGAGCAGGAGCCTGTCATGACTTGCTGGGAAGAACAAATGAGGTCATGTATCCAAAGTACAAGGTTCTCAGTAAGCTCTCAATAAATGCTGACAATTGCTACTATGATCAACATCATCCAAGTCATCCACACCCCTGTACTGAGCCCTTCCCTCATGGCCATCACTGTTCTGGGCATGAGGGGTTGACGCTGGGGTTGGTTGGAGAAGAAGCAAGGCCTACTTGAAAAGGGCCCCCAAATCAGCTCAGGTGAGGGCCTCTAACTCTGGGAGGAGCATACCCCACACCACTTCAGGTGCTTGAGACAGTTGCTCTGTGCCCAGATAGATGGGCAAGCATTCAGGCTAAGTCCCCAGTGGGATGGACAAACCCACCAGCACAGGCCTAGGGGAGCAGGCCACTTTGAAGCTGTCGAGATGGGGAGGATCCTGTATGTTTGTGTGAGCTAACCGGCCCTTCCACTAACCCCGCCCCTGTCAGCCTCCCCTCCTCGTGTGACTCCAGAGGAAGAGTCCCTTGCCCTGGCCTGGCCTCTGGTTCCTCACCTGAAAAGGTGAAGGGGATTGTACCGCAGCATCCCAACTATCTCCTTCAGCACCGAGTGGCTGTCTGACTCCTCCGGTCAGAGGTACCAGAATAGGCTAAATATCCCCAGCAGCTGCCATCCCAGCGGGTGGGATGAGAGCGAGCCTGAGCTCTGCTCCCTTGATCTCCTCTGCGTCTCTGCTGGATGGCAGGGGTGAGCTGGAGCTTCCCTGGAGGCTGCCACATGCTGGACTCCCCCAAAGTGCTGACTCCTGAGCCTCTCTGCTCGTTTTCTATGCATTGAACTTCAAACACCAGAGAGGCACTCAGGCAGCAAGACGGGTGGATTTGGCCATTATGTTCTCGCTCTCCTTTTTCCCTTCATCTCCCTCAAGACAGGATTATGGGTTGCACCTATTAATTCTTGTCTGGAAGCAGCAAGCCAACCTTTTCTCTTTGTGGAGTTTTATAACCTTCTCTGCTGCAATGGAGGAGGCTACGAGCCATTCCTCTCACCCAAGCAGCATCTGGCAGAAGGAGTGTCCTCTGAGTTAACTAGCTAAGGACACAGCTGTATGAGGCACCAGGCCTTCTCCCCAAGGAGAGGAGGGGAAGGTGTGTGTGTCTGGCATATAGGAGCCTCCAAAGGGAAGACACCTGGAAATCTCCCTTCCTTGATCTGTTTCCCAAGGACAAACACAGAAATCAAAATAAAACTGTGTCCAGTGAACTCATTTATTCATTCATCTGCTTTTGACGAAGTGCCTCCTAAGTGCCAGGCACTGTGCTAGGCTCCAGGGTACAGAGATAAACTTCACAGCCTGGAAGCATATAATTGGACAACAATCAGTGAAATTAGCACTTTTAATGCTCTGATAGTGGAAAGCACAGAGGACACCAAGCTCTGTTCGGAGAGTGGGGCAGGAAGGGCCAGTTTCTGCCAGTCTTGGGGGAGAAGGATAGTGGCGACAGTACCACACCCTGCTCAGAGCCAAGGAATGCTGATAAACAGAAGCTATGCCTGCCTGGGTGGACTTTGGAAGGTTAAGTAGAGGGAATAAAATATACACAGGTTAGGCCACTTAAAAGACAAAGTACATTTCTCCAATCACATGTATTTCCATATGGCCAAAAAGAACCGTTTCTATGGGGAAGAAGTGAGAGATGATCAAAGAGAGGAGTGGGACCTTGCACATCATGCTAAGGAGTCTGGATTTTCTCCCAGAGAGCCTGGGATGCCACCGAAAGATATGATGTAAGGGTGTGACATGATCAGGTTTGTGCTTTAGAAAGAGGACTCCCATTGCAAGGAGGAGAGATGGAATTGTGGTTGGGAAGTCATCCAAGACTGAGGATGAGAGAAGAATCCATGCAGACGGTTGTTACAGTAATGATGGGTGCCGGGGGTAGGGGGTGGTCTGGGAGTGGAGCATGTTTAGAAGGTGGAATTTGCAGGTCTTGGAAATGATTCCATGATAGAGGTAAGAGGAAGGGAAGATAAAAGAAAAGGAGGGGGTAATCCTCAATTACTCATTTTGGTGACTGGGTGGATGACAATGACATTTGCTGAATAAAAATATTCAGTGTGAGAAGCAGATTTGCAAGGGAGAAATGACAGGCTCACTTTCAGAGCGGTTGAGTCTCCAGTGCTTGCGAGCTGCAAAAGAGAGGAAGCTGAGAAAGCAGCTCCAGGAAGTGGCTCCACAGCACAGGAGCGAGGCCTGGCAGGGACAGCCTGACATGTGGTTGGCAGGGGCCACCCAAAGCCCTAGGGGTAGATGCAATCTCCCTTAGAACTTTCGTAGAGTAGAAAGAGAAGCAGGCAAGGATTCAAGCAGGAAATATCCATAATGAATTAGAAAGATATTAGAAAGGTCCACAACTGGACCACAACTTTCTTAAGAGCAAGGACTGAGCCTGGGACCCTCATTTAAATAGCCACGTTCCTGGATCAGAGAGTGCTGGAGTCATAGCTTAATGACAATACAGGGTCTAAGAATACATTTAATAGAGAAAAAGAGAAGAGAGAAATCCTTTCTAATTAATTATGGCCATTTCCTGCGTAAATCCTTGTGGGCCCCCCACAGGAGAGTTAAACACCTCCAAGTCCAAAAAGAAAGACTCAGTCATGGGGCTGTGCCTGTACTGGCTACCTGGCTTCTGGAAGCTCTTAGGAGGGAAATGTTCATCAGATGGGTTCTTTTGGGGCCTCTGCAGTCATCATCGTCCTCTCAGCAGAGCTACTGCAGGCTCATTGCTACCCCAGGGTTCCATGACCAAATGTGATGCAGGCTATCTTAGACAGAGCCTCCATTTACTTCCCATGTTAGGAGTAGGCAGTGCTCCAGTGCTGAGAAATGAACACTTCCTTTTACCTGACAGCATCCCCGTGACCCAGACCTGCTCTCCAGTTCACCTTTGTATCCTGCCTAGATCCCTGTACCAAGTTCCTGTTCTGATACACTATCTTTTCCTTGTGTGTTTCTTAGGATTCCAGTTAGCCTTTGCATGCCACTCAGTCCTAGCCCTGGGGGAGAAGACTAGTGGCTAGGGTGCCACACTCTGCAAGCAACTCAGGAGGGTATTTGAGGCTGACTGCCTGCAGGTTGGTTATCTGGGTTTCATCCCTCCTGGAAGTGTGTTCCTAAGCTTCATCCTTTTGCGAGAATGCCTTGATGCAGTCTGCACACTGGCTTGCCGGTGAGGTTGAAACCCTGTTCCCACCAACAGAATCCAGGGGCCAGTGGCCAGGCTTTTTTCTGTCTGCCCCAATTGTAATTAATCTGTCCCACCTCTGCCCTGGCTCCAATACTTGGCTATGATATTAGATATCCATCTGCCTCTCATGCCTACAGACTTTTGCCTCTGTCCATCCAGAGCTGACCAGTTCCCACTGCACTTTCTTGATACACAGCAGTCACTTAATAAGGCTGCTTGGTGGCAATGAAGGATACAATGGGGGGCCAGTGACCTTGCTGAGGGACTGGCTCAGTTGGAGGCAGGACCATGAAACTGGGCTTTCCTGCTCCACTTTCTTTCTCCCTTGATTCCTGCCTTCTGCCAATCCTCTTAAAACAGCAAAAACCCTATTCTTTCTTCTCTTTTTCTCTAATAAATGTGTTCTTAGACACAATAAATGGGTTCTTAGAACTCTTAAGGTTCTTAAACAACCTTAACGTTGTTATTAAGTTGTGACTCGAGCACTCTCTGATCCAGGAACGTGGCTACTTAAGTGAGGATCCTGGCTCAGTCCTTCCTCTAGAGAAAGTTGTGGTCCAGTTGGGAGAAGGGTTCCCAGGTCACCCAAGCAGTCGGCAGAAGAGCCAATGCCTGTCTCTAAGCCGTGTATGTTCAGCTCCCTCACTGAAGACCTCTCAAGGGAAGGAAAGCCAACAGCCATTCATCGAGCATTTATTGTGAGTACCAGACCCTGCACAGGAGTTTGAACTAGGAGTGGCTCTCAGTTAATCTTCATCACAAGTTTACGAAGTCCAAACGCCCATTTCACAGGTGAGGAAAGAGCATGAGAAGAGACGAAGACACAGGAAATGGGGATGGGGACATGGGGAATAGTAACAGCTTAGTCTGGCAAGTGTTAGTGGGGTAGCCCTGGATCTTGGGAACATGCCTCCCTCTTTTGTCCTTGACTTTCTCATCTGAGTATGAGAGAGCTGGACTTAATGACCTCTGAGTTCTATTCCAGTTCTTTTTCACTCTCAGAGTAATGCATGATCCCCAGGAAAGTCCCCTCCACTGGAGGAGGATGTCCAAAACATTCCTGTTGGACCACAGTTCTCTCTGGGGAAGCAACCTGGGCTTCACTTTCCCGTGGCTGCCCAGTCTCACCCACAACATGGCAGCACCAAGATTTTAAGACAGGGTCCTGTGGGACTTGCAACAAAGCACCAGATGAGAGATTCAGCCTGCATACATCCTAGGAGATTTGCCTGGGCTGCATGCTCCAGGTTTTGGGCTAGGACAGGGGAGAAGGTGAAACTAAGGGCGGGTTTGGAAGGAGGAGTCAAACCACAAAGAAAATCCTACAGGCTTTCTTCTGGGAATGTTCTCTGTGGTCTGGGAGTACAGGCAGTTCTAGAGTCTTCCCAAGAGAAAACATACTTGTTATCCCCCTTTCAAGAAAGCAAAGACATGCACCTTCAGAATTCACAGATCTTGTTGTCTTTTTGCCCCCCAGTGGAATCCAGGCGATCCCCTGCGATGATTCTCAAGCTCTAATTTGAGCAGCTGGACCTCTTGAACTCTGGTATGTGGAAGTGGAGCTGCTTGCCAGCCTTTAGAGAAGGGTGCAGCAGAGATTCGCCCTCCCTCAGTTCACACCCACTTTGTTCCAGGGTGGGGCGTCCATTGCAAACGACAAAACCAACAAGACAAAATACAATCACGGGCAGTACAACTCAACTCGCTCAAACAACCAGGAATTTTACAATCTCACAGCATGGAAAATCCAAAGACAGGTGGCTCTGTTGACTTCACGTCCTCACAGGATGAGGCTGTTCTTTGTTTTGTTTCTGATGCTCTGCCACATTCAGAATGTTCAAGATGAGGGTAACTTCTCCAGGTCTCTCCCATCGGGGTCACAAGACAGCTGCCATTCACTGAGAAAGACATGGAGTCGTTCATTCTTGCCATCTTTTTAAAAAACAGAACTTCCCCGGGAGCTCTCCAACCCCTGCAGCCCTCATCGGCCCGGGATGCTTGACACACACAAGTTATGCCTTGCCAAAACCCATCGTCTGCACTCAGGACAGGGTACGGCTGTGCAGCCCTGAATGAGATAACTAAGTGGAGAATGGTGGATGTCTAAACTCAGTGCAGGCTCAGTTAGGAAAGGAGAAGGCTTTCCTGCCCAGGATCTGGTACTCACAATAAATGCTCGATGAATGGCTGTTGGCTCTCCTTCCCTTGAGAGGTCTTCAGTGAGGGAGACGAACATACGTGGCTTAGAGGCAGGAAAGGGTGTGAATTGCACAGACAAATGGCATCATGCGCTAAAGAGGGCCCAGCTTCCCTAGGCCCGGCGGACTTGGCTTCTCACCTGGCTCTCCAACTAACTGGTGCTCATCTGCTTGGCTTTCCACCAACCAATTGCCTTTTTTCTCTTTCATCCAGCCAGCCTCGGGACAAAATCCAAATGTTGGTCAAAGTCCTTTTTCTCCCAGGTAGGGAGACTGTGAGCCTGGGCTCCAGCCAGAGAGGATGTGCTGCTGTCCAGGGCCCACAGGAAGGCTGCACGGTTCATGCATCCTGGTGTCCCCATGAGAATGCATCTCATTGCCCAGGTGCTCAAGGCTGCCAGGCTGGAGGAGTGCACATGATGGTGAAGACGACCTTGGTCACTGGAGCTTTCCACATGTGGACACTATGCATATAGTATCATGCGTTCCTCCATTCTAGCTGTGTGACTTTGGGCAAGTAACTGAGTATCTCCACTACCTCAATTTCCTTATAAATATATATAATGTGTGTATATATATATGTGTGTGTATGTGTGTATAATTTATGTAACTATGTATATAATAGTAGCAACCTCATAGGAGCATGTAAGAATTATCTGGGTTCCTACATGTAAAACTGTCAGCACAGAGTAAGTTCTCAAGAAATGGGAGCTCGTCACCATCACCGCCCTTGTCATCAACATCATCACGGTTATACAGAAGACATTCATCACAGTCTCACGATGCCAAAGCAGGCTGCCTTCAAGTGAAGAGTCTAGAATGGCAGACTCCCAGTAAGCTTCACCACCGAGGCCTCAGACACTGCTGACCTCCTGGGGATAGAGGGGATGGACTCAGGCTCTGACCCTCCTTGCCCCAGAAGCTCCAATGGTGGGAGGAGGAACACCCCTGGAGCTGATAAACTGGGTGACTCCTCAGAGCCTTGCATCTTGTGGGCTCATGACGTCAATCATGCTGCCCCACCCACAGCCCTTCCTCCCTCCCCACACCTGACATGCGTACAGACACTCCTCATGACCCTCCCTTCTGCCCTTTGCACCCTTCCATTGCTCTACCCTCTCACGAGGCTGACTGTCGGTAGCTGCGCTGGAAGCAACCACAGGGCAAGGGAGGCATCTCTAGGCTATTTGCCTCCAGCTCCAGGAGCAGCCCTGGAAAGACAAGCGAGGGGGTGAGAGTGGGGGAGAGCTGATTCTTTGTACTTCCTCACACAGGAACATCAGGAAGCCCATATGGTGCTACCGTCTGGCTGAGTTTAGGGGCGGGAGAGCTGGGAGGACAGCGCAATGCCCCCTGCAGTGGCTCGGAAGGAAGAAGTCAGTGATGTGTGCGGGTTTGATAGGATGGCGCCATGTGTGTTCAACACACAGTCTGGGGCCACGGCCGGCACATTCTCCCTTAAAAATACCCTGCTTAGCTAAATTACCTCTGCTTTCTGAAAATGCAGCTCCTCCAGCTGGACTTTCTCTCTGTCCCTCCCTCTCTGCACACTCGTCTACCCTGCGTTCTCCGTACTCTTCCCTCTGTTTCCACACACATCCATCCTCCTTCCCTTTTCCCTCCGTGTCTGGCTTTCCCTCCCTCTGGGCAATCCCACATTTTCTCTCCCAGACACCTCCCCTTGCTCTCCGTGGGGCCTCTTCTCCCTAGTGAAGCTCCTGTCAGCCCTGCTATCTGGGTTCACTCCAGCCCAGCCCAGCCTAGCTCAGGCCTACTGGACCCAGCCCCCACTGCCCTCTTCAACTCCCCACCCTGGGGTCTTCCCTCTAGAAATCAGGTTCACCAGCATCGCATAGCCCATTGACTGCCACCAAACGCTCAGTGGAAGGAGTGATTGATAAGAGGCGCTGCACAGGGAGGTGAGGGCAACAAGGCTCAGCTCTGAGCCCAGAGGCCCCCTCCCCTCTGCAGGATGTGAACGGAGCCAGGCAGAGAGCAGACGCGCGGACATGCGCATAGGCATTGCGGCAAGGAGGCTGGAAAAAATGGGGAGGGGGCACCCATAATACCACACGGGAGCCCCAGAGGAGAGGACGGCTCCTGGGGTGCATGAGAGCAACCTGCTCACAAGGACAAGAACCCGGAACAGGGAACCAGCCTGGCAGGTGAAGAGGCTATGAGCGGTGATGGTTCTGGCCCGACAACAGTGGTGGTAGCAGTGAGAAGGTAGGGAGAGCACAGGCCAAGGGGAGATAAATAGCCCAGGTGTTAGATTGAGGGTGACATCAGTGGGCAGAGGAGGCATGGCCACATTTTCCAGTCCAGGATTGGGAGGAAGCACCTGTGAGCTTGATATTTTTAGCATTTAAGACTTGAATACGTTAAATTCAGAGCAAAATGGTCAAGTCAGCCACATGTGCCCTTAGCAACCTCCTGTCCATCTTCTGCAGCTTCAGCCTTGCCCTGAGGGAAGTGTGGGTCATATCACCTGGGAGAGGGGAATACAAGGAGCCTTAAAGGGCCCCCAGTCCTGCAAGACAAAAGAGCTATATGCCATCCACTGCAGGAACAGGAACTTAAGAGAAAATGGCATCTTCCAGGGAAGTCACAAGGGCTACAAAAGCAGAGTCCTGTTGCAGGAGAGGGTAGCCAGCCAGCCCTGGGGACCATGACTAGGAAACAGTTTTATTTTTCTAACAAATGTCCCTCCACACTTCTCTCTCAGAGCCCCGACTCTCTCACTGGGCAGCAGCTTCCTGAATGGCATCTTGGCCTAATTCCATCACCTACCAGCCACTTTCATTTATTAGAACAGTATCACAGTGGTCCTTAAGACTTGGTCTTGTTCATTTTAAAACTTCAATCTCAAACTCAGATCAAAGCTCCCCTCCTGTGGCTATAGCAGCCTGGTGTGTGTGTGTGTGTGTGTGTGTGTGTGTGTGTGTGTGTGTGTGTGTGTGTGTGTGTGTGTGTTAGGGATGAAGAGGATTGTGTTGCTAGATTTTGCAAATAAAAATATAGGGTGCCTGGTGAAATTTGAATTTCTGATGAATATTGAATATTGAATGAAAATATCCAAATGCATTTTTAGGGTATTTCCTAGGCAATATTTAGGACATATTTATGCTGAAACATATTCATTGTTATCTGAAATTCACCTTGAACTGGGCATCCTGTATTTTACCCGGGGACCCTGGGGTGAGACTCCAGGGCATCCCTGGACATCCCTGCCTGTTCTCAGCCCCAGGGATGGCCTCAGCAGAGACACACCCAGCTGGCAGGCATCCTTCAGGGGCTGCCCTTGAGTCTCCGGCTATCACCCACCTCCCTCTGTGCAGCGGGCATCACCATGCCAGCTCCCAGGGGGTACACACTGTGGTGCCGTGGACCCAGCTCCACTGCCCCATTCCCCCAGGGGGAGGCTTCAGTTCTGCTCAAGCTCTGCCATCCCCTCTCACCTCCTGCTGCCAAATCTCTGCTGCTAGATCTCTGCTGCTGACCCCACCTGTCTAGGGTGGGGAACTCCAGAGACTCCATCATCCTTATCAGTTGGGGAAACCACAGGCCATCTCTCTCTCATGCTGTTTCTGCCTGTTTGTGTCACAAAGGGACAGATCAGCCAGCCTGCAGGATAGGCAGACACTGGCTGGGCACACAATGCCTGTCTTGCCTCTTCGTAGAAACCCTGGTCTATATGAGTGACTCTCTCACAGCTTCCCTCTCTCATCATAGAGGAAAAAAATCATTTTCCTCTTCCCCAGTCAACTTCCCTTCTCACCGTCTTCCCCTTGCATGAACTAGGGAGGCAGAGGTGGGCACAGTGGAGGCATCAGTTCCAGCTCCACGGTAAGCCCTGCGCGATTCTGCTGGCCCAGCTGCAGGGACTCCCTGCACCTAGAAGGTGGGGAACTTAGTGTTCTCTGTGCTGAGATTTGGGCCTTAGTCCCCATTCCCGGACAGCAGGAGAATCCCACTTGACATCTTGTTGCCATCAATGTCATTCCTGTCTAAAGCCAGGAAGAGGAAGGAGGTGTGGCTCACAGGAGAAGTTGCAGGGCAGGGGGTCAGAGGGTCAGGGCTCTGGTGGTCATCAGCTGTTTGATGGGGAGGAGGATGCTCTCCCTTTCAGCCCTCAGTGTTACCTTCTGTTAGATGAAGGACTGGCCTGGGTTTTCTCTTCCAGCACTTGTCCTGTGTTACTGTAATTGCAGAAGTGGGGCAGGAAGAGAAGGCCAAGGGGACCCTTCTCAGTCAGGACATAGAAATTGAAGGGTCAAAAATCATATCCTCACTTCCAGTAACCATCCTTCCCTGAGAAGAGGCCATCATTACCCTCTCCACACATCATCCTTCTAACTTTTGTGCACCCAGGAAATGGGAACAGAGAGGAGTGGGGTCAAAGGAGAGAGAGCAGAGGGCTGAGCCCCCAGGACGGGTAGGCAGAGACCAAAGCGCCTTAAGCTGGGGGCAGCAGACTTCACCCCACCAGCAGAGCCGAGCACCTAATGTGTGGTAGACTTTTCACTTATATTCTATGAAGTAGGAAAATAATTTGCAAGCTCCTGGTTAATCCTCACCATTGCCATGTGAGGTGATATTATCCATTTCTACAGCAAAGAAACTGGTATGTGTTTACCTCAAAGTGCATATCATTTTGGTTCCAAGGCACACTTTTTCACCTTTTATAACATTTTTTTCCTCCTACTCCATCCTTTAGGGAAGAAACCAGGCATTATTTAATCAATGATCTATATTACAGTGAGGCTCCAGACTATCTGCCTGCCTACAAAGACTGTGCTATTTCGATATCACTATATGGCATTGCCATTGCCTCCATCAGCACAGAGTAAAGGTGAAGGTAGGTGTGCCCTCTCAACTCAGGGCTCCTCCCAATCATGGCTCCTGCTGTGAACTGAATGTCTGTCCCTATAAAATTCATATGTTGAAATCCCAGCCCCCAAGGAGATGTTATTAGGAGAGAGGGCCTTTGGGAGGTCATTAGGCCATGAGGGTGGAGCCCTCATAAATGATATTAGTGTCCTTATAAAAAAGACCCCAGAGAGCTCCCTTGCCATTTTGGCCATATGAGGACTCACCAAGAAGGCACTGACTATGAAGCAGAAAGTGGATCTTCATGAGACATGGAATCTGCCGGTGCCTTCACCTTGGACTTCCCAACCTTCAGAACTGTGAGAAATACATTCCTATTGTTTGTAAGCCACCCAGTCTATGGCATGTGTTATAACAGCATAAAAAGACTAAACAGCTCCTGAGCAGACAGCCTCAGATGACCCAGGCCTGGCATTTAGCCAGCAGCCGCCAGAACTTCTCCATCTTTTCTTTTTAAAGACTAGTGTTTATTCTGATGGGTGGATATCCATGCTGAGCCAATTGTTAAATATTGTCATCATAATCCATGGCCCTACCATCTGTGCCAAGGTCTCACCAGCAGGTTAATGCATAAAATGAGCCCTGTTAAGCACATGGAACTGTGCTAGGCCCTGATCTGAAGGCTGAGGAGTCCAAGATTAAAGCACCAGCTTATCCTGGGGCTGGAGAGGGCTCATTTCTCATAGACGGCACCTTCTGACTGCTTCCGCACATGATAGAAGAGGTCAACAGGATCCCTGAGTTCTCTTTTATAAGGGCTCTAATCCCATTCCTGAGGGTTCCACCTTCACTACTTGTTACCTCCTAAAGTCTCTACCTCTCAATAACATCCCATTAAAAATTAGGTTTCATTATAAGAATATTGGAAAGACATAAACATTCAGGGCATAGCAATAGGAAGCTGATCTGAGACCAAGTGCCTCAATATGAGATGATGCCTCCAAGCTCATTTCCATTTCTTTAGAATAAATAAAAACCAACAAGCCTTTTTCCCCCGAGGGCTTGCAATGTACTAGGTGTTTTTAATACATTTCATCTAATTTAATCATCAATATTAACTCAGCATAGATTAAGTGTCCAATAATGTAGGAGAATCAGAGGACTGAGAAAAGTCCAGGGCGTGGATTTTGCTGTCAAGGAACACCCAGCTGTAATGATTCGAAACTAGATGTGCCTTGCAGAAGTGAGAAAAGGCTTGGTTTTACAATCATACAGACCTGAGCTCACATCTCAGCCTTGCCACTCACCACCTGAGCTCAGACAAGTCCCAACTTGAGTCTCAGCTACCCTATCTATAAAAATAAAACAAACAAAAAAAACAGAAAAAAACAAAAAAACAGACCCTGAGATCTATCTTGGAGGGTGGTTGAGGGTTGAGTAAATTAAGATGCGTTGAAGTACCTAGCACAGCATCTCACATAGCAGATGTGTCATCATCATTAGCTGGGTTGCAGTTTCTTTTCTTTTTTTTCTTATATGAATTTATTTCATTTGATAGGATTTTTATCCCATCTATGATGACAAATATTTTTCAACAGCCTTTTACTGTATCTTTTAATTAATTTTAGAGACAGGGTCTTGCTCTGTTGCCCAGGCTGGAGTGCAGTGGTGTGATCATGGCTCACTGCAGCCTCGACCTCCTGGCCTCAAGCGATCCTCCCACCTCAGCCTCCCAAGTAGCTAAGACAAAAGGTGCATGTGACCATGTCTGGCTAATTTTTTATTGTTTTTTTTTTCTAGAGGCATGATCTCACTCTTTTGCTCAAGCTGGTCATGAACTCCTGGACTCAAGTGATTCTCCCACCTCAGACTCCCAAAGCTCTGGGATCACAGGTGTGCTGTATGTTTTTAAAATAAACGTTTTATTTTAGAATGGTTTTAGACTTACAAAAATATTGGAAAAACAATACAGAACTCCCATTTACTCCACACCCAGTTTCCCCTATTATTAAAATCTTATAGTCCATTAATCATAACTAGTGAACCAATATTGATACATTATTACTAACCAAAGTCCACCATTAATTCAGATTTCATTAGTTTTTACCTAATGTCCTGGTTTTTCTGGTATTACCCCATCCAGGACACCACATTACACTTAATCATCACATCTTCTTAGGCCTTTCTTGACTGTGACAATTTCTCAGACTTTCCTCGTTTTTGATGTTCTGAACAGTTTTGAGAAATACTGGTCAGATATTTTCAAGAATGTTCTTCAACTGAAATTTTTCTAATGTTTTCTTCATGATCAGAGTGAGGGTATGAGTTTGGGGGTGGAAGATCACAGCTGAAGAGCCATTCTTGGCACACCCTATCAAGGGTACACACAATTGATGTGTGTACCTTATCCCTCTCAGTGTTGACCTCGACGCAAGGCTGAGGAGTGTGGTCCAAGTTTCTCCACTGTCAAGCTACTCTTTTTCCTCCTTTGTCGTTAGCCACATTTCCCCCATTTGCAGAAGACAGGACTTACCCAGATGAAACAAACAGCCAATAGTGTAAGATAATACATGTGGAAGTCTAAAGCAAGCAATAGGAAGCCACTAAATTCAAGGAGGAAAAGCTGGACAGAGTTAATGGGCTCTGACAAAGCCCCACTGGGGAAAGATGCCTTAAACTGGGGTAGTCATGGCAAGGTCAATAGTGTTTGGCGTGGAGGTTGGGAATGGGGAAAGCACCCTAGGTAAGGGGAATGGCAGGCGCAAAGGCAGGAGCATGAATGAGCATGCGCGTCTTGGGCCAGTCGGTGGCGGCGCCACCTCACTGTGGTTGGAGAAAGTGATCTGGGAATAGTCAAGGCTGCGTGGAGGCACTGTGTGATTCAGAAATATGAAGACGCATCCTCTTAAGGAGTGGTCTCCAGCCTTTTTGGCACCAGGAACCAGTTTTGTGAAAGGTGATTTTTCCACAGACAGGGTGGGAGTAGAGAGGGATGGTTTCAGGATGATTCTAGCATATTACATTTATTGTGCATTTTATTTCATTATGACTACATTATAATATATTATAATATATAATGAAATAATGACACAACTGGCCATAATGTAAAATCAGTGGGAGCCCTGAGCTTGTTTTCCTGCAACTAGACAGTCCCATCTTGGGGTGGGGAGACAGTGACAGATCATCAGGCATTCGATTCTCATAAGGAATGTGCAGCCTAGATCCCTCACACGCACAGTTCGTAATAGGGTTCGTGCTCTTATGAGAATCTAATGCTGCTGCTGACCTCACAGGAGGCGGAGCTCAGGCGGTAATGCCAGCGATAGGGAGCAACTGTAAATACAGATGAAGCTTCACTCACATGCCCGTGGCTCACCTCTTGCTGTGCGGCCCAGTTCCTAACAGGCCACAGACCTGCACCCACCTCCTGCTGTGCAGCCCAGTTCCTAACAGGCCACAGACCTGCACCCACCTCCTGCTGTGGAGCCCAGTTCCTAACAGGCCACAGACTGGCACCACTCTGTGGCCTGAGGATTGGGGACCCCTGCTCTTAAATATTCTTTGAGCCTATTCATTCCACAAGAGAGCAGAGCTAAAACTAGATTCAACAAGCAGGAGAACAAAGGGAGCTGCAGGACTCAGCCCCTCTGCCCACCTCCACAAGAGATTCTAGCCCAGTCCCTCTGCCTAGACCGCAGCCCTACCCAAAGTCACAGGAGGCTCCTTGTGCCAAGATCTTGTAGCGGCAAAGAAAGGCAAAGAGGTCAAGTCCTTGCACACCCAGCCAACTGCTTCCTCCTATGCATGTACATGTTTGTAGTTACAGAGGTCTGTGCCCTCACCCAATATTCCCCATGGGTTTACAGACATGTTCACACGTGGGTGCAAGCTGATCTCCATTGTCAGTACACAGATGCCCATGAATAATGCCGTGGATATACACATGTGTGTTGCACAAGCTACACAAGCTAAAGCTGGTAACCCAACCCTGAAGACCCTCACGAGCTGCTGTGGGGGATCTTGGCAACCACCCTTCCTTGCCAGCCAGGTCCTCACTGCTGGAGCAGGTAAGCTTATTCATCTTAGTTTCCTACATCTTCACCTCCATCAGCTGCTTCGCTACCCTGGATGGGCCAAGCACGGGGACTGGACTACAGTGCAAGCTTTTTCGAGGGAAGTTGCAGAAGAGAATGCCAGTAAATAATCTCTGACTGGCTCAAAGTGCTGATAACCAGTTTATGGGGAGAAAATGTGCTGCTTGTAGTCTCCGGGAACTGAGTTTCTAGTTCATTTCCATCTGCGTGGGAGGGGAATGCAGGGACTACTGGAGGGTGGGTGATGTTGGTTTAAAAAAATGAAAATCCATTTCTTTTTCCTTTGTCCTGTGGTCCAACAAGGCAGAGCCTTGCAGTCTACAAGGAGGGGGTGTGAGTGGCCTCTGGCTACATGGCAGGGCAGGGAGAAGCAAGAGGACAGGACCGAAGGCTCCCCACTCTGCACCAGGATGGGCACAGCCCAGGATGGAAGGGACTTGCTGAGGCCAGGCACAGCCAAGCTTTGGAGTCGCACAGAGGGCTGAATTCAAACCCTAGCTCTTTCACTGCTACCTTGTTGAGCTTGGGCATCTTAAGTAATCACTCTCAGCCTGGGAGTCTTTCATACATGGTAGGCGGTACAGAAGAATGGTTAAGAGCATCAATGCTGGAGTTACCTGCCTGGGTTTGATTACAAGCTCTGCCTCTTTCTCAACTGGTTGTCTGGAGAAAGTTGCACACCTTTCCTGTGCTTCATTTTTGTCATCTGGAAAATGCCTCGTTATAAAATTACTCAATAAATGTTAACTGTTTATGAAACAGTTTACCTGCAATAAAAACAACTTTAAGAAAAAAAGGGTTGAAAACGATTTACTCTCAGAATATGGGTACTCCAAGGATCACCTTTCTTTAGGAGAGGAGGGTCAACAGTAAAATGGTTGGCCTAGATGACCTCATGAAGTTACTCAGTTTGTCCATGTGTTTGAATAATGGACACCACTTGGTAAAAGAAATGTTCTAGACACTTTAATTCACACCACCATCCTGCCACGGTAGTATGCATTGAGCTTTGAGAGATATTGACTCCTGCCTTCTAGACACTGGCCACTTAAGAAATAGAGCCACAGAAAATCACAATATCAGCCGTATTAATGGTCAGGCTGAGTTGGACTTGGACCTGGGACCAGAATGGAGTCTCTTGTTAGTTCTTCCTATCCAATAAAACTATGTCTTCCCTGAAGACTCTTGGCCAGTCTCTTAGGGCCCCACAGCAGCAGGCAAAGGATCCCCAGACATGTGCAAGCAGGGAGACCCTGGGCAGGGGACCAGGTGGCTCATTGCATGGGAACAGGGGTCAAAAAAAGAGAATGGGTTTCTTTATTGAGAAAGCTGAACTCAAAAGGGGGAGGTTGGTCATACATTGAGCATCAGTCTTTCTCCTAATCTCTCTATCCAGGGGAACAGTAAGTGTAGACAGAAAAATCAATGGTATATTTCCAATCCTGTATCCTCCTGAGAAACTATGCAAGCTGACAGTCAATGTCTGTCCTAAAAACGTGGCTATTCTCTGTCGACGATGTGGAGAGTGGTATTCAGAGAGGTCAAAGGACTTGTCTAGGAACATCAGACTGGCAGAGCTAATGTTGAAACCCAACCACAAATGCCTTGCTCTTCTCCTTACCCCACTGCATGTCCTGGATCATGCTGGGTCTGCATGCTCATCCGGACTCTTTCCAGCGGTCCCTAGCTGCTCATCAGAATAGCCTGAGTCTCTTCCTCCCAGGCCCACCGGCTGTTGCTTGGCTTGTCTGCACTCCACACTGTCAGGAGGCGACATTCATAGACAGTGATGACTAACCATCCTAACAAATGGTACAGAGAGTAAGTGCTAAAAGCGTTCAAAAATAGCCCAGAAAGCCCTGGGCACACACCAAAAGGGCAGAATGACACTCTGAGTATTTCAAAGAGGGAGACACAAGGAATGCCAGTGCTGAGCTGGAGTGACCCTTTCCCACACCACAAGGCTTGCAGGAGCTGCTGAGGCCAGTGTGGAGTGCAGGGCCACAGAAGGGCCCTCTGCCTGCCTCTGTGTGTGTGTGTGTGTGTGTATGTGTGTGTGTGTAACAAGCAGCCTTTAGCAGGAAGATGCTGCCCAGATAGAGGCCTTCCTGGATTCAAATACAATGAAGGGCCTGACCCTGCTTGTGTCTAAGCTCATGAAGGAAATCCTGCTGCTGTGAGATTGGACAGCTATGTGATGGTAAAAGCAAGGGAGTACAGAGGGAGAGCAGGCAACCAAGGGAACGAAGTCAAGGCAGGAATGACTAAAGAGGTGATCCTTGATTTCAATCCCCTTGATGGGCAGGGGCTCACAGGGCCTTTGTGCAGCTCAGACAACCCCAGCTGACAGTGGGGTCTCCTTCAGAGCTGTGGGTGTGCCCTGGAGTGCAGGTGCAGAGACAAGACTCCAGAGCAGAGAACAGCCCAAGTGTGAGAGATCTAAGGGAATCAGAAACCAAAAGTCAGGTTTAAGGCAGATAGTGGAAACCGGAGCAAAACCAAGGAGTGGAAAAGCCCAGGAGAGGGAAATGGGAAGAGCTGTTCTAGGAAAAAATCTAAATAAGGCATACAATTTTTTGTTGCATAGAACTGTCCTAGGCATTGCAGCCTTGGGCCCCACATTGAGAGAACCAAAGTCCTCTCACAAATTTGCCAACTATCAGTAGTGCCTCCCCTGAGGATCAATGTCTGATCCATGGGAATTCTGATAACACAATTACCATACTTCACCACACTGGGTTCAACACCACTGTCAAAGATAGGGCCCTGGAGCTCGCATTTTCCCTAAGAACGTAGCCTAATATATGGGGAATGTGCTAGGCTCAGCTAATTACACTTTGGTTTTTTATTTATTTTTTACAGATGGGATCTTGCTTTGTACAGTATTGTGATCATAACTCTCTGCAGTTTTGAACTCCTGGCCTCAAGCGATTGTTCTGCCTCAACCTCCCAACTAGATGAGACTACAGGCACACACCACCAGGCCCAGCCTAACTGCACTTTGATGCTAACTGACTCTCCATATTCATACCTTCTAGCTTCTCCATCCCTCCTGATCTTGAACATGTAAACAATGGCAGGTGGAAACGCCCTCCTGGCTTTCCTGTGACTAAAGGTTTTCACTGCCACTGCTGCTCACCATGCTAGGGGCACCTGCCTCGCTCTTTGAGAAAGAAACCTGACATCCAGTGTTCTTCCTCATTCCTGCCTCTTGGATCCTCGAGATTTCAAAGGTGAGAAATCTTCTCTGAGCTCTCTATAAGCAGGCTTCTGATTAAATTGGAGAAGTTAGGCGATGAACACCAATACAAAGATTTTCATATTTTTTATTATAAATAGCCCAAATATTTGGTCCCATTTCCAGTTTAAATGGGTAAACCATAATATTGATGGTTTTCAACAGATGGAAGATGAATTGAGCTTCTCTACCAGCTAGCTGAACCACTTTTAATGGGGAATATATCGAAGCTATAAATTCCTGCAGACAGTATTGCTATGCAATAGCATAATATATCTTCTATTCAATCTTTTATACATTATGTTTTGTCCTGCATTCCAGTGGATATATTTATGGATCTGAAGCTTTGCCATGAAGAGGCACCATGCACCTCCTCATTCCCATCTCTCAACATTTCCATGGCCTCTGGAGATAGTCCTCTCTTGTTCTTGTTCTATGTAAAAGACCTGGAGTCTGACCCCTTTGTCCCCATGGGTAAGTTTTATCTCTGGGAACGAAGCTTTGTGGCCCCAAACGTTTCTGGGACCTTAGTGCTCACTGAGAGGTAGAGACGCTATGGAAAATGAATGGATGCTTGTAAGTAGGAGAGCTGACCCCTTGCCCTCTCTCCTGACACAGCAGTTGGGGACCTCTGGCTCTAGACACATTTTTATATCACAGGTAGAGAAGGCTAGAATGCTATTGCCACAGTCTATTTTTTTGGTGGTGGCGGTTTCTCCTATGAGACAAATCAAGACCTAGCAGTAGTTCCTATAAACTAAGTCTCTCTGTCACCAGCCCCACCCCTCAGAACTGGATGGGACCAAAATGCGGCAGACAGCACAGTCAGAGGGAAGAGCAGCTAACTCAAGCCAGAGTCTTGGAGACAGCTTGATCCAGGTCTGCCTTTGCTACTTCCCAGCTGTGTGACATGGGCGTTATCCAAAACCTCAGTTCTCTTATTCACAACAAGGATAACAGTACTTCTAGTGGTGTGCTGGTAAATATTCAATGCCCCTATTGTGTTTATTGCCTTTGTTTTTACTGTAATCTATTTCATTGTAAGTTTATATAATTTTATTTTTAGTAACAGGTTTAACAAGTGACTCACAGCATTTCTGAAATTTAACGGTCAGCTCTCCCGAGCTGGCCCCAGCACAGACTCTGCATCCCACAGAGTGTGGCTGTGAAGGACCAGTCACTGAGGGCTCACACGTATGCACTAAGGCCTGGCAACCTTAGCGACAATGAGAATAATTTTGTCAACCTTAAAAATGATATTATCAACCTTAATAATAAGAGTGGGGAGAGGGCCAGGCATGGTGGCTCACACCTGTAATCCCAGCACTTTGGGAGGCCGAGGCAGATGAATCACCTGAGGTTGGGAGTTTGAGACCAGTCTGACCAACATGGAGAAATCCCATCTCTACTAAAAATACAAAATTAGTGGGGCGTGGTGGCACATGCCTGTAATCTCAGCTACTAGGGAGGCTGAGGCAGGAGAACTGCTTGAACCTGGGAGGTGGAGGTTGCAGTAAGCTGAGATCAAGCCATTGCACTCTGGCTTGGGCAACAAGAGTGAAACTCCATTTCAAAAAAAAAAAAAAGAGAGTGGGGAGAAGGGGAAGGGAGAAAGAGGGGGAAGTGGGTACTGGGAGATGATTTAGACCACTGTCAGCACTGAGGGAAGCCAGTGACCTCATCCTTTTCCAGTCAGAACATCACCGGGTAGCTTCCTCATTTGGCTTCCGCTTACCGCACTGGGAATTCTCCAAACGTCATACACAGCTATTTTCAAATGCCAGGGCGAGGCATACGTCCCAATGCTAAATTGAAGTGATGTTTGTATTTCTCATCAGTACCTGATCCACTGTTCCCTTCTCTCTGCATAAAACAGGAGTTGACTGTGAGCAGAGCTGCACAACCAGCTTCACTGTTCCCAGGTAGACCCCGAGTGATTACAGACTGGATGACAAGGACGAATGAATGAAGCTTTTCTCCTCTGGTACAGTGTGACTGGTATGAACACCTACCTTGTAGGGTTGTTGTGAGGATTAATTGAGATAATCCATGTAAAGTGATTAGCCCGATGAATGTTTGCTGTTGCTCTTCTCCTTGGGCCTGAGGAAACCTAATCTAATGGTATAGGTGTAGGGCAGCCATTCTGACATGGTGATTAGGTGTTCTGGCAAGCTTTTATCTTCCCTGCACTGTGAACCCGAGAGATTCCACCTGGCCCCCTTTCTGGACTTCCTATTATTTTCACTGTATTTGTTAACAGAAATAAAAATTCCCTGACCTAGAAATTTAAAGAGTCATGAGTTTCCCACATGACATTCATAAAAAGAGACTGGATGGCTCTCCCCACAAAGAAGTCAACCAATCCTAGAAGCTTCAGGCTCGCCAAAAAATCAGAGATGGTCATTGACTCTCCCTCCTCCTCCGGTCCTCCTCCTCCCCTACACTTCTCCTCTCCTCCCCTCCTCTTCCTCCTCCTCCCCCTCCTCCCTTCCCCTTTTCCTCCTCCTCTCCTTCCTCCTCCTCCTTCTCTCCCTCTTCCCCTCTTCCTTTTTCTCCTCTCCTCCCTTCCTCCCCTCATTTTCTTCCTCCTCCCCTTCCTCTCCTCCTCTCCCTCTTCCCCATTCTCCTCTCCTCCCCACCTTCTTTTTCTCTTCCTCCTCCTCTCCTCTTCCTTATTCCCTTCTTCTCCTCCTCCTCCTTTTCCCCTCCTCCTCCTCCTCCTCCTCTTCCTTTTCCCCTCCTCTTCCCCTCCTCCTCTTTCTCTTCCTTCTCCAGAGATTAAGAGGAAAAGCACAAGGTCTGGAGTCAGAGGCCCTGGTCTGACAACAGCTCAGCAACTCTTGGCCAGGGGGGCTGGAGAAACCACCTCAGCCCTCTGAGCCTCAGTGCCCTCAATTGGAAAATGGGAACAGTCATTCCTAACTCAGAGGGCTGCTTTAAGGACTGATTTAAAAGACTTTGTAAACTGAACCCTGCTCCACCTGGGTTCATGGCTATTGTTAGTGTAGCAACCTGTGTCTTACAAAGCAGTTCAAATCCATTATCTCCTCTCAAGTTTATATCCCTAAAGGAGGTGCAGAAAATGGTGGTTTTGAAGGAGTTGCATGGAGCTGCTGGGTTGGAGCAAAAGCTTCACTCCGGGCTGAAGCAGGAAGTACTTGGGAACAATAGGGTGAAGCCAGCCTAAGAGTTTAGGCTCCACAGTGCTGGTAATGGGATGCGTAGGAGATTGGAGCAGAGCAGTGACAGGTAATTGAATTTGCTGAATCTCGTGGAGTTGACTTGTTCTTGTCTCCATTCCCTCAAGTAAAGTCAGCCAGTTCTTGGGGTTTAACAACCATCTGTCTCTCTCCCACACAGAGGTAACAGGATACTGGAAGAGACTTTTCCTGGTACCCCAGAATTGACAACCAGAACCCCTATCTGGCAACAAAAAGGCACTGAGAATGCCATGTTCTAAAGAGAGCCTCCACAGAAAGACAAATACCGCACATCCTGATTCATAAGTGGGAGCTAAATAACGTGTACACACGGATGCAGAGAGTGGGTTGATGGACGACAGAGACTCAATCAGAAGGGTGAGGGGGTGAAGGGATGGCTGATGACAAATTACTTAATAGGTACAGTGTATCTTATTCAGGTGATGGATACCCTAACAGGAGTGACTTGACAACTACACAATCTACGCATGCAACAAAACTGCACATGTACCTCCCATAAAATGATACAAATACATATATAAAGAAAGCTTTCAAAGTTAGACTCGGACCCTACTTCCACCCAGATGTAGTGCAAGGTGGCAGAGTAGGCTCTACTGCCACCAGCCACTCCCAACCCCCCGCGTCCCTTCCCTTCCTCCAGTCTCTGTAGGGTAACCGTGGCTGGAGAGAGAGTATCTTTGGAGCTCTCAGTTACTGAGGTGCACAGTTGTACAGTAGCCTTTTTATCCCCTCCAGTGAGGGGTTAGGATCCAAGGGGAGCACTGGCTGAGACTGACTGTGATTGTAGACACAGCACCTGCTGCTGAGACAGCATAGCACAGATGTTTCCAGCAAAACCGAGGGACGCTAGCCTGTCGAGGTCCAAATCCCAGTTCTGCTGCCCCAACTGTGTAACCTTGACCAAGTTACTGAACCTTCCCATACTTCATTTTCCCATCTGTAAAACTGAGATAACAGTAGATACTTCGTGTGGTTATTGTGAGGATTACATGTTGCTATGGACTGAATATTTGTATCTCCCCAGATTAATATGTTGAAGCCCTAACACCCAATGTAATGGTAATTAGAGAAAGGCCTTTGGAGGGTAATTAGGGTTACATGAGGTCTATTTCTGCTTTTAAGCTACCCAGCCCATGGTATTCCATTACAGCAGCCTGAGCAGACAAACACACATGGATGGTAATTTTGAGCACAGCCTGGCACATAGTAAGGGCACTGTAAATGTTTGCTTTGATCTATTAGTACTCAATTCCAGGATGGATGTTTATTTCTGCAAAGAACTTGTTAAACTGCTGCATCCCCTCCTGAGCAGAAGATACGATACTTGCATGGAAGAGAGGAGAGCCGGAGGAGATTGGTAGTGGGGCAGCTGACACTCCAACACAGGGCATGTCAAGTAGGTGGCAGCTACTATAGACCCAGGAGTGCCCTGAGACACACTGCATTGCCATTGTCAAATACACCAAAGGGCCACTAGGTGAGAGGACCCAATAACAGGAAGCCATGGGCTGGAAACCCATTCAGGGAGCTCAAGTGGGGAGCAAGAGAAGCCCCTCAGAATTCCCAACATGCACACCTGTGCCCCACAGGGAACAGTATCTGGACTCCTGCAGAGAAGGGCGCGATGGCCAGGCAGCCACTGCCAACAACAGGCTCAATTAATTAAGAAAATGTTTGCCTCTTTCCCTGTGCTTCCATGTCCTTATATTTCAACCCTGCAGGAGCTAAAAGAGGAGGAAACAAAAAATTAGAGTGGGCATTCATCCCCCACCCAAACATACCCTGCAGCTTCCTCAATCCACACGAAAAGCCTACTGAAGGGTAAGGAAAAGAAATGAGGTTGATCTTGGATATGAAACTTGAATTTAACTACAACCACTAGAGTTTAGTTTCGCCTTCATTTTTGTGACTTCATTTTAATTGGCAATACAGTCACCTGGTATAAGAGGTACAGACCAGTGGCAGCCAGATGAACACAGAGGTCCCCATTTGGATGTGGCCAACTCCAGCCTGCTGTGGGGACAGGGAGGGCCTTGGTGTGTCACAGGATCCCTAAGCACAGGAAACAGAGGCTGTGTTTCCAGGTGTGGGCTTTCCCATTATTGGACTGACTGCATGACCACATCCTTTCAGACTAGGATCCCTGACATTGGACCCGTCCAGGCAGGAGCTCTGCAAGCCTTCTTTATCAGCAGACAAGGAAAGGAAAATCATCCAAGAGAGGAAGCAGGAGTCCTTCAGACAATGAGACAGTGTCCCTCTTTTGGTGGGGGAAACGCATCCGTTTTTGGATTGACTTTCCATCACAGCCTTTCAAACTAGGCACCCCTTTTCTCAAACATGGCCTGCTCAGGAGGCCCCTCCTCCAGGTATGCCCCCTGTCTGCTGCTCCAGTGTCTGCTGCTCAGAGATCCCAGCCCAGTGGTCAGGTGGAGACTGAGTGTGCCTGGTGGGTTGGGGTAACCCAGCTCCCTCATCTCCCTCTGCTTACATCCTCCCTTTTCAGATGCACCCACACTCCAGCAAGAGCAAACCCATCCTCCGTGCCTCTGTTTCCCTCCCTCCATGCTCCTCTTCTCTTTATCCCAACCCTTGGGCCTTTATAAGGCAGACTTGGGTGTGGAAAAGCAGAATACACAGGCATCCTCCAAGGCCAGCTCTGACAAGCACACCTCCTGGTCTACAGAAGGAGCCCCTAAGGGAGGAAGGGAGAAATGTGGAAGGCAATTTGAGCATCTTAGACATAGAGCAAGCAGCTGGTTCTTACTAGGGTGCTTTTGGAAATTGATGGGGTGTCTTCAGCTGCCATAACTGAGAATTGCCACCAGGCTACTGGCATTTGGAGGGCAGGGCCAGATGTGACAGATGCTCTGCAGTGAGGGGACAGTCCTACACAACACAGAGCATTACCCCATACCTTGTATGATCTTCTAATGCCATGCAGACATTTATGTAGGAACCATTGCTGATCTATAAAAATAGATGAGCTTTCTCATTTTTCCACTGGGATAATCTAAACTTTGTCTTAGACTACTAACTCTATTTTACTCAAGGTCATGTTTTTGCTATTTCTTATGCTGTACAAAGGTCTGTTCATTCTTATCCAAATGGTGGTTTTCATTTTAGGATTTACCCATATCTGTGATCTTTCATTTTATTTTCCTTTTTGTACATAATTCCCTCTGATCAGTTCTTAAATCCAAACTTATTCTCAGTAGAAGTAAGCATCTGACTACTTCATGAGGACTCATAGCATGGTCATTGCCAAGCATTTATATATAGAAATAAGTGCCATTTTATATCAGCTTTATAGATTCCAATGGTACAAAATATGAAAGCGAGTGTCTCTCCTATTCTAGTCCCCCAGTTTTCTTCCCCCAAAGCACTACTGTTAGCTGTTTCTTTTGTGTCTTTCTAGAGATATCCTTGGCATTTATAGGCAGATAGAGAGATATATGGATAGATGGGTAGATAGATGATGCAAAGACAGATGGATAGATGAATGAATAGAGAAATTCGTCGTGTTTTAAGTGGTAACCCTATGTTGCGGTATTTTATGGAGATACTCCCATATCAATACCTGAAGCCTTCCACATCCCTCCAAATGCAAATAGATCATTCCACTATATGGTGATCTTGATTATTTAACCAGGCCCCTATTGTAGATTTGTGTTACCCATGATCTTTCCTTATTGTATGCAATGATATTAAATAACTTGATGCAAACAACATTGTGTGTATGTGCAAACGCAGTTGCAGGATAAATTCCTAGAAGTGGAATCAGTGAGTGAAAGGGCATGTGCATTTACTTTTGGTAAAGAGTGTATGAATTAAATTTCCATGAGCAATAGTTAGGAATCCCCATTACTTAAAACCTGCCTGATACTTTGCATCCTCAAACTTTTATTTTTGTCAGTATCATAGGTATCTTATTATAACTTTAATTTGATTTTTTCTTCTGATGCTGTGAGAATCAGCATATTTTAATATTGAGGAATCATTTGTATTTCCTTTTATGTGAGCTCTTCATAGCTCTTCTTCATGTTCAACTTGGACGACTAAGGTTTGTTTGTCTTATTGGTGTTTAGGTACACATTATGTGTGTGATATGTCACAAGTATTTTCTTCTCTGTCATGTTTTAATCTTATTTGTTGTATTTTTTCCATGAAGAAATTTGTTTTATTTGTACAGCCCCATTTTCTAGTCTTTTTTTTTTTTTCTTAAGGCTACTGGGTTTTGTGTCAAACTCTAAAAGATAGTTCCCACTCTGAGATGATTAACAACAACAAGAGAAAATTCCCATTTATTCTTTTGGTGTCTTTTTTGGTACACCTCTTTGATACATTGGAATTTATTTTGGAGTAAGAGGTAATTCACAAATCAGACTTAATTGTCTTCTGGATAACTACATAGATATTCCAACATTATTAACTGAAGCATTTATTTTATGCATTTCAAATGTACCTACAGCAAAAAATAGAGGCATCATAGCATAGCAGTTAAAAACATAAACTCTGGATCCGATTGCCAGGGTTCAAATATCAGATGAGAATGCCAAGCACATTCCCTATGTGTCCACTGTCATTACTGTTGCTCTTATTGCCTGCAGTCTCCCCCTCTGCATTTGGTGCTAGTGTTGATCTTTCTACTCATATGTCCCACATTCTTCTAATTATTGTAGCTTTACAATGGTTATATTTTATGTTATCATGGTAGTCACTATTATAACCTGTCTCTTTCTTCCATTATATACTTTAACTGGTTGTTCATGTATATGAAGGCTTCTGACATCTGAATATTATTTTCTACCAGCTTACTTACGAAATTCTCTTAGAGTTTAAAACTGTTTTAAGCCTTTCCAGATATAAGTATATGCAACCAGTGATTACTAATAACTTTACCTCCTTCTTTCCAATATTTATGCCACCTAGCCCTTTCTCCTATTTAATTACATTGTCAAGGACCTCAAGCAATTAACATTTTTATCCTAGTCCTGACTTCAGTGTGAAGGTTTTTAAGTGTTACACCATTATGCATAATCCTGGTTTGCGTATACAGATATGTTCTATCAAATTAAGTAAACATCTGTCTATTCTACTATATTAACACTTTTATCATGAAATTTGCTTTTTCTTTTTTTGTTGTTTTTTGGGTTTTGGTTTTTGGGTTTTTGTTTTGTTTTGTTTTGTTTTAAGACAGAGTCTGGCTGTGTCACCCAGGCTGGAGTACAGTGACACGATCTCTTCTTGCTGCAACTTCCGCCTCCTGGGTTCAAGCAATTCTCCTGCCTCAGCCTCCCTAGTAGCTGAGATTACAGGCACACACCAACACACCTGGCTAATTTTTGTATTTTTAGTAGAGACAGGGTTTCACCAAGCTGGCCAGGCTGGTCTCGAACTCCTGACCTCAGGTGATCTGCCCACCTTGGCCTTCCAAAAGTGCTGGGATTATAGGCATGAGCCACCACACCTGGCCACGAAGTCTGAATTCCATCCCAAATGTTTTTCATAGTACTTTGTTCTATTTCTATCATTAAATGCTGTGAATTATATTCATTATTCCATACTACAACTAGGTTTTGAGTGTCTATTATATGCGAGGTACTCTTCTAAATGCTAGCAATTCAAGAGTAAATACTTCAAAATTGGTCTGTGCCCTCACAAAACTTACTTTTTACCCAGGGAGACTTTCAATGTTCAAAGAGTTGTATTATATAATGTGAAGTATTATGTCAGTGCAATTATAGTAACAGACCACTTAATATTACATTCCTGGATGGTCTAGGTTTTTATAACGGAAAATGACCAGAAAGTTTTTGGATCTTTCCAAAATTTGATAAGGGGATCAGAAAGGGAATTTCACCAAACATTCTTAAAGACAATGAGTGAAAAAGAAAAACTGTCTGCCTCAGTAAGATCAGACAATTCAATAAACAGATTACACAGATTTTTGTTCATGGCATTCCATTAGAAATACTGAACAAATTGGGATTAGGGAGTGCCTAAATGGTTGTTTCAAAAGACATAGTTTCTATGAAAACAAGGATAACATGCAGTCATTTGCTGGCAAAGGGCTAGAAAAGGCAGAATGAGGACGGAGCCCCCAGACTGTCTGTACCTTCCCCTAGGAGATACGTCATCCACATGCTCAATGCCCTGTCTTCTACTCTACATTTGGCAAACTCTTTGTCATCTACCAGACAGGAAGTTGCCTCTGCTGAGAATCCTGTCCTGATTTCCTGTGTTAGCTGCTCTTGCCTCTTTGGTCCCCTGTGGTCCCCCTATGCTTACATCTCTCTTTACCTTCATCACATGATTTAATTCAGGTGGCAGTGGTAGATCACAGCATTATGGCGCACAATATGTTCACGCTTCTCTGTATCCGTATTCTGGTATATTCCCCCTGTCTCCCGACTCCAGGCTTGGCCATCAGACTTGCTTTGACAAGTGTGTAGAATACAAATGCTATGCAAGCAGAGACGAAAAGGTGTGTGCATGTGTTGGGGCTTACGGTGTCCTTTTCCTTTTTTTTTTTTTTTTTCCTTGAGATGGAGTCTCACTCTGTCACCCAGGCTGGAGTGCAGTGGGGCGATCTCGGCTCACTGCTAGCTCCGCCTCCCGGGTTCATGCCATTCTCCTGCCTCAGCCTCCCGAGTAGCTGGGACTACTGGCACCCGCCACCATGCCCGGCTAATTTTTTGTATTTTTAGTAGAGACAGGGTTTCACTGTGTTAGCCAGGATGGTCTGGATCTCCTGACCTCATGATCCACCCACCTTGGCCTCCGAAAGTGCTGGGATTACAGGCGTGAGCCGCTGTGCCCGGCCCACCGTCTTTTTTTCTTTAGAACCCTGACATGACCACAAGAAAAGCCCGCCTACTGGAAGTTGAGAAGACCAGATGGCACAGAGACAAGCCACCTGCTGAGGCCCTGCACCGGCCAGTCTGCCACTGCCTGCCTGCCTTGGAAGTGAGGTTGTGCTACTCATCTGACAAAGGGCTAATATCCAGAATCTACAATGAAGTCAAACAAATTTACAAGAAAAAAACAAACAACCCCATCAAAAAGTGGGCGAAGGACATGAACAGACACTTCTCAAAAGAAGACATTTATGCAGCCAAAGAACACATGAAAAAATGCTCACCATCACTGGCTATCAGAGAAATGCAAATCAAAACCACAGTGAGATACCATCTCACACCAGTTAAAATGGCAATCATTAAAAAGTCAGGAAACAACAGGCACTGGAGAGGATGTGGAGAAATAGGAACACTTTTACACTGTTGGTGGGACTGTAAACTAGTGCAACCATTGTGGAAGTCAGTGTGGCGATTCCTCAGGGATCTAGAACTAGAAATACCGTTTGACCCAGCCATCCCATTACTGGGTATATACCCAAAGGACTATAAATCATGCTGCTATAAAGACACATGCACACGTATGTTTACTGCGGCACTATTCACAATAGCAAAGACTTGGAACCAGCCCAAATGCCCAACAATGACAGACTGGATTAAGAAAATGTGGCACATATACACCATGGAATACTATGCAGCCATAAAAAATGATGAGTTCATGTCCTTTGCAGGGACATGGATGAAATTGGAAATCATCATTCTCAGTAAATTATCGCAAGAACAAAAAACCAAACACCGCATGTTCTCACTCATAGGTGGGAATTGAACAATGAGAACACACGGACACAGGAAGGGGAACATCACTCTCTGGGGACTGTTGTGGGGTGGGGGGAGGGGGAAGGGATAGCTTTAGGAGATATACCTAATGCTAAATGACGAGTTAATGGGTGCAGCACACCAGCATGGCACATGTATACACATGTAACTAACCTGCACATTGTGCACATGTACCCTAAAACTTAAAGTATAATAATAATAAAAGAAAGAAAAAAAAACATATATAATGTAGACTAATGAAGAGGTCTCACTTGTTGGGACCCAGACACGGCAAAGTTACCGAACTAGCACTACTGGTTTTGAAATATGTTTCACCTACTTACCATGATAGTATTCCCATATAAATACATATTTGTAAGTATTTTCCAATTCTGTTTTTATTTCAATGTGGGTAACATGGTAGTTTAGATTGCCAAAAAGAATGTTTTACTTTCTTTCAAATTATAAAAATGTCTTTAGAATACTAACAATCCTGAGTTTATTAATGGCTCATTTTGTTTAGCTCATTTTGAAATAAAAATCTTACAACCAAAAAAAAAAAAAAAAAAACAAAGTGAGGTTGTGCTAGGCCATCCAGTCCCAGCAAAGCTGCCAGCTGACCACAGACATCAGCCAAGCCAACCCAGACCTGGCTCTGACCCAAAGAATTATGAGATATTCAAGAAATGTTTATGTTAAGCTACAAAGTTTTGGAGTGATTTGTGACATAGCAAAGGTTGACTGATAGACCACCACCTGCCCCTCTTACTCAATTATCAGCACTTTGAAGTCAAGATCACATTTTATTCACTGTCACAGAGTCTAGCACAGTGCTGGGCACAGTGACTTTCTGATGAATACTTTTAAAATGGAAACCCTGATCTCAGAAGGAAAGATTCTGCTTGTACCCTCCCTTGTGTCACATGACTCAACCTGCTTCCATCAGCCACATCTGTCCCAGAGACGACATTCGTGAGGCTGCTTTGTTTAAATGTAAACAGACTATAAACTCTGTGAAAGTGGGGACCTCCTTAGTGTTTGCTCATGGCTGTGTCATTCAACACCTATCACAGCGATGTGACAGGGCTTTGGCAAATATCTGTTGAATAAATGAACCAACACAGCTTGGCATTTGCAGCAGCCAGTGACGTGGCCTGGTGGCAGGGGGTGTTAGTCATCTCTTTCCCGCACACACAGCCTCACAGCCCTGTGCCCTCCTCATGGCATGACCAATGAGCATGCTTCCCCACAAGGGACAATGTGGCTCGTGGAGCAGAGCAGCAGGAATGGTGGCCTGAGGGACCTTAGAGGTCAGGCACAGCTGGTAGCCTTCTGCTGAACCTAGACAGGTGGTTTCATGCACAATACACAGTCCTCTCCAGTGGGCACTAATTTAGAAAGTCTCCTGGTTGAGGAAGGGGCAGTGGCCTGAGAGGCCAGAGACTGGAAACTTGGGCTCAACTCTGCTGTGTGACTCATTTCCACTGACCTAACTTCTCCACACCACAGGGTCCTGCCATCCCAGCCTAATATACCAGCTCAGAGAAACAAAGTAAATCATATAAAATAGCTTTCAGGAAATAAAAGGTAAGAGACCACCTTCAACTTATAAGTAGCCTGTGTTCTACATAGTCATGTTTCAGAAGGTTGTTTTGAAGTAGGTAATATATTTTCCCACAGAAAACCATGTTGAAAATGATGGTTAGCTTCCCTGGCTCTTACTCAAAAGCCTTTTTAAACCATAACGTAACTGAAATAACTTATATTTGTGAAGAAATATGGCAGGAAAAATACTGTTGCAATACTAATCATTAAAACAGAAAAAAAAAATAATACCGTGGAATGAGGAAGAGTGTTTCTGATTCATCACAAGTGCCAGCGTTTGAAGAAAACTGGATTTAATTGGAAAAGAAGGAGGCAGTAAAGAGGTTTTATGAAGATTTAAAGACAACTTTTGGTCACAACTTCAGATGCCCAAATGTGGGCACTGTTTCCCCCAAAATGAAAGTTTGTCCTATTCTTAGTGCTGCATCCTAGGTATGTTCCTCTTGCTGTGATTTTGTCCATATTTTGAGGCACACATGGAACGAGAAAAGGGAGAGAAGATCCAGCTGGTGAAGAGCTGAAAGAGAAGGAGGAAGGTGAAAGGAAGAGATGACTAAGCCTGGGGGCAGCCAAGAAACATTTTCCATGCTTACTGTGCACCACACTGGATGATTTTCCTGTGTTCTCTCATGTCTTCTCCTTATCTTAACCTGCTAAAAGGCATTTCCCCATTTTGTAAATAAATAATAGACTGGGACTGGACAGGAAAGTGACTTTGTCAACAGGTTTAGTGAAGAGGCCAGAGGTCAGTCTTAGGGCTGCTTAACTCTAAAGCCCATTTTCTTTGCTCTCTACTTGACTGTGGAGAAGGAGGACAGAGGAAAAGGGAAGCATGATTTCTGTGGAGATGGTGAGGAGGCCATCTGAAGCAGGTGGTACCATGCCCCCAGGACATTTGGTTGTCAACTGGAGCAAAGGGTTGAGGAGGCTGCACCCTTGGAGTGAGGAAGAAAAATGTGCAGACAACCACCTGAAACATGTAAGGTGTTGAAAGTCAGGGCTCACAATTCCAGGAAAAGCCAGGGCAAATGCAAGGTTCTTATCATCATCCATTCAGGCTTCCCTAACAGAACAGACTGAACTAGGTATCTTATAAACAACAAAAAACTTATTTCGGACAGTTCTGGAGGCTGGGAAGTCCAATATCAAGGCATCATTAGAGTCGGGGTCTGATGAAAGCTTGCTCATTGGGTTTACAGATGGCACCTTCTTGCTGCATTCTCATATGGTAGAAAGGGCAAAAAAGCTCCCCCTGGGGCCACTTTTATAAAGGCACTAATCCCCTTCGTAACGCTTCTGCACCCATGACCTAGTCACCTCCCAAAGACCCCACCTCTTAGTATCATCACCTTGGGGGGTTAGGATTTCAACATATGAATTTGGGAAGGATAGAAACATTTAGCCCTAGCAGCACTATTAACCAAATAGATACAGTCCTTACCCTTAAGAAGCTGTATCTCAAATGAATGATCCAAAATGAGATTAAATTCATAGAGAGACAGGGAAGAGAATTATCTCAAAACAAAGCACAGAACACTAAAGAAGAGAAGTTAATCAATAAATAAAGCAAAATTAATCACAGAAGAATATGTGCTGAGTGGAAAATGCACCTTGCAAGAAAGACACTTTATCCTCGGGTAAACAACCGGGGAGAGTGTGCAGGGAAGAAGAGCAACTTTGCAAATTACCATTTTCTTTCATGTTGATCAACCCAGGGGTTCTCGCTCATAAAATTAAAAGAAATAAAATTAAACTGTAACCAGCTCCCTTGGGCTCCTTGGAAGCGCTCACGCGGCATGGAGGGGGCTGTGAGGTGGGAAGCACATTAGGATCCTTCCATCATACTGCTTTACTTCCACATCTATCTTGTGATGCCAAAGCTACATGATCAGCAAGAATAGCAATGTCTCCCAGACAAAGGGGTGCCCATTTCCTCAGGACCACCCACCTTGACCCCAGGCAAAGCCTCCAAGACTAGGGCAGCTCTCACTTCCTTCTGCATCCACGTCCCTTCCACTCAGCCCATCAAGCATGCACATTGCCCATTTGCTCTGTGTCAGTGGCACAAAAGTGCCACTGGGCATGCAGATGTCCCAGGCATGGTACCTCCCCTCAAGGAATCTATGACCCAGTTGCAGAGAAAAGGCCAACATGAGGAACAACCAGAGAACAATGTTAAGATGAATTCTGTGCTCTTTCCACAGAGCCCTACCACCTGCGCCAACCCCCTCCTTTTTTTCCCCAATTTCCTTGATTTTCATCAGGAGCTCCATATTTTTAGGTGTTATGTTAACCTCTGACATTGGGTTTCCCGTCTGGAACACAGAATTGATGTAAGAAAAAAAAAGATGAAAATTAAACCTTTAGCTCTTAACTTTGCAAGTTAACTGTGTAAGTAAATCATTTATATGTTTTAAAAAGTGATGGATTAAATGTAAATATTACCTGTTATCATTGACAGGTCAAAGGTGATGTCATCAGTGGAGCACAAATTAGACTATATGGCCATTCCTGGAATATATGCTGAACACTAAGGTAGTTATACTCTTTGAGGGTGAAACCTTTGGCTTAACAACTAGATAATGAGCATGAGCCCCCAACAAGGGAAACCACTTCCCTCTTAAACAGCAATGGATCCTGCAGGTCTGGAACAGAATGTTGGAATGCCTGCTTTCTTTGCTGCTACTCCTCCTTATTCTTTCCTTGCACTGCCCCCCTCCCTTGTGTGTGTGTGTGTGTGTGTGATCAACTTTGTTTTAGAAGAGCAAATAGAAATTGATTATGCAGGTCCCATTAATTGCCAGGAACTAAAGCATTTTACAAGCATCATCTAATTGAGTTCTCATAACCACTCTGCTCATCTGACATTATTTCCCCTCATGTATTGAAGAAACCAAGCCTCTGAAACTTCAAATGACCCACCCTGCATCACACAACAAGTGAATGGCAGAAATCAGGTCTGCACCAAATCTGTTTGCCTTCAAAGCTCATGCTGTCTTCAACGCGAACTACCCTCCAAGTTATTGCTTTGCTTCACAGGTCAGAACTCTCTGAGTAAGAATCTCTGAGTATTCCACTCTAGCATCTCTTCTCTCATTCTTTCTGGAATCCCTTGTTTTAGTTCTGTATTCATCAGTTCTCAGGGTTCTCCAGAGAAACAGAACAGGGTGTATACATAAATATACATGTGCATATGCAATATGTAATATATATTACCTATACATATATATACACATATATATACACATATATACGTATATATGTGTATATACACATATGTATGCATATACGCATATATGTGTACATATGCATATATGTATATATGCATATATGTATATACGTATATACATATATGCGCATATATGTATATACGTATATACATATATGCGCACATATGTATATATACGCATGTGTATACATATACACACATACATGGGTATATATACATATACACACATACATGGGTATATATACATATATACACCTATACACGTGTGTATACACACCTATACACGTGTGTGTATACACATACATATATATATGGATGTGTTTACACATCCTATTGGCTCTGAGAATGAGAAAGAGATGGCGAGAGACAGAGAGAAGTTTATTAAGGGGGTTGGCTCATGTGATTATGGAGACCAAAAAGTCTCTCATTCTGCTCTCTGTAGGCTAGAGAAACGGGAGAGTCAGTGGTATAATTCAGTCCAGTTTCAAAGGTCTGAGAACCAACAGTGTCGACGTCCATGTCCAAGGGCAGGAGAAGACAAATGTCCCAGCTCAAACAGAGAATGAATTTGCTCTTCCTCTGC
The DNA here is from genome assembly GCF_000001405.40 of Homo sapiens. Classification (NCBI taxonomy): domain Eukaryota; kingdom Metazoa; phylum Chordata; class Mammalia; order Primates; family Hominidae; genus Homo; species Homo sapiens. The sequence continues at coordinate 21,197,060 of NC_000008.11, forward strand.
CTTTGTATTCTATTCAGCATCTCAGTGGATTGAATGATGCTCACCCACATTAGTGAGAGGGGATCTTCTTTACTCAGTCCACCAAATCATGTGCCAATCACTTCCAGAAATGCCATCACTGACACACCCAGAATAATGTGCTACCAGCTATCTGGGAATCCTTTAGCCCAGTCACATAAACAGATAAAATTAACCGTCAAAAGTCCCAAGCTCAGCCTCTTTTATTAACATAACAGGAGGATCCTGGGGGTGAATGGCAGAGAGGGGTGGCTCTCTCTCCCACATCTGTCTCAGTGTTTCTGTAAACCAAAGAGCAGGGGAAGCCCTTTGGGACACCGCTTAGATATCTCTCACCCCTCCCTAAGGGTGTCCCCTTTCCTCCTCTTTCTGGATTCTTAAGCACAAAGGTCATTAAAGATGATAGGATTCTGGAGACCCTCTAGTGCAGCAGGTCCCACACATGACCAGGCATGCCATCACCTGGTGACCTCTTGAAATAGGCAGATCTCAGGGCTCCATTGCTTTCTTGTGGTTCTTAGGCAGTAGATTCTAAATTCAGAAAAATGTTATTGTTAAAGCCTCCTGGGTAATTGAGATGATCAATCCAATGTGGGCACTGTTGTGGCCTGAATTCTGTTCTCCCAAAATTCATATATTGAGGTTCTAACCTCCAGTACCTCAAAATATGACTATTTTTAAAAACAGGGCCCCTAAAGGGGCAATTAAATTAAAATGAGGTTATTCTGATGGGCCCTGATTTAATATGACTGGTGTCCTTTTAGGAAGAGAGAATTTGGGCACAGACAGGTACATAGGAAAGACTATACAAAAACAAAGAGAATAAGAGGGCCATATACAAGCCAAGAGAGAGGCCTGAGGAGAAACTAACCTTGCTGACACCTTGAATTTGGACTTCTGGCCTCCAGAGCTGTGAAAAAAAAATTAATCTCCATTATTTAAGCCACCAGATCTGTGGTATTTATCTTGGCAGCCCAAATGCATTAATATGGGCCCTCCAAAGCTAGTCCAAACTTCTCATGGTAAAGATGTAGAAACTAAGGTCTAAGGAGGTCAAGTGGTTTACCCAAGACCACTGAGAAGGTTAGTGGGAGGGCTGAGGCTCAAATTGTGTACGGGCATACAGTTCAGAGCGCATTCCATGATCCCATACTGACTCTAGGGACCCGAGAGTCAGACTATCCCCCAGCCTCCACAAAGCCTTCCCAGAGGACTCGTGGTATCACGCTGTTACTTTATTCCTTTGACCTTTCATAGTATTAAAGCCTCACTTCTGCACTGGACAGGGTCACCTTTGAAATGGTCATCATCTAGCCTTCCCTGCTGAACCATGCCCCTGTAGTACTCGAAAGAATGCTGGACACAAGGTACAAGAAAAACAAGTGTTTCAATAGGTAACTGATTGACCTGAGAATGGTAAGGAAGAGGGAGGATCTGTCCTCTCCCACAGAACCTCAAAAAAAAGAGTATGCGCATCCCTGATTCACTTACATGTGGTCTGACCTAGTATTCACTATAGAATCAGGTCTAGGTAATCAAAGGAGGCTACTTTCCATATCCATCCTTTGAAATAGTAATTCTCCAATCAGAGGACACAGTCCCAATTCTGTCACTAATTTTCCCTGTGATCTTGAGCCCATCATTTAGATTATTCAGACATTCATTTCCTCATATACAGAATGGGAGAAAAATAAGTGCCTGCCTTACCTATTTCATAGACATACAGTGAATATCAAATAAGATAATGTATAAGAAAGCACTTGGAAAGGTATAAAAATGTTGCTGAAATACAAAATGTGACAAATCCTTCATCCTCAAGAAATAAATGTGGATCAGAATGAATCTGTCTGGAGAATGCAGCAGAAATCATAATAAAAACTTGAGACCTCATTGATAGGCAGCCTGCGTGACTGGCTTTCAAATTTGGTGAGGAAATTTTGGTGCATAATGAAAAGAACATAAAACTGGAAATCTGAGGATGAGCTGCTGGACCCAGCCCCATCAGGAACAACCTGTGCGCTCTCGCATGAGGCTCTAACTCCTCCTCCCAGGCTATGTCTCCTCATGCCAAAGGTGAGGACAATAGTGCCCACCTCCTTTTCCAAGCAAGGTGATTATAAAGATCAAATGAAATTATATGTAAATACAAAGCAGAACACTATACAAACAGATCATATGCCTGAATTTAAAAATATATATTAAATAAACTGAGTGAGACAGGACAGAGATGTCAGAGAGAAACGGAAAGTAAAAAGGATTCTAGCTGGAGGAGCTGCAAGTTTAACCTAAAGATGTTCTGACTAGAAAGTCAGTTAGAGAGCATCAGAAAGGGCTTGAAAGTAGGGAATCACGCAGCTAAGCAGAAGTAGACCAGCCGAGAGAGAAAATAAAAATTCAGAGAAGTGTCTCCAAGTAAAGATTGTGTGACTCGAAGAATTACATTATCACGAAGTTGAGTGGAGCAAAGCTAAGCCTTTTTACAGGTGTAATACCTGAAGAAAACATGCAGTAAGGCCCATATTTCCTTAGTAAACAGGGCAACTGTGAAAAAGAGCTATGGCTTACACTGTGGAAAGAAGCTAAAAACCTTGGAGTGAGAGAGAAACTCAAAGTCTGGTCAGTTCTTTCACCTGCATCAAACCAAATTGAGCAATGACACTCTGTATTTCTAGTTTGGCCACCTATCCATATGGTTCACCTCTTGATTGTGCTAAACTTTCTTGTTACACAGATTTTATAGCCAGCTGGTGAAACATACAACACCCTGAAAATATTAGGAGAGACAAAGTAGGAGGAACAGAGCCATGCATTGCCTCTACTCGGCATTTATTAAATGTTCAACTCTCAGAACAACTCAGAAAATGTTAAAAGTAGAAACCCATAAGTCTAATTAGTAAGCAAGGAAATTGAAGGTCAGCATGATAGAAGACAAGTTTGCATGTTTATAGGAGCACAATTCACAACTTCAAAAATATGGAACCAGCCTAAATGCCCATCAACCAATGAGTGGATAAAGAAAACGTGATATGTATATATGATATATACATATATACATATATGATATACATGTATCACATATATCACATTTTCTTTATATATGATATGTATCACATTTTCTTTATAGATATATGTATGTCACATTTTCTTTATATATAGATGTATGTATATCACATTTTCTTTATAAATAGATATATGTATATCACATTTTCTTTACATATATACACATACAAATACATATATATACTATGGAATACTACTCAGCTATAAAAAGGAATGAAATAATGGTATTTGCAGCAACCTTGATGGAGCTAGAGACCATTATTCTAAGTGAAGTAACTCAGGAATGGAAAACCAAACATCGTATGTTATTACTTACAAGTGGAAGCTGAGCTATGAGAACGCAAAGGCGTAAGAATGATAAATGGACTTTGGGGACTTGGGGGACCGGTGGAAGGGGAGTGAGGGATAAAAGACTACACATTGAGTACAGTGTACATTCTTTGGGTGACAGGTACACCAAAATCTCAGAAATCACCACTAAAGAACTTTTTCATGCAACCAAACACCACCTGTTCCCCAAAAACTATTGGGGAAAAAAAGACAAATTTGAGCCCAAGACCAGACTCAGCTGAGATTAACAAACACTTGAAAAATACTGGCATCTCATAATAGAGTTTTATTTCTTTCTTAAATAAAAAATCCAGAGGTAGCTGTCAGTGGGTATCATAGCACATCTCCAGTCATCAGAGATGAAGCTCTTTCTAGCTTTCTCCCACTATCTCTAAGATGTGGTCCTCGTTGTCATGGTTCTGGAAAGTTGCTAGAGCTCCAGATATCACCTTTATGATCCAAGCATCCAAATGGAAAAAAAAGAGACTTTTGTCAAGACTTCTTTTACAAGACTTCTTGCAACCCTCATTTGACACTTTCCCTTACAGATCATTGGCTAAAACTTAACCACGTGGCCTTAGTCACAAAAGATTGCTGGAAATCCCTTTTATCTGGAGAACAAAGTATTCAATTAAAAATTGCGCTCTGTTACTATATAAAAGGAAGTGTGAATTTCAGAAGTAACCAGGAGTCTCTGCTACACCAGTTTATGAATTCCTAAGTCTATGTTCTTTGTCAGTAGCAGAAAATCACTAAAAATCATCTGTTTGAGGATTCCTCAGACCTATTTGGACACATCTGGTGTCAGCTTAATCTAGTCCTGCTGCTAAATGGGAAAATAAAAGCAACATATTTTGATCACTGTTCCTACTGCTATTATTCAGGGGACAATTGGGCTCGATGGAACAAAGGTTGCCGTGAACATTGAAGAGAAGCCCAGGAAGTTTTCCTATGTCTGCTCAACCAAGAGATGACTTTTATGTATTGTCATGAAAATTACAGACTGAAATGTTTTTGATGTAAATGTAATTTGGAAGGAGAAATTTCAAGACTGGAAAAAGAATGGCTGAAATCAGAGTTAAATTTTGTTCTCTCCATTGGCCTTTGATCTTCCTGAACTGAAAATTTCTAAAAGGAAACAGAGCAGAGGCAAATTTTACAGCTTCTGAAAACAACTCTAGATATATTTTACAACTGTAACTGATCATGAGGAAATACCACAGTTGTAAAAAGGCAACATAAAATCACCTACGGACCTAGCGTTCTGGAATCTAGGGGGAGCAAACCAAATGCCCATTGTGTTCACTCACTGAACACAACGCTGTAGCATTGGGTCAGGTCAGGGCTGGCTGTGTTTTCCTCCAGCCCAGAGCCCACAGCATCCCTCAGCATGGCTCCAGAAGCTCATCCTGGCCTGATTCTGCACCATTCGAAGCCAGCCTAGACGAACTCTTTCTGGACTATACATAGGGATCCAGAAAACTGGGGAAGATTCCAACCCTAGGTCTGCCCCAAACTGAGCCGCCCTGTGCATGTCATTTGCCTAGCCTGGACCTCTGTATTCTCATGTGTAAAATAAGCATGCAGACCAGTTAACCATCCTTTCAGTTTCAAATTTCATGGACATTAAAGAGATGACAATGTACGTTTGGGTGAACAGAGGCAGAGGAGTGGGAGAAGCAGGAAGTAACTAAACCATTCTGGTTCTTCAAATTCCCACACTAAGTACAGGGAAATTCTCAAACATTTTTATCTAATCTCCCATTCAAGCCAACAAGAGCAGCCAGGAATCAACTATCATTTGAACTGACCACCCTGGAACGCCGGGCGAGAAGCCTTATGCTGTCCTCAGAGATGCAGAAGGTATCAAAATGCAGCATAGTGCCATGAGCCTGTCAAAAGCCTCAGAAGCCTGGACTCTTGACTCAGACAGACCTGAATTCGATTTCCAGATCAACAGCTTCCTGTGTGTGGTCCCTGGGCAAGTTTCCTGAGCTTTCTATCTCTCAGTGTCCTAATTTCTAACAGGTAAATAGTAACAGTACCTATCATAGAACTAGATATAGACACAGTACACATAAAGCACTTAGCAGAGTGTCTGACACATACTAGGCATTCATGAACTATTAACTATTGTTAGAAGCCTTATTTACAACACTTAGAGACAGAACAAATTCTGTTTCTCGGGATTTTGGAGTTTGTAAGCCTGTTTTGAGCCTTCTATGCCTTAAACCTCAGAATGATCCAAATGCATGCAAAGGTTTTGTCCTAAATCTGGAAGTTGTCCACTGTTCCACCCAATAATTCAAAACCCAGAACAGAAGCTGTGTGTGTCTCTGTGTGCGTGCATGCACCCTTGCATGTATGAAATTCAATGAATGAAGTAAAGGAAAGGAATTCTGTTCTCTATAAAAGGGGGTGGGGCGTGGAGAGGGCAGCTTTCCAATCACAGTATGACCCCTCATTCCCTATTTTTTGGAATTTTCAGTCTTTCTGAACTGACAGCTACTTCCAAGAAGAACCAGGTACTGACAGACATTACCTGGACACATAACATAAAGCTCTTCTTAATCAATGGAGGCGACTCTGCTGAAAATCTGGTGATTTTCATCTGGAGCTGACAACATGGTAATTTATATTCTGCACAGCGTAACCAAAGAGCTTGTTATGCAAACAGAGGCCACTGATTTGACAAATCTCCTGGAAACAGAATTAATGTCTGTATTCTGTGCAAAGATGTAATTTATTTTAATATTTTAAAGAGATAATATATATCTATCTATCTCTATATATTCAGGGAGTGAGATATATACACACAGAGAGATATGTATATTTAAATAGAGCCGAGCCAGGGGGTTGGGGCTGGCGTGTTGCTGCATTAAGAGGTTCAAGAACTACAGTAGAAATGGCATTGCTGATTATTCCCGGCATCTTTCATTTGGTGTGTTTCTTTTTCTATTCCTGATGATAATATAAATATTATTCTTTTGTGGAAATGCTTTATTTATTGTGCCAGAGCAAGGAATGCATTTCATGATAATTGAGGGTTTTTTTTTTTTTTTTTTGACGGAGAACAAGTTGAGCTCTACCCAACTACAGGAAAAGTTTTAATTGGGTGGAAGTCTCTGGTGGGCATTTCCTAGCCATCATATTTTATTTTCTTAAAGGAAAAGTTTTAGTTACAAAAGAAAAAGATCAGCGCTTGCTGGTTATAAGAAACCAGTTCTATCCCGATGCCTACGCCAAAGCATGAGACCAACAGAGTCTGGGGAGCAGTTCCAGAGGGAAGTATTTTAATGGTTTTTTTCTTGGCCTGGTGCAGTGGCTCCCACGTGTAACCCCAGCGTTTGGGAGGCCAAGGAGAGAGGCTTACTTGAGGCCAGTAGTTTGGGACCAGCCTGGGCAACATAGCAAGATCCTGTCTCTACAATAATTTAAAAAAATTAGCCGGGCCTAGTAGCAAGCACCTGTAGTCCCAGCTACTCAGGAGGTTGAGGCAGGAAGATCATTTGAGCCCAGGAGTTTGAGATCAGCCTGGGCAACATAGTGAGACCCTGTCTCTGTAGAATATTCTAAACTAGTTAGTAAGTAAGTAAGTAAATAAATAAAGGTTTCCCTCAAAAAAGAGTTATAATACTTCTTTTGGGAACAAGCACTCCAGATCCCAGCATCCTGAGCTTTGACAGATATTTGACTTTGGAAGGAGGCCATAATGCATTGTTCTTTCTCAATGAAAAAAATACATAAAGAAGTGCCTCCTAACCCAGTCCTCGCAGTTCTCTGCCCCTTCTTTATACTCACCACCCACTTCCATTTCAACACCATGATTTAAGGAATTACATCCACTCTATCCTGACTCTCCAATTCTTTTGAGCCTGATCACTCTCTCCTGCCTAGCCTTAAGCCCTTGTGGAAAAACCTAATCAAACCTGCCAAATCTGTTGTTGATGCTTAGTGAAGGGGTCTAAACGAAAAATCAATGTTCCTTGGCCCAAGGGATGCATTTCGCCATTTTCCCCATTAATGTCATGTCAGGAATGTCACCAGGAAGCCAGGCTGCTTAGTAGAGCATCAGTTCACATTTGGAAAGGCCCCTGACAGCAGAGAGGCAGATGAAGTCAGAGGACAGTCCCAAAGAGAAGGAGGTGCTGAGGAGAAGAGTGGGGGTCCTGAGATCTGCCATGGACCCCCCAATCTCCCAGTGTTTGTGCTCTGAGCTTTTCTTCCCCTTACCCCAAGACCCTCATCCTCTCACTGCTAACTGGCTTCTGGCCCCCAGTGGAGCTGTGGCCTCTTGCTAGCCACAGAGTGGCCATGACACATAACTGAGACTCAGATTTAACCAACAGCTCTGCACCAGCTTCTGATATCCAACAGTGTGGCTGGTACCCCATGCCTTAGTTAAAGAATCAGAAGATCTGGGTGCCAGACCTGGTTCTGTGGCTACTGAGGTGAGGAAGAAGCACAACTAAATACATCTTAGCTAGAGGGAGCAGCAGAGGAGATTTTTCTTAAGTAGGTCAGTTATTGGCTTGGGGAAAATTTCATCTCATCCTTTAAGCATTTCCAGACAATGCAATATTAGATGTTCTCACGGACAAGGCAATATTAGGTGTTCTCATAGACAAGGTGATGTTAGGCATGCTTTCATCTCTGCTCCTTCAACACTCATGACTTCCATACATAAGCAGTGCCTCCTACCACTCTGTCTGGTAACTGCCTCTTTATTCATCTCTCCGTCATGTTTATGAGCTCCTTGAGAGCAGTGATTGGTCAATTTAGAGTTGTGTATCCAACACACAGCTCAGCACTTGGCTACAGTTGAAACTCAGTAACCATTGGTTGAATACATGGATGAATTCAAGGAAGAAAGGAGGTAGACGCAGACACTCATCTGGCTTTTCATTGGCTTTTTAAAATAAATTCCCTAGGCCTGCTAGAGTGGGGAGAGAGGTAAAGATGCAGAAATGGCCCAACTTGGGTTTTGAGCTAAGTGCTCAAGTTTCCAACGCGTGGCTCATGGAGGAGATGTGAGAGCTTAGCCGAACTTACTAATCCCCTATACTAGAGCAAACCAGGAACGAATGGTATTTTAGACTAACTATAGACCCTGATTCTAAAGCAACTTGAATCAAATCACTTAAAACTACACAGAAATGTTTACACCGTGGAGCACTTTCTTGCTAAGAGATGCCTGTGAAAATAGTAGCCTACGGCTTCCTATCCGTGGAGATGGTCATTCATTACACCTCACCAAGAATAAGCCTAATTTACATGGTTGTGATTGTTGTTCAAATCCTCAGCCAGGGTTGGTGGGGTCTCTGGCCATTGTAGGTGGGCAGAGCCACACCCGTGGAGTCTTATCCATGGGTCTTTCTATGACTTCAGTGTTCCAGGTGCTAGTGGATGGAAGGGAGCTCACCCTCGGAGAGCAAGCATGAGAAAAGCCTGCAGAGACCAGCTCTGCATTGTCTTTGGGGTTAGGATTAACGAGTAAATGGATCTCCGTCTTCTAGGGTGTCACTGCTTTAATAGCACCCACACTTTATATCGCAACAGTCTGAGAAGTGCCTCCATTTCACCTAGTCATGCAGCAACAGAAGAAGTCAAATTTATGCTCAACGGGGTCATCTTCTTTCCTACCCCCATGACCTTCACTTCACCCAGCCCCAGAGGAATCAGAATTTCCTCCCAAACCTCTCCAGACCACACTAGAGCTTTAAGTCCCACCTGCAAGGGTTTTGACTCTAGAGACATTTACCCCAGAAAAGAAGCAGAGCTCCAAAGTGGACCAGCAAGATGCATGACCAAGGTGGGAGGCAGAGAGGTGAGGAAGAAGCAGAACTAAATACATCTTAGCTAGAGGGAGCAGCAGAGGAGATTTTTCTCAAGCCAACAACGAAAAAAAATCCTTTCAGGTTGAAAAGATGAAGGTGGAATTCACCATGCGAGAGGGCTTTCTAATAGACAGTTTTTATCTTGACAGTGGTGTCCTCTTAACATATATTTACTTTCTAATTACCCAGAACTGTGTAATTAACCTGTCACTAGACAGTGCTTGCCACACTAATGAATGGATAAGAATTCTGAGTATTAATAACCAGCCCTGTGGAGGGAAGGTGATCCAGCCTCTTATGACTCAGCTGACATGTTTTTCTTGCCTGGTTTTATCTCCCTCGCCCCTTTATTTTCTCTATTTGGGCAGCAGCTCACAGGAAAATTTTTTTAACATGAAAGTATCCTAGGACCTGAGCTCGCCATGATTTAAGGAATTAAGACCACTCTGTCCTGACTGGCAAGAGTTAGATGCTTTGAATGTGACAGGTCTCAAGATGAGAATGGTCATGGAATTGTTACCAGCAAAGGGTCCCAATCCAGACCCCAAGAGAGGGTTCTTGGACTTCACACAACAAAGAATTCGGGGCAAGTCCATAGAGTGAAGTGGAAGATATCCCAGGATCTCCACCTCATCCTGACTGCACTGTCCTATAAACATGGGCCAGAGTGTGGCAGAGACTTAATTCTACCAGAAGCAGCTTTTTCTTTTGTTTTTCCTTTCACTTTGCTCTACTCGCATTGATTTCCTCCCCTCTGGAGTCAGACCACCCTGGCTTGGGAACCAGAGCCCCCTTTACCAGCTGGGCCAGTCACTGAATCTGAGTCATATGCAGGACTAGAGTGATTACGACTGTGACATCTCACGCCTGGGGCAGGAGAGAACAAGGTGTGTGTGAAATGCCTACCACAGTCTGGGGACATAGCAGAAAGTCCATAAACACCATTCTCCTCCTTTCTCCTCTTCTTCCTCAACCTCATTCTCAGCCTTCTCTTCCTACTTAAAAAAAAAAAAAAAAAAAAGGACTCTTCTTTAAACAAGAGACCTGGCTCTCTCCAGTCCCTCGGATGATCTCTGTGTAATGCCACAAGGCTGCCTCAGATTTGTGTCACTAATGCCCCCAAGGAAGGGCCAAGGCTAAAGACAGCTCAGACTCTAGCCCCTTTGTTTCTGTTTTTGAAAAATCTCTCACCCTGAGGGAACAGCCAAGGATTGGGCGATGCTTAGCAAGGTGAGGGAGAAGCTATGCTAAAGTCCCTGTGGAGATCAGCCTGTAAAAATAAGGGTGCACAAAGCATTTCACAGATCAGAGGAAAAACCCTGAACAAATGGGGGCGGGAACAGAACAGCTGCTTGCTGCCTCTAGGGAGTCACTGCCAGCAGTCAACTGCTGTACTCCTGAGACTGTCCTGGCTTCTGGGCCCCAAGATGCCAGGAAGGAGGCATCTGTGCTGCCGGAGCATGAGGCCTGCCCTTGCACAGCTGTTGGCCAGGCCAGGCCAGCCCCTGAAGCCCTTGCCAGCTTTCTCCTTCCTGTGTCCTCACCAGCTGTGTACTTTATCTACCTTCCCTCCCAGCACTACCACCACCGCCCACCCTCTACCCCCCACCCCCACAGCCAGCTTCCCCTCTGAGGGCTCCTCCTGTCTGTCTCTCCCTCTTTTCCCTGCCACCATACTCCTTCAGTCCTAAATCCAAATCCCTCTCAACTAGGTGTCACATCTGAAAGAGGCCTGATAAATTAATCCCCACCAAAATGTCCTGGCTAAACTGACAGCAGCTTAATGTGCTTTTAGCTTAATGCAGTTTAGACCCTCCCCAGAGTGCTTGCATTTTAGCAGGGGATTCCTGAAGACATAGTGGAAACGTCCTCAAGGATGGAAATGGCGCAGCCTCGTGGGCACAAGGTAGGGCAGGAGAAAGGGCTTGGGGGAATGGAGGGGCTCAGGAATCATCCCACCTGGCCAGAGACCCACTTCTGAGCATTCCAGGCATGACTCAAATATGGAGAGAAGGACAGGGAAACTGGGAAGAGAGGGGAAGCTGTAAAGCCTTGGTAGTGTTTTATTTAACATTCAACATTGGTTTAGGTTTATATGGCGTACCGGGGGGTGACAATAGGCTTCACACAAAAGATGGAAAGCAAGTCAATTTCCATGACCCCTCCCAAGTGATTGCAAGACACACACGGCCTCCAGAACAGAACCATGTGATAAATGCCTCCCTTAAGAGAGAGACGAGCAATCATTTCCATCGCTACTGTGCCCCACACCCAAGCCCAGCTGCGATCAGCACCAATGCTAGGCAGGCATCCCTTCCCTAGTTGGAGGGTGCACAGGACCAGACAGGCACAAGTGCATGTGGCATTGACATAGAAGTTAAGAACAAAGTATTTAAGCAAGTAGTGAGGGTAAGAAGTCCTCAGGAAGGTTTTCCTTTTAATGAAAAAGCAGCCCCCAAATCATTTTCTTTTCTAACAAAGAACAGCCTACAAAATCAAGCTGCAGACATAAGCAAGCTAGAAGCTTGCACAGGTTAATGCTGGCAAGTGTGCCAATAGGAAAAGTCTACCCGGGGCTAGGCATGTCCAACATGGCGGCTCCATCTTTCCCTTTCCTTGTCAATCACGTGCACAGTAACGAGCAGTCAACATGGGACTGGCCAAGTAGAGACTCCATTTGCATAATAAGATTAGGATGTGGTGCTTAGTTTCTTCGTGCACTATGTAAACATCACACCTGGTCCAAACAATCTTTGGGCCCTATGTGAATCAGACACGGCCTCCTCAAGCCTGTCTATAAAATCTGGCATACTCCACCAAGGCCCAGAAGTCCCATTCGGGTGCCCCTCTCTCTTGCAATAGAGAGAGCTGTCCTCCTTTGTCCATTAAACCTCCACTCCTAAACTCACTCCTCATGTGGGTCCGTGTCCTTAATTTTCTTCGCATGAGGCAACGAACCTCGGGTATTACCTCAGACAACGATGTTGCTTCAGCATGGTGGGGAAGAGGCAACTCTTGGGGTCATTGTTGGGGTGTAGAGAGAAGGGGAATGGCAGAGGCATGGAAAGCCCAGACTCCAGGAGGAAAGGAGAGGCTAATGAGCACATTAGGGCTGGCAGGGCTGACAGGAGGGCACGTGTTCCCCATCGTCCTCATTATCAAAGAGCTCTCTGAACACAGGATCAATGCATCACCCTTTTGATTTCCATCAGTAGCACTGTCTTCTTTGAGAACAGTGGTGCTCTAGTCCCAATCACCTGTTTACATGGGTTCCAAGTGTCTCCTATTTCCTAAGGTAGTCTTGATTTCAAATAGGATGTCCATGAACTCTCCCCCACACGATGGAGTATTGGCTAGTCAGATTTTATGACACATGTCCTAATTATTGGTTCAGAAAAAAATGCTCACTGAACCTCTCTAGCCATATGGTGAACTTGTCCCTCAAGCAGGATAAAGGATTTCTAAGGAAGGACCCTTCTTTATGCATTTTCCATCAACCTTTTCCTCCCCACGCATACTTCTTAGAGGACACAAACTCCAGGACCTGCATATGCCCATACCAGGGTAGATGAGGCACACTAGCTCAAAGCCCCCATTCTTTCCAGACCTGAGAGGATCCTCCCACTCTTCCTGGGCATGGCTCCCTGCCTGAGTTTCTCCCATAAGCCCTTCCCACTCCACTCCTCTCTGTTGCAGCCTCCTAGCTTCTTGCCCAAGCTCATTAGATTCAACCCAAGTCCACATTCTCTGCTGCGCCTTCCCTCCCTGTTTCCCCGGCAGGAGGATCAGAGGTGACCTTTAAATGTCGCTTGCAAATGCCAGCTGATGCTAACTGGCTCGAAACCGCTGCACAGGCGTGGTTTCCTGAAAGCCAGCCGGATGGCAGAGCTCAGGCACCAGGGTGGGAGGCTGGCTTCTATGACAGGTCTATGCTGTAAGCAGAAAACCCGGCTTCCACAGCCAGACTGTTGCTGAGCTGGGAGGGTGACTGTCTGTATTATTAAATGTTAGAGTAGATGAGTCCCTTGAGACCATCACTGCATGGTTCCTGGGAGAAAACCAAGGTCCCAAACAAAAAGGCAAATATATCATTCTCAGAACCTAATATCTGCCAGGAAATATGAAACTCTGATAGGCACTTACTTCACTAACCCTCATTGACTGATTGATAGATCAATCGATAGATCAATTGATAGATCAATCGATCAATCTGTATTGATCTATCTCTATATCTCTCTATAGAGATTAGATATCGATATCTACATATAGATCTATATAGATCTATCTATATCTAATCTCTATAGAGAATAAATGAATGAACGAATGATGGATTGCCTTGGGTAATTACCACAACAGCCCTGTAGGGTAGGCACTATTCCTATAATAAAGATAATGAAACACATGCCCAATGAAGTTGACTGAGTTGTCTAAAGGCCACAGCTAATAAAAAGTGAAGCCAGGATTCAAATCTGGGGTAGCAAGACCTTAGAACAGTTTCCAGGGATCCTTTCTGTGCCCCATACTTTGCTCCTTTCCTTCCTCATCATCAGGGATAGGTCTGAAGCTTTCCTTTACCCCACGTCTCCTGAAGTTTGTGAATCTCTGGTTTAATTCAACAATTATTTATTTATCAATTTGCATCCTCCTGTTCTGCTGCCGGAGGGCTTCATTCCCCATTACCCAGCTTCTATGTGTTTGTCAGAACAAATTGCCTGCAGGAAGAGGCAGAGGGAACAGTAAGAGAGAGACCTTCTCTCATGCGACATCCCATTACCAAGCTGGGATGACCAAAGGCTGTGGAGGATGTTGCCTTTGTCCCTTGTTCTTAGACAGCGGAGGCTCAAGACCCAATACAGGGCCTTAAAGAAGGCTCTGCAAGAGTCAGAAAGGGAAAAACAATGAGGGCCTGGGGAATATCTCTGGGCCTGAGAAGTAGGATCCCTGGATCTGATTCTAGTGTTTCCCCAACTGAAAACAAATCAATGTCCTTTCCTAGGTTTCTTATTAATTCATTGAGGAACACATTGGCTCATGAGTGTGCCATGATGGTGGATGTCTTCCACCTCCACCAGGCATCTCCGTCAACAGGCTTGGGAGAACTCCTGAACAGTACAAGCAGAAGGAGCACTTGGCTGATAACAGAACCATGACATCTTTGCCGCTGAATCAGGACAGTGTCATTACATACAAAAGAGTCCCAGCACCTGGTTTCACCTTCCTGCCTTCTTGGGAAGCTGGAAGAGTCACATAAAAAGACCCCTAAGAGAAAGAAATGATTTCATAAGGGAAAACAAATAATTAAATTATTTCAAGCTTATCTTACCTCAGTAATAGTTGTCACATCTGACTGCTTTTAGGCATGAAGCTATCAAGGTTTATAGTATCATTAGGTCCCTAACTTCCCTAATTTATCAATAAAACAGGTGTTGAATTGGACTCAGTGACATATCACACTAAACAGGCTTTTACAAGCGGCTCTATTCACACTGATTCATTCACTCATTTGTACTTGCATGCATTTATTAGTTTGGTGCAGAAGTAATGGCAATTTTTGCCATTGAAAGCAATGGCAAAACCACAATCTCTTTTGCACCAACCTTATAGTAAGTCACTCTTTCATTAATCAATACCACTGAACTTGCAGCTATGTGAAGTCCTTTGGGATAATAAGATGAAGATGCTGTCCCCACCATCTAGAAATGTGTCATTCTAGACTGTAGTCCAAGAAAGTCAACACAGAATGTCATCCACCAAGACAATATGAAGAGCTGCACATGTGATTACAGTCCAGTCAACCTGCATTGAGGAAGCTGCTGGCCCCAAAGGCCCCTGGGCTTTGCCAAAGACCTGTCTTGATCACATCTGAAGACCCACCACTGTCTTGTCTTCACTCTTGGCCTTTGCCTCCTGACTTTCACTTTTCTTTCAAAAATATCAAGATACTTTGTAAAAAAAAAAAAAAAAAAAAAATGTTCTCCAAGCCCATGCATACCTACATCCTCCCTACTATTGGAGGATCTCTTGAACTGGGGACAAATTCATCAAAATCATGAGGGAAAAAAACACTTTGGGTGAATATATCTTAGAGGTTTGAATGGAGTGCTTGAGTCAACAACTGGGAGAACTCTTATCTCCTTGCTTATTAAAAGCCTACAGGGATGAGTGTTCTGAAGTCTGTTCTCATTAGATTAGGTGTATTAGGATTCCAGTGTCCCTATAATCCACCCACTGGCCAAAAAAAAAACCAAGCAAACAAAATGGATAGACAAGGAAAGTAGCATCATCTCCCAGGAAGTCTCAAGCATGCTTATGATTTTCTGATTTCCTGAAATATGATGAGAAGATTGAGACTCATGCTTATTTTATTGGAAGTAGTTGGCAAAGCCCCAATAATAATGATTGCATGTATTCATATTGGCTTAGTGGGTGACATGCTGTGTTTACTTTCCATTTCCTTAGAGAGGGACATGTAGAGAAGCTAAAAAGGTTCTATTCTAATTTCCCCAGCATGTGTCTCTACTTCCAAGAGTGCATACATGCATGGAGCCATGGGGAGAAAAAGGAAAAATGGACTCTCGGAAAAAAAAAGAAGATGACCAAAAGAAGTCCACTTGATAAAGGAGTCTTCCCAAGAAAGTAGGAGTCATTTAGGGCAGGATGGAAGAAACTAGGTTTCAGCTAGTGATGCTAAGTAAAGTAAATAGTGGGAGGCAAGAGTTCAAATTGTAAATAAACAAGGTTTTTAGAGAACCCTGGGTTCAAATGAAGCGAGAGGAGTGTTATCTTACCTGAAGAATTTAGAAGCCCTAATCCAAGAGGTGTGAGAAGTGGAAGTTTAGTTTAGGAAGATTCTGAGGGAGGAATCCAAGAAGGACATTCACATGAGGTATCTAAAACCCAGCTGTGGGCTGAGGACTCAATCAGAAAAGATTTTGCTTCCTTGGTTATTAAGGGAGATGGATGTAATCATTCCAGTCACTTTCACTTCAAAGTGAAAACGAGAAAAGGAAGCAGAACACACTCTACTTTGTGGGGGTGCAGGGGGCTGTCTACCCAGCATCTATCCCTCCTCTGCTGATAATTTTATTCTGATTTTTCCTGGGGAGCCCTCTTCCCATTCTTACTCCACCAGCTTTTGGGTGAGATTGACTCTGTCCCCAGCACCAGGTGTGAAGCACATGGCCTCCACCCAACCAATCAGCTGTTTGTAGATTGAGCCAATCAGAGTGATCCTCAGTGAACACATAACTTCACCAAGCCAATCAGAGTGATCCTCAGGGGTTTCTGTGGGACCACCAGGAGAAGCTTTTCTTCTTTCTCAAAAACTTGAAGTTGAAAGAAGACAAGACCTGGAACCACTGTGGTCATCTTTCAACCACAGAAAGAGAGCTTGCTTGCCCGAGAATGGAGACAGTAGGAAGGAGAGTCAAGAGATGAAAATTTGAATCACGGAGACATTGTTTGAGCTCCCGCCTCAAACCACATCTTACACCAGACTTAGAACTGGACTGTTTGTCACCAGTTGAGTTGGATTTTCCATTACTTTAAGCCAAAATAGACTTAACTCATATAAAAATTGAATAGGACTACTGTAAAAGGTACCTTAAGTTGGGACCTTTGCCAAGATATGGAGCTATTCCTTTTTTTTTTTTTTTTTTTTTTTAAGACAGGATCTCACACTGTCACCCAGGCTGGAGTGCAGTGGTGTGATCATAGCTCCACCGCAATCTCAAACTCTGGGCTCAAGGAATCCTCCTGCCTCCGCCTCCCAAGCAGCCAGGACCACAGGAACACACCACCATACCCAGCTATTTGTAAAAATTTTTATAGGGTCTCCCTTTGTTGCCCAGGCTGGTCTCAAACTACTGGGCTCAAGGAATCCTCCCGCCTCAGCCTCCCAACGTGCTGGGATTACAGGGGTGAGCCATTGCAACCAGCCAAGAATATGGAATTATTTACCTACCACTTACTTACTGGTGTTTCTTGCACTCCAAGGGTCTCTTGCATTTTAGTCAAATGATGTGTGCCCTCTTGCTGTGCAATGGAGCTGGCTGGACTGGAGAGGACCAGGTAATATGAGGAAGAATTGTGATACAGGTCTCATGCCTCAGCACCCTGAACTTCAATCGGCGTGGCAGCAATAAATATTTCCCAAACTGCAAAATACCCCTCCACTTGAAAGTGACCAAAAGCTACCTTTCCAACTGGCCCACCTGGCAGTGGTTTGCACAGTATCTCAGTGGAATTCTCACAAGAAGAAAAATGAGTTGTTGTGCAATGAATCCTGATTTACAAACTAGTCAGCTTTGGTGTGCACCTCGCTTGCCCTAAATGAACAACTGCGCACACATCACCAAACCGCTCTGAATCTCAGTTTCCTCCTCTCTGCGTGGGGGATGGTGACTTCCCTCCCCGTCTCATGGGGTCCCTGCCAAGATGCTACTGTGAGAACACCATGAAAGACCTACAGCGCTGCTTAACTAGGACGCATTATTAGGAAAACTAGAAATCCCTTCCTAAGGACACACATCAGCATTAGCTTCTCTTTTAGGTAATAAACAAACAAACAAACAAACGGAGTTGGTGGCATAATCACAGCTAAATTGGAAACGCTAGCATTATCCAGAACAAGCTATCTATCGAGAGAAGCTGAGAGGCCTCGGATGCACAAAATCATATTTCCCCAGGCATAGGATTAATTAAAACTATCAAGTGTTCCCAGCTTTTTGAAATTAACTTTGAAAGTGTTTGGTGTGAAGGGATAAAGAGAGAGGCTATGTGGAGGGGGGAGGACAAGGGCGGAGCTGCTGGAGGGAGACACATGCCAAAGCTGTGTGTTTGTGGTGTTCTTCTTAGGAGAAAAAGGAAAAAAAATGAAATTTTAAAGACTTTTTAGGAAGGGACAGAAAAATAGAACAGTATGGTATTCACCCCCTACCTCTCGCATGCATTGCAGGTTCTTTCTTCTCTGATGGATGTGGGTTCAAGACTCACAACCCCAGCATCAAGGCCAGGTGGTGTGGAAGTAGGTAGGGGATGCAGAGACTGATCATCCACCCTTTCACTGCCCACCTCTGGGCTTTGTTCTTATTTGGTCTTTTTCTCCTTTGCAAATAAAACTATTTCCAGCATTTTTCTAAGCTATTGGACGATGGTCATGTTATGAACAGAGGCCAGGAATCCTCTATTTACTAGCTGTGGGACCTCAGCTATGTCACTCGCTTCTTCCCAAGACTCAATTTCCTTACCTGTAAAATAGGGTAAGAGGGGAAAGAAGTTTATTTGTCAAGAAGCCCAAGTGGAACCTTGGGAGTGAATCACGTAACACACAAAGGATTGCCACACAGCACAATAAATTCTTCCACATTTCACATTTACTCAAACTACTTTAAGCTAGGAATAGAGCACTGCTAAGCCCTGGAGGTAATGGCACAAATGACATCTTTCCTGTTGGGATTCTGTTTCTACATGGCAGGGAAATGCATTTTCCTTTTTCGCTGTCACTGCAATTCAAACTCCCAAAAGCATATCGTTTCCTTTTACTCTCCCTTTGGTGAGTTTGAGGTTTCTTCCCAAGCCCCACTCACCAGCTCCTTGCTCGTCAGGACCCACAGATCTTAGAAGGAAGTGTTATGAGTCCCTAGAACTATACTTGTCACCATCTCCTATCTCCTCCCTCTGGATCTGTACCTCCAAACCTTAGAGATTAGGAAGCTTGTAGATTCCACCTTCTGGAACGAAGCAATCTGCTTCTTTGTGTACTAAATTCCTACTTACCTCTCCAGTCATATCAGATATCTTCCCCTGTCCTTCCTAACAGAGATCAGATTATGGTCAGGTTTGCTATTCTTCTTTATTCAGCCATACACTTCAAGGGAGAACAATCCTGCTGCCTTTCCAGTACAGGGAGTTTGTCTTGATTGGTCTAACCCAATCATGGAAGTCCTCTCCTGCTAGCCAACGGTCAAACAATGGACATGTTAGTTCTGGCTAGCAAGAGATGAAGGAATGTTTGTTGAGGGTTCTGGAACTCTCCTTTTGGAAAAGAGGCTGCAGGAGAGAAGGCATTCTTTTCCAAAAATTCTCCTCCTTTTTGCAAAAGAGAGCAGGAGAGAAGGCATTGTTTGTCCTTTGGCATCTTCAGGTATGACTATAACACCTAATGAGAAGGACAGCTAGACAAGAACAAATACTCAGGCTGAGGACAGCAGCACAGAATGGGAAAGTAATTCTGAGCCCTTGACATTACTGAGCTGATTAGCCAGCCTGTGGGTCACCCTACCTCTGGGTTACATGTCACATGAGATACGTCTATTATTGTTTAAGTCCATTTGAGATGGAAGATCTTCTTACTTGCACCCTAAAGCACTCAACAGATCCACCAACTCCCATTTTTCCCAGTGGGTTTCCTCGGTGCCTTGTTGTGGTCTCATCATTCTGAGGGTGGAGCTTGCTGGTCCCATGTCTTCAGGCTGCATGAGATGTGGTGGTGCTGCTAGGGAGGGGACACCATTGAGGTCCACATCTCAACAACATCCCACAGATTGCCAAAGCCAATTAAGTCTCTCAAAATGTTTCAAATCTCTTCCTTTCAAGCTGTATCATTTCTTGCTTAAATAATTACAACTACATTTCTAAATAATTCTCCTCCTACCAATCTTGTCCCAAGTCATGGCCATGTATTGTGAGATAGGAAAAATCCATCATGTTCTACCCTCCACTCAGTTGCCTCTGGTCCCCAAAATCTGTGGGGGTTTCTCCCTACCAGCAACCAATCAATTGCACAGCAGACACCAGCTGGGTGTCCTACAATTCAATTCAATTCAGACACAATCTACCTGGTAGAAATGTCAGATCCCACAGTTGGAGGACTCAGTCCTACAAAACTGCCTCCCACTTGAAATGCAATTGCAAGTCACAAGTTGTGGCCTGTACTTCTGACCAAACTGCTGTAAATTGGGGGTTCCCACAACCCCCTCCTCAGGTTTAATTTGCTAGAGTGGCTCACAGAACTCTGGGAAACACTTTACTTATATATACTGGCTTAATATAAAGGCAATGAACAGGATACAGGTGAACAGCTAGATGGAAGTGGTGCATAGGGAAAGGTATAGGGGAAGATGCATGGAGCTTTCATGTGGTTATTGGGCATGCCCCTCTCCAGGAACCTCCACATGTTCACCTATTCAGAAGCTCTCCAAACCCAGTCTCTCGGGTTTTTATGAAAACTAGCTTCATTACATAGGCATGGTTGGTTACATCATTGGTTACTAGTGAACAACTCAACCTTCGGCCTCTTACCGTCTCCAGGAGGTTAGGGGATGGAGCTGAAAGCCTCAACAGATGGTTGGCTCTCCTGGCAACCAGGCCCACCCTGAGGCTATCCAGGAGCCCACTGAAAGTTGCCTCATTAAAACAAATGACTCTCCTATCCCCTAAGAAATTACAAAGGTCTTGGGAGCGCTGTGTCAGGAATTGGGGATCAAAGACCAAATATCAGAACAAAAGAGTTTCCTAGTGCCCCCATCTGCAAGGATTTTAGGAGCCATGTTCAGGAAATGGGGATAAAGACCAAACATATATTTTATAATATCACACCATGAGAGTCCACATCTGACCATGGTCCATCTCCTGTCTAATAGCTGCCACTGTATACAGGATAAAGTTCAAGATTCTTTGCATGATAAAGAGGATTGTCATGACTGTTTCAGGTCTCATTTCCTGTCTTGTCTTCCGCAAGGCTACGCCTTCTCCTTTGTGCTGTAATCTTGCCAAAATGGACCCTGCAGGCCCTTTGTTCCCCTGCCTCTCTGCTTTTTCCCATACACCTTTGCATGCCAAGATTGTTGTTTCTTCTGTCTGCACCTGGCTAATCCTAATGACGCTCCAAGATTGAGCTCAGGCTTCGTTTTCTCCTAGAAGACTTACTTGAACCGCCAGGATGTTCTATATCTCATCCTCTGACCTCCTGGAGAGCCCCGTGCATCTCTAGATCTTTGCATTTACCACATCCTATTAAATATTTCTACTTGAGTCCATCTCCCCCACCAGACTCCAAACTCCTCAGATAGAAAAGAATAAATAACAGTTCCTGCCCTATCTGGAACCTAGCATAGTACCAGGAACACAGTGTGTCCTAAAAAAAATACGATTGAAGTGAAATTTTGAATTTCACATTTGCCAAGCACAGATATTTAACATGAAGAGACAAAAGAACCAGAGCAAAGTATGTCCCCTGGGGAACGTCCATGTCAAGGAGAACTACATCATTCACTGTCGCCATTTATGAGAAAAGAGATTATTGACTGGAAAGGGAGCCTGGCCTAAGAATTTCATACAGGACAACTTAAACACATGTGTTATTTCAAAGTTTATTTCAAAACTAGTCCTTTGTGATATTAAAATTAAAAATAGGATAGATGACTCTACTGTTACAAATATATACATATATATATATATATATATATTCACAGGTTTATTAATAAATGGCAAGGCCCAGACCAAACTAGGCAGAAAGAGATAGAAACAAATATAGTTAACTTGCTCTGCTTAATAAAGTGGAAGAGGTTTGTGTTTTGGGCTGACAGCTCAGCCAGTAAGGCACATGCCCTGAGAAAGAGGTAGGGTAGGCCCTTAAGAAGTAGAGGTAGGTTATGAAAAAAGTGGCAGGAAAGGCCAAAGGACTTTTGGAAGGGATGTGTAATATTCAATCTGGGGTATGCTATGGTCTGAATGAAATTTTGTGTCCACTCCCTTCACCCAAAAAACTTTTTGTTGAAACCGAATCTCCAATGCAATAATATTAAAGGTGGGACCTTTGAGAGCTGATTAAAAACTGACATTTGGGGTTATGAAACACGTCCAACATAGGTTACGAAAGCTGCAACTCATGAGTGAAATTAGTGTGCTCATAGAAGAGGCTTCAGGAAGGATGCTTGCCTTACTGACATATGAGGACACATGGAAGATGTTTTGTATGAGAAACAACCCCTAACCAGACACCTAATCTGCTGACAATTTGATCCTGAGCCTCCCAGCCTCCCAGAATATGAGGAGGACATTTCTATTGTTTATAAATTACCCATTTGAGGGTGTTTTGTTATAGTAACCTAAACAGATCAAGACAGAAATTAGTATCAAGAGTGGGGTCCTACTGTAACAAATACCTAAAAATGTGTTAGCAGCTTCAGAACTGGGTAATAGGGAGAAGCTGGAAGAATTTGGAGGTGCATGCTAGAAAAAGCCTGTGTTACTGTGAATTAAACATGCCTGGAGTTCCATTATTGGAACGCTAAGCATGTGGGAGTTATTTATGTCCTATTGCTCAACGCCATCACCAAAGTCTGATTGTGAAAATTCAAAAACTTGCAACCTCAGGCATAAATGGGTTAAGGATGGTTCTGGTGAAGACTCAGAAGAGGAGAGCTGTAGATAAAGTTTCAGTCTTCTTAGAGATTACCTAAAAGGTCATGAGCAGAAAGCACAAATATGAATGATAAAGGCTGTTCTTTATCATCCATAAAGAGGTTTAGATGGGAATGAGAAACATGTTCCAAGAAATCGAATGAAAGGTGACCCTTATTATAAAGTGGCAAAGAATTTCACTGAATTGTGTTCATGTCCTAGCGTTTTGTAGCAGGACGGACTTACAAGCAATGAAATAGGGTATTTGGTGGAAGAACTATCTAAGCAAAGCATCGAGGGTGCAGCATGGCTTCTCTTGACTGCTTATAGTACGATGCAAGTCAGGAAAAATGAATTAAAGACAGAATTCGTCATCCAAATGGAGGCAGAACTTAACGATTTGGAAACTTCAGCCTGCGAGCAAGAAAAAAAAAACAACGGGAAAATATGTTCAGGAGAGAACAATAAGGGTGTATTCAAGTGAATGTTTGATAAGGTGATTAATATGGGTGGAGAGAAGCTACATGCTATACATAAAGGCAATGAAAGAATGACCCTGAAGTCATTACTGAAGTACCTCCAGGGCTACTTTGGTGGTCACAGGCTGTATGTGTGTAAATCACAGGCTGTATGTAAATCAGACACAGCCTCCTCAAGCCTGGCTATAAAATCTGGTCTACTCTCATTCTGGGCCAGAATTCCCATTCGGGAGCCCCTCTCACTCACAGGAGAGAGCTATTCTCCTTTCTCTTTTGTCTATTAAAACTCCACTCCTAAACCCACCTCTTGTGTGTATGCCTACTTGATTTCCTTGGTGTGAGATGACGAACCTTGGGTATTTACCCCAGACAATGATGCCGTTTCACAACCACATGAGGAAGGACCCAAGTAGGCACTGAGACTGCAGCAGAAAGTGAACCAGAGAAACTTAATCTCCATCGCCCTCATACATATACTCACTCCAGCCTGAAATGATGGGTTTGACGCACAAACTTCAACAGTGCAAAAGACAGAAGCCTACTATCAGTTTATTTACATAAAAAAGGGAAGGATGACCCAAGACTAGAGGACTTGGAAATACTTCGGTTGCAGATTTAAATACACAAGCAGTATGTTTATACTACATCTGTCAATCAATGTATGTATTTATGCATATAGGTACATATGTGTATATGAACATAGATATATATCTTTTAATTTTTAAAACAAATTTGTAGTTAATTTGTTAACTACTAATTAATGACTACTATGTTAAAAGAAAGTGTAGTTTACACACTTTGCAACCAAAAGTGAAATGCTAAATCTTCAGTAAAGATAATGAAGTAAAAACACAAATGTACTGTTTTTTTTTTCTTGACTTGTAAACCCCAAACTTGGTGCCTTACTTAGCAATTCTTTTTTTTACTGCTGTCAGCTTTTCTAAACAGTTAAATTCTGAGTGATCATTCCTGCCAGTACTGCCTGAACTTCACTCTAGCAAAGAGTCACAAGCTCTCAACTCCCCTTACTGGGTGTTTTCCTTGGCCTTGGTGTTTTTTTTGTTTTTTTTTTTTTTTTGGTTTGTTTTCCTGGAAAACCTTTTAGAAATGTTGTTCAGATACTGCTCTTTCTCCTTACCTTTACCTGTCCCAGCTCCCCACAGTTCAGTAGGACCGCCGATGCCCTCTGTCTGCAGCCCCTATTCTGCTCAGGCCTGCCAGGAATAGGAAGCCCTTGTAATTCAAATCAACAGTCCCTTACTGAACTGAGAATGCATCCCTGAGGCCTCAGCCCTATCCCAGTGCTCTGGAATCTGTCTTACCACCTATGAGCCTATATGCCAAGTGCCAGGGGAGAACCTTGGCTTCTCAAATCCACAGATACCTCAATGCACATGATTCTCTACTCTTCCAATGTGTGTGGCTGAACTTCTGCCTCTCTTACCCTAGTCAGGAATTTAATTCCCACCACAACTAGTTGTGTGCCCAGATCCTCAACTTGCTGGCTTCCCCCTGGTGCTCTCAATTCTTGTGGGCTTTGCAGTTGTGTGTTGCTTCCTGCAAACCACAACAATGACTGGAATTATGCTATTGCCAAACATCCCAGGTATTTGATGGGTTGGACTCTCCTCTCTGCCTGCTCAGTGCACAGAGCCCACTGAGTGGAGCCAGAACTTGGCATGCTGGTGAGAACAACACTGAACCTCCCCTACCCAGCCCCTGTGATGGTTAATACTGAGTGTCAACTTGACTGGATGAAAGGATGCAAAGTATTGTCCCTGGGGGTGTCTGTGAGGGTGTTGCCAAAGGAGATTAACATTTGCATCAGTGGATCGGGAAAGGCATACCCACCTTTAATCTGGGTGGGGACAACTCTGCCAGCTCAGCCTGAATAAAAATATGCGGTAGGATGCAAAAAGCCTAGACTGGTTTAGCCTCCCAGCCTACATCTTTCTCCCGTGCTGGATACTTCCTGCCCTTGAACATCTGACTCCAAGTTCTTCCGCTTTGGGACTCAGATTGCCTTCCTTGCACCTCAATTTGCAGACAGACAGCTTGTTGGGGAACCTTGTGATCATGTGACTTAATACTCCTTAATAAACTTATAAACACATACATACATGTATATGTGTGTGTGTGTATATGTGTGTGTGTGTGTGTGTGTGTGTGTGTATGCTATTAGTTCTGTCCCTCCAGAGAACCCCAACACAGCCACGCTCTGTGGCTGTATGCCACCCACTCCTACTCCACCTCACCCAGCCAGCCCTGCCCAGCATGGATGAGCTCTTCCTGGACTTTCCCTCTGGGGCTCACAGTCCTCCTCCTCTGCTGATTCCATCAACAACCTCAGACTGATGCTGGGGAAGTAATTTAGCAGACACAGTTTAGCAATTTAGCATTTTTCTGGCCTTTCTTTTTACAACCAGGCTGTTATTCAAAAGCAAAGTTTAGCCCATATGCATAGCATACATGTACTGTATTTATGTGTTAAATACATTTCTTCTCCACCCATTCCTTGTTGCTTCACTTATCCAAATATTATCCAGGCCTTAAAGGTCTAATCATGAGTTGCCTCCCTTTTAAAGACTTTTTCTCCATTTTAAACTCTATTGATCTCTTCATTTCTTAGGACTACTACTAACATAATTTAAATCTTGATTTTGCTCTAAGTCCTCCTTCATTTTCCTCAGATCTTTAAGTGTGTGTGTATGTTTGTGTGTGTTTCCAACCAAGACTATAAGCTCTCAGACTGCAGAGGTTATGCCTTACTTTCTTGTTTTCTCTCCCAATATACTTTTTAATAAGATTATTGCCAGAAAAGGAAGGCCTTGGCCTCAAAAGCAGCAGTGGTGAGTCCAGGTGCAGTGGCTCATACCTGTAATCCCAGCAGTTCAGGAGGCCAAGGCAGGAGGATCACTGGATGCCAGGAGTTCAAGACTAGCTTGGGTGACACAGTGAGACTGCATCTCTACAAAAAATTAGCCAGGTGTGGTGGCTCACACCTGTAGTCTCAGCTACTTGGGAGGCTCAGATGAGAGGATCTCCTGAGCCCAGCAGTTGGAGGCCCCACTCCAGCCTGGGTGAGAGAGTAAAACAACGTCTATTAAAAAAAAAAAAAATAGATGTGACCAGGTGTGGTGGCTCACTCCTGTAATCCTAGCACTTTGGGAGGCCAAGGTGGGTGGATATCCTGAGGTCAGGAGTTTGAGACCACCCTGGCCAACATGGCAAAACCCAGTCTCTACTAAAAATACAAAAAATTTGCAGGGCATGGTGGCAGGAGCCTGCAGTCCCAGCTACTCAGGAGGCTGAGGCAGAAGAATTGCTTGAACCTGGGAGGTGGAGGTCACAGTGAGCCGAGATGGTGCCACTGCACTCCACCCTGGGCAACAGAGTGAGACACTGTCTCAAAAAAACAAAACAAAGAAAAAAAAACAACAACAACAAATACAGGTGTAAGTTAGGTGTGACTTTGTTCCAGTGGGCAGACATTACAATGTCCTGGAAGATGAGGTATGGAGTGGAAAGAGCTGTTGAGTGGACTTAAAGAAGGCAGTGAGCTTCCTGACAGCAGGTCAAGGAAAATCATCAGGTGCTCCAGATTACCTCTGCTAACTTTTCCTGAGTCTCAGACAATAAAACCCAAAGCCCAAGAAGTCTTTCCAGCCCAAGATGGCCACATCATTCTCTCAGCGAAGATTCTGTGCCAAAAACAAATCACTGCCAAGCCCCAAGTTTAAGCCCCCAACCCACCATTATGTCATCACTGCTGCAAATCAGGCAAGGACCGGAGCCAACGTGCCTCTTGTTGGGTAGAAAACAGATGGCTGGACCCAAGAAAGCTGACGGAAGGAATCGCAAAACAAGTATCAATCAATCCAAGCAACTCGGCATTAGCAAACAGACGGCTTCGCAGCTCTGGGCAGGGCTCTCTGGTGGCGTTTTTAGCGGCATTCCTAATTAAGGATGAGCTGTGGAACTCATCAGCCACCCTACGTCCCTGTTAAATGTGGCAGGTGGCATCGAGAGCCCCTCCTACTATGACTTCTCAGTTGTGCTCAAGAAGGGCACATCAGTGCCAGCCAAGGATCTGTGAACAGAAACAGAATGGAGGAGGAATTTAAAGGGACATCATCCCCCAGAATAAAGTCCCATTGGCCTTCTAGGCTGTGTCTCCCAGTCCAGCACTTCTGTTGGTGGCTCGAGGTGAATTCTGGCTCTCTGATGAGATGCAGATTCCAATGGTAGTACAGATTCTTCCAGGAGAATGGCCCCCTGTTACAGCTTTGGTGATTCCCAGAGCACTTAGAATAGTGCTTGAAACATTCACAAATGTTTTCCAGCTTGATCCATTGGGTTTTATTTAGAATCCTAAATGTTCCATTTTGGCTGTCCCACTTACCTGGGTCTTTATCCTCTGTCCACTCTTAATACTTTTTGCATATTTCCACTGTGTTGGCTACATCTCTGAAGTTCTTGAGGAAGACAGCCAGGACTTATGTTTTCCTCTGGATCCTTCTATCTCTCTAGTACCTGAATCAGGAATGAGCAAATCATGAGCTGGCCATTCATGCTTGCTGACCTCACTTGATGTTCAGGACTGACTGGATGTGGGTTACGCCCATGAGTCTCTGAGGCCAGGGTCCTCTCTTGCCACTTGCTCTATTGTTCACCTATGCCACTGTGTGAGGAATGCTATCACCCTACTAAACTCCATTACAACATCAGGGGGATGTGGCGTCTTTGTGTTCCCAGTTTAGTAATCAGAAGGAGTCAATGACCTTACATCAAGCTCAAATAGTCATTTTACCCAGAGTACAGAATACTGACTCTGACGTTTCCCATTTGTGTAATCCTCACGTGATCAATTTAACATTATTAAACTAGATGAAACCTGTAACATGCCCAACATGGTTTCCGAAACACGGAACATGCTCCACTTGTGATTGCAAATTTAAGATTTTTTAATTATAAGAATTAAAAAACTTTATTCGTTGTATTGTAAGATTTGTATTTCCTTGAGGTCCTTAGCTTAGATTCCCATTGGTGAAAAGGAAAAGAATACAAAATAAAGAACTTTTTAAAAAATAGGTGAAACATGGCTATAACCTCACAGATTTCCTTCTAAGTATTCGGATTTTAGACTTCAAGAGTGATGAGAGTGATTCTCTGATCACTGGTGGAACCAAGTTTATTGCTTTCAAGGTCATTCTGCTTTT
The DNA here is from genome assembly GCF_000001405.40 of Homo sapiens. Lineage (NCBI taxonomy): Eukaryota > Metazoa > Chordata > Mammalia > Primates > Hominidae > Homo > Homo sapiens. Next base: position 21,225,407 of record NC_000008.11, read on the forward strand.
TTCATGTTGTTGCTATCTCTTGCAAACCATAGTGATCCCGATGTGTGGACAGCAAGGAAAGACTGGACAAGCAGGTGTCATAAATCCCAAGAGGCAGGTGAGGGCAGGATCCCACAGCAACAAACTTAGGGTAAAACATGGATCGCCCTGGGAAGCAAAGGACCCTAAGGTGTGGAAATCCTAAACTCAGTGAGAATAGATCAGGAACAAGCCAATGGGAGCAAAGAGGTCAAGAAAAGTCAAGCTCCGATTCTGCCAACCAGATCTCCGCCCAGAAGATGTGGTCCTATGTAAGGACTGTGTGTACGATTGGACTTTTCACCTAACTAGAAGCAGAAAACCGAGTGCACTCGAGAAAATTACGGGACTGTTGAGAAAGGTAGAACACCAACTATGGATGTGTTCTGACTCCACTTGAGTCAAAGATAGGGACCCGATGGGGTGGTAGTACAAATGGCAGGTGCTCCTCATTGCTCTAGTCTTTCAGATATGCCTGCCAATGGCAGTGCTGGGAGCGAGGACTGGAGGCGTGCACGGGGTGACCTCTCAGATCCTTCTCTCCGTTTCTCACCCAGACTCCCCTCCTGCCCACCTGCATTGATTCTGGAGTTCCATGTTGCTTCTCCATGAGAGTCTGTGGGTGGACGGCCTTTATTAGAAGGGGATGATATGTGATATAAAAATCACACACATAAAATCAATTTTGCAGGGGCCTAGAAAAAGCCATAAATGACAGGTCCATAGATAGTTATTTTAAAAAATCCAGGTTAAATATTCACAAGGCTGAGTGGCTCAGTGGTCTCAAAGCCTGCTCCTGTCTGATTCTATGAGGCTATCTCACTATTTAACAAATATATACCTGACTGAAATTCTCAATAGACCAGGAATCAAGGATTTAATGAGAAAGGACCAAAGCCATCTGAAGGCATCAGAAAAGACAGAGATGTTCTTAGAGTCTGATTGGGCTGGTGTTCCCTGCCTCTACCTGACAGGCTTGCCTTCAAATTAATTAAAAAGTCAAATTTGACTGTCATCCCAGTATCTGGTGAAGGAACAAGCTGTCCATAAATCACCTTGCGTTTGCATAAAAATTGTATGCTTTTCTAAGTGCTTTATCATCCATTGGCTCATCTGAACTTCATGGCAACTCTGCAAAGTAGGCAAGCAAAGAATTGGTGAAACAGCCATAGAAAATGCTGGAGCCAGACTGTCAGAGTTCAAACTCTTGCTCAGCCTTTTCCCAGCTGATGACCTTGGCCAAGTGACTGACCTCTCAGTACCTCTACCTCCTTTCTCCATAAAATGGGCACAATCATAATACCTGCATCATAGTGTTTTGGGAGGAAAAATAAATTAGCTGATATGTGTAAAACAGTTACAATAATGCCTGGTAGATTTTTTTAAAGCTGGAAAAAATATTTGCCTTCAATTATTATTGGTCTCACTTTATGGTTGTATCCTCAGCTTTAGACCCAGAATTACCACTAGCTAGAAATTCACTTCAACACTAACCTCAATTTCCTCATATACAAAATGAGGGCTCATCCCTACCTACCTCATAGACCTCCTAACAGATACAGAGGATAATGCATCAGAAAATGCCTTGCAAGCTGCAACAGGTTACAGACTTCAAAGAATAGCATTCCTTCCATGTCCTCCCAATAGGGATGGATCTGATATCACCAACCTCGCTAGGTTCTACTCTCAGACCTTCACAGAGGACAAGTGGATATTGAGAAACACCAGAAATGGAGCTGTTATTGATGCTTTACCCCAAATCCTTTGTTCCCTCCAGCTCCCACCAGGACCAGCCCAGCATCAGTAAAGCAGAGAGGAGAAGAAGCACCTGCCTGGAGGGGTAGGGTGTCTCCACAGCCCCCAGCAGATGTGCCAAAGCCCAGCAAAGGTTCTGAGAGACAGGCCCATCTGCCTCTCCTCCCTGACAGCTAAAAAAATTCTTCCATCACCAGAGTGTGTCACAACCTGTCAAAGATCAGTTTGATGTTTACAGTCCAGGGTGAGGAACAGGTCTGATGTGAAACAAGGCAGCCGCAAGGTTGCCTGAACCCTGCCAAGGCATGAATCAGGGCTCCGAGAAGGTGAGAGAGGGGAGGGTAGAACATACTGAACCCTCTGTGTTTTGTCCTAAGTCCTCACCACATTATTTTTTTAGGAAGAGATCCTGAAAGGAAAACCAAACACAAATTGACAACATCAAATTTCAACCAAACTGTCAAGCAAGCATGGAGCATTCCAGGAACGCCAAGAAGTGGATTCCCAAACATAATGAGGTGGGAGGCACGTGGCATCTCATCAGGGAGCATTAATTCTCTTCTGTAGGACCTTCTTGGGGACAGGGGTCAGGATGAACGGGCTGTGACCCCTCCTCACGTGTCTCCCTAGTAGTTGAGCTAGTACCCTGCTCAGTACATTAAGGCTCTGCATGATATTGTATTTGAAAATGAGATTCTTCAGCTAGAAGCACAGACATAAATAAATAATATCATGAGTCACTGTGTTCTGAGCAAGACGGCCCAGCTAGAAGGAGCAGGTCACCTCCCTAACACTACTAGGATGCCCTCCACGGGATCCCCTGTATTTTTATTATTTCACCACCAAATACTTGTGCACCAAACACTCTGGACAGGTACCAGAAATGCTAAAGGTTTTACATCCAGTTCCTTCCTTAATAGGTTTACAAGGAGGCTGAGGACAGGACATATACTTTATCAGAAGATATACCCAGGAAGTGGGCCAGGCCTGTGTGTGCCAGAGCCAGGGTAGCCAGCACAGGCTTCCTAGGGGCAGTGTGGCCAGAGCAGTGCCTGCGAGACAGGAAATCATAAAGGAGGCAGAAAATAGAGAAGAGGCAAGAAGGGATGGCGTCTGCAGAGGAATGCAGGCTTAGATGGGCAGGAGGATCTGGAGGCAATGAGTAGATGACCTGGGAGCAGAGGATTCCTGTAACGGAGTAAAAGGGATGATGGGAGGAGAAGCAAAGAATAATTCTCAGTCTATTCAAAGACACAAATGGTCAAAAGAACCCAAAAGCAGTACATGTGTGACCTATCTGTGTATTTGAGTTCAGGTTGTATTGTTCAAGCTCCTTGCCCACTTCCACTAGGGATGGAGACAAGAGAAGGGAACTGGGGAAGGGAGAGAAAAGTAAAGAGGGGCAAGTGTGAGGTCTGCATGAAGAGGCTCACTGATGTCCTTGCCTTTCCCTGTTCCAGCCCCATCCCATACAGGGCACATAGCCCAAGGCTGGATCCCACACCAAGACAGGAGATGGAACTGAGATAGAATCTGAGGCCAGAGTGGATCACAGTGGGAGGGGGGCTGTGACTTGCATGGAGTGGCTGCAGGAGGGCTGGGGTGGAGTGGGAGAGGGAAGCAGGGTCCCACGATGTTCCTGAACCACAGGCCCTCCCCACACCCTGACTATGCCCCACTGAGGCTGAAGCCTTGCAAGTCATGTCCACCCCTAGGGAAAAAAGCAATGCAGTCAAACTATCAATCAATCACCAAAAGCAAGCAAGACATTTCCTCTGTTCCTTTTTGGGGCCTCAAGAGGATTGGGCCTGGGACACAGACACACAGATTCACTGGCAGGAACACAGAAAGGAACCCACAAGGATGGCATTGTGGCCCCTGTCCATACTACTAATCCAGACTTAGATTTGTCCACATCTATATGGACCTCTGCATTCCGTCTACTCACCTGCACCTTCTCTCATGAGCAGACACGCACCAAGAAACACATATAGAAATGTGAGAGGATCCCCAACACCTATCCCCCAGACCTCAAGCACATACCCTCTGGCCTAGCATCTGATCTTCAAGCCTAACAATGGCAAGTAAGGAGGGTAGGGTTGCCAGATAAGACACAAGACACCCAGTCAAATTAGAGTATCAGATAAGCAACAAGTCATGTTTTAGTCTAAGTATGTCCTAAATAATGCATGGGATATACTTATCCTTAAAAAAAAAAAAAAAAACACTAGATTTTTTGTTTGTCTGGAATTCTGATTTAACTTATATCCTGTATTTTTAGTGGCAGCCCTAGAAAGATGACAGGTGGAGGTGAGGGAGGAGGAGAGAGAAGATGAGGGGAGGGAAGGAAGAAATAGGCAGGCAGTAGCTCTGTTTTAAAATAATAATAATAAAATAACATACCTAAACACTTTAGCGAGTTGCAAAAACATCAGGGCAGATGAGCCACGTCTTCCCAAGGTCACCTCTTCCCAAGATGACCCAACAGGACATCTTTCTGGGTCACGAACTTCTAAAGGGTGATAATGCAGCAGTCCCACAAGACACTCCTTTGCATATTTAATATTCAACATAATGATGCTCAAATCATTTAATACTCAGAATACTCTACAAAATGGTATTATGATTTCCATTGCACAGAGGTTCAGAAGAGTTAAGTCATTTGCCCAAAGTCCCTATCTTTAAATGACATATCCAGGATTGTAAGCCTGACCAGACCCCAAACCTGCCTTCCCTCCAACACCCCATATCCAGAGCCCGAATGCCATCCTCAGCATCAGCCGAGGGAACATTCTGCAAGAATGGAACTGCTCTGAATCTGCACTCTCCAATATGGGAGGCTCAAACCCATGTAGCTACTGGGCACTGAAAGTGTGTGTCTAGGGAGATGGAGCAACGGAAGTCTTCATTTAATTTTCATTTCATTTCATTTTAAATAATGAAAAACTTTAAAAGCCACATGTAGCTTGTGGATCCCGGAATGGAAAGCACAGATAACAGCTCCTCCCTGTCCAGGGAGCCAAGCTCCCCCGACCCCCTTTGTCTGTCCCTTTGATTGCCCTGAAGCCTGGGCCTGGCATCCCCTATATAGCAAAAGGGTCCCAAGAAACACAAGATGCAGTTGTAATGTCCTTGGAAATCATCCCTTCCACCTCCTCACCTCCAAGATGGGGAATCTGACAGCCAAGGAGCCAGAGGCCCCAGGATCATTTCAGGGACAGAGCTAGTATTGGAGAGTGGGCTTCTCACTCCCACACCCCTGTTCTTTTCTGGCTTAGAATGGGAAAAGCAAAACTCAGTGGTTCCCAGCACAGGCTGGGCAGCCCTAGAAGTCCCCTCCGGGATCTGAGCCCCACCTCGAAAACACCTACTGTTTTCTGAAAGGATATGAAAGGAGACTCATCTCAGAGACCAGAAGAGATAAGTCTATCTGATTAATGCAGAGAATTTGAGAGACAAAGTAATAAATGACAACATTAGCACAAAACCTTGCTGAGTGTGCTCCCCCCATTACCTCAGAATCATAATTACATCAGCCTTTCATATTACACACCCTAGTAATTATAGTCGGCTAACGGCTTCCCACTGAAATCAGATATTAACTTTTTATTATACCCTCTGAGAGCAGGTTGGAGATAATCACAGCATCAAGGAAGTCTGGGGTGGTCCCTAGAAGGTCAGCAGCCCCAGTGACCTCCTTCAGGGGCAATCCAGCCCAGTCAATGCCCCACCCATCTAGGACCACGAGATACTCCTGTTACGGTTGTATCCTCTGTAACAGAATCCAGTGAGGAGTGAGGGGTCCTGAAATCCAGTCCAAACTCACTTGCTAAACTCTGCACCATGGAACAAGTCTTTCTCTAATCCATTCACAGGGTCCCCCACCTCCACTGCACACACTCCTCAAGGCTGGGACTCTCAGGGCCTCAGCCCGCTGGAGAAGAGACTTGTTCTCTGGAGAGCAACTGTGATGTAAAGGCATGACTAGTGTGCTAGTCCTGTTTTTGACAACTATGCATAGGGTGACCTTGGACCAGTCATCTCCCATCTTTGAGGCTTGGTTACTCCTGTCTTGACAAGGAGGATGTCTGTTCTGCCATCCTCATAGGGATGCTATAAAAATCAAATGAGATCACGGCTTTGAAAGTACTTTCTATTCTCGACATCCCACATGAACATCAGGCTTTATTAATTATTTGGCTGGCTCTCACCCCCAGGAGTCATTGTGGGAGGCTGAGCTGCCCGTCCCCTGGCACACCAAGCTTGCCTGGCATTCATAGGTTGTCATGCTTTGGTCCTCAGCACTTCGCAGATCAGCAGATCCCACATGAGACTCTCAAGGACTACCACTACTGGGGGAAATACACATTTATATGTTAATTCTTTAGACTTTTGAAAGCGTTTGTGCATACATTATCTCATTTGAACTTCACAGCCATTCAGTGATTTGTAGGGAAGGCACTCTCCTCACTTTGCAGAAAAGGAAACAAACTCAGGGGAGTGAAATGACTCCTGGAGTTGCATAAATTCAAATTTACACTTCTGTAAGAGACACAGGTAGGGGTGGGACTTTCTCTCTGCAATCACAGCGCTCATGAGGCTTCGGGTCCAGCAGACACTTGGGCATTGATACTTGATGAATAATGAGAAGATGAATGAGTGGATAAATAAGCAAACATCTCAAAGCCATCTAACAGCCCCAAATCTGGATTCACACAGCAGGAGAGACAGGCACAAGTCAAGACCATTTTAAGAAGTCAAGGTTACCAGCCTGGCCAACATGATGAAACCCTGTGTCTCCTAAAAATACAAAAATTAGCCAGGTGTGGTGGTGGGAGCATGTAATTCCAGCTACTTGGGAGGCTAAGGCAGGACAATCACCTGAACCTGGGAGGCAGACGTTGCAGTGAGCTGAGATCACGCGACTGTACTCCAGCCTGGGCAAAAAGAGCAAGACTCCATCTCAACAAAAACAAACAAACAAACAAAAAAAGTAAAATTCTGTTCTGATTATTTGCTGACCTGTCAAACACCTGAGAGGTTATATTTGTTTCACAGATTGGAAAACTCAAGTTCAGAGAGGCAAAGTGAAAGGCCCAGTTTAACCTTGAGTGAGTAGGTATATTTAGATACAACCGCCACCTCCAAGTGGAAGCAAGGTGTGGGGCACCAACCCATGCAGTCTCACCTTGAGGTCTCCCTGAAGATTCCTGAACTCTGGATAAATAAGTAGAGTTTAGAGTTTCTATATCCCTGAGGAGGATGAGAATTGCCCAAAAAAAAATCTGCAGACCTCTAAACATATCAAATTAAAAGCTACCAACAGGGGCTGGGTTGAGAAGTGAAGGTGAAAAAAAATCCCAACTCAGAGTGTGTGTAAAATATTTTCCCTGGAGGACTTAGTACAGAAATAGTTTTAATTAACTGTGCATTTCATTTAAGCTTAGCAGGCAAGTTATTGTACATTAAATAAATACCAGTTGGTTATTAAGAATGTATTTACTTCTGACTTAACAACTACAACAGGTTATAGATACAGATTTCTGTAAAAGCACAGTCTGGTACATTTGTTTGGAATAATCAATTGTTCTTTACTCAGGATATAATAATTGCCTTATTGAATCTGGAGAGGCTCTTCTCTTGGCAATTCACAGCAAAAAAAATCTCATTTAGTGATTCTGTTCTTTTCTCCCAAAGAAGAAGAAGGAGCAAGGAAGACAGAGATTTTAGAACCCAGGTCTCTGACTTAAGGGGCAAGTTGGCCCAGTGCAGATTTACCGCAGCCTCCGCATCTGGGAGATGTGGACATTGGACCAGGCAGAGAAGCCCAGGTAACTGAGTCTAAATAACAAACAATTGTTTAGTATAAGTATGTCCCATACAATGTTTGGGACATACTTATAACAGTTATTCATGACCTATCTGAAATTCAAATTTTACTGAGCATCCTAGATTTTTGTTTGCTCAGTCTGTCAACCCTATTCTTGATGAGCCACAAAGGTATTGAGTGATATGTAGAAGGGTGGTATATGGACACCACCCTCAACCCTAGCTCAGTTCTCCATCTACAAGATGCCTTGAAGTGAGTGAAATGAGCTGGACAGACACCAACTTTTATGCCCAGATGCAGGGGGAGTCCCCCAGATCCTCTAAACAGATACCCCACTCAGCAGTAGCCCTTACCTTGTGTTCTCCTGCTCAATCTCCTCTGTGGGTCACAGATCACATGGTCATTGATATGGTTTGGATGTGTTCCCACCCAAATCTCATGTTCAATTATAATCCTCAATATTGGAGGTGGGCTTAGTGGGAGGTGATTGGATCATGTGGATGGATCCTTCGTGAATGGCTTAGCACCATCCCCTTGGTGCTGGTCTCTTGAAATCTGGTTGTTTAAAAGTGCGTAGCACCTACCCCAACTCTTCCTCCTACACTGGCCATGGAAGATATGCTTGCTTCTCCTTGCCTTCTGCCATGATTGTAAGTTTCCTGAGGCCTCCCCAGAAGCCAAGCCGAAGCCTCTATGCTTGCGTACAGCCTGCAGAACCGTGAGCTGTTCCTTATAAATTATCCAGTGTCGAGTATTTCTTTATAGCAATGCAAAAATGGACTAATACAGTCATACAGTCATGAGGTTGTCCTCTGGCTAATAAATGAAGAAAGTGAGGGCCAGGAAGCCAAGCGACCTGAGAAAGATTACACAGCCAATTGCTGGAAGAGCTTGGTTTTATGATCATCATTCATCATCGTCATCATCGTCATCATCATTTATGATGATCCACTAGTACTAGTATCAGGAAGTGTTAATCTCATGTCAGGCCCTTTGCTTAGGAAACCATCACTGTAACCCTATGAGAACGATATTGTATTGTTTCTATTTTTTTAATAGCTGAAATCAAAGTCTCAACTCAGAATCCACAAATTCTCCCCATGACACCACGTTACTCTTTCCTCTTCAACTTGTTTTCTCTCTTTCTTCACTTCTTCTATCCTCATCTATAAAAAAGTCTACAGTATCCAACATCTACTAAAAGCCCAACGCTGAGCCAGGTACTCTGGTGAACTGATAAAAAAAAAATGCAAAATGAAAAAGATTTAGAGGCAGCATTGCAGAGTGGCTAACAGCACAGAGCATGGAGCCCAATTGCCTGGATTTTGAATCTTAACATCTGCACTCACAAACTGGTGAACCCAGACAAATTATGTAACCTTTTGGTGCCTTCCTTTTCTAATTATAAAATGATATGATACGATAATAGTGCTTAGAGTAGTGCCTGGCACATGGTAAGCACTGTATAAATATTTACCATGGCTGCTAGCATAACAAAGTGCCTGAAATCTGAGAACTGAACAATTAGCAGAGCTCAGCAGAGGCTGCAGAGCACAGAGCTAGATCCTGCTTTGTGGCTGGTAACTGCCTTCCTTTCCTTTGCTATCTTGAAGCCATTGGGGAAATAGCCCAGGTCAGCAAAACATGCTCTCAAACACTATGTATTCAACCTCAAATCCCATGTTAACCATAACATAAGGCCAATAAACATGATAATCCAGTTCTAGGATTTTTAGAAGAGTTTCACTTTCAAATATTCTTTTACACTATGATCAGAAATCATGTCGAAGTATTCAAATTTCCATCATTTATGAACCCATAATACTTCAGCCTGTCTTCTCCGATCATAAGCAGCACATCAAACTGCTGTGAGACAGGACTCCCACTACCCAACTACCAAAAAGTTAGAAACATGATGACCACACAGGTAGCCATACTGTTATACATAGATATATCAGATCATATTAAGACAGAAATTTACGTTAGGTCTGATATTAAATTGCAGTTACTGAAATAAATAGCCTGGTATTTATTATATCAGATATGATTCCAAAATGATTGAAAGAGAGCTTCCAAAAATACAGAAAGTACAGGATGTATATAATTGGCCATCACAAAAGTAATGTGAATTTCTAAAAATTTAATTAAAAATAAGTGGAAGACCTTAAGACCAGTCATCAGACCTTAAGACCAAAAATTAAAGTAAAATAAAACTATTAAGTAAGTAATAAGCCATCAAAAGTTTCCATGACCAGATGCCTTCAGCAGTAAATTCTACTAGTCCTTTAAGGATGAGATAATTTCCATATTATAAACATTGATCCAGAGCATCGGTAAAGATGAAAAGCTAACTGAGTCATTTTATAAAGTTGGCATAAGTCTTGTACCAAAAATGAAAAAGATGAACAAAAATAGTAAACTGTAAACTAATTTCACTTACGAATATAGATGCTAAGTCTCTAAGGAAAATAATAGCATATGGAATTCAATAGTACATTAAAAGAATGATCAACTGTTACCAAGAATGACTCATCCTAGGAAGGACAGGACATGATATTATTAGGAAGTCTATTAATACAAAATACCACATCAATTAGAAAAACTTAAAATAATCTCAATGGTGGCCACCAAAGTTATTCAATAACATTTTTTTGGTAAAACCATTTGGAAAAATAACAATGAAAGAGAACTTGCTAATAAAGACTATCAAGTTTAAACTACCTACCTATATTATACCTGCTCACTGTGAGCCTAACAGTTATCTACTGCCTCAATAATGCTGTGTAACAAGTCACTCCAAAGCTCAGTGGCTTAAATCAACCATAATTGGTTTAGCTTATGAGTCTGAAGGCCAGCTGAGTGGCTCTTCTAGCCTTCACTGAGCTCATGCTCATGAAGAAGGGTGACTGGTTTGGGGATTATGTCACTGGGTTTCAACTTGGTTGACTAGCATAACTCAACTCTGCCCCAAGTATCTCATCTTCCAACAGGGTGCCACAGGCATGTCTTTCTCATGGACATAGAAGAGTACACTGGCGAGCAAGACCACTTTTAAAGCCACTCTGTGCTTTATGTTTGCTACTATCCCACTGGCCAAATGACAAGGCCAAGCTCAGAGTCAGAGCAGAAGAGCATTCCACAGTTACACAGCAAAGGGTGTAGTTCCAGGGAGGAATGGAGACTGAAGCCATTTTTCAGTCCATGACATTAGACTCAGGGCAACTGTATCAGCTCTACTGCACAATAATAGATTTTACATTAAAATTTTATTTTTTACATAAGTAAATAGTCTATGATCAAATAAGTTTGGTAGGTGCTAGGTGTAATAATAAATAATGTTAAACAGGTTTGTTTTCAATAGGACTTCTCAAGTTTTTATGTGTCATGAAGATTTCCATGTGAAGATTATAGTCTTTCTCAAACCAGTTTGAACACAGAACCCCTTTGTTTTTTACAGAACATCTGGAAGGCTGAATGCTTATCGGACACACTTTGGGAAAAGTAAAGGATATAAATTTTTTTTGAATGGCATTCACAATAGCTGAAAAGAAAAGGAGAAAAATGCCATTATATACTCAGAATTAATCTTGATAATAAATAAGCAGGATTTACATAAGGAAAAAAACAAAACTTCATTGAGAGGTATAAAATAAAAATTTAATTAAATAGAGACACATTATCTTCCTGAAAGAAAAGAATCAATATTGTAAAGAAAACAATTCTTTCTAAATTGATTTATAGATTTAACATAACCCCAATGAAAATCTCAATGAAATAATAATACCCAAGTTTTGGCAGTGAAAACAGACATCTTCATACACTGCTGGTGAGAGTTTACATTGGTGCAGTCTTTTAAAAAAGCAATTTGGAGCCTTAAAATTGCTCATACCTGTTGACCCAGATTTTGAAACAGACCCTAAGGAAATGATCAAATGTGAACAAAAATCTGTTTACACAGATTTTCATTACGACACTGTTTAAAGGAGAAAAAATTGGTAATAACCTAAACATCCACCAATAGCGGCATCACTAAATGGATTTTCAGGATTTTATTTAAGTGAGTATCATGCAATATTAAAACTCGTGATTCCAAAATTTCATCAGATATGAAAATGCTTACAAGGTAACCTGGGGAGGGAGGCAGAAGCAAGATGTAAGTTTTATTCAATATGAACCCAACCCTGTTACCCATAGGCCCCTAGAATAAAACCATGAGGAAATAAAACAAGATATTACTATTAATATTTCTGGATTCCATCTATTTTAATTTTTATACTCCCTGACTTATATAATAAACATGTGTTATATTTATTTTTAAAGAATTATCACAGTAAATGTTTCAAGGATGAAAAAAAATTAAATCATCTGAAAAAACAGTAAGTGGGATCAACCAAGATAATGTCAGAAAGGAAGATTGTTGGGGGGAAAGTGTTACACCAGAGGCAGAATTTATCCTACCAAATAAAAAAGAAGGTATAAAAACACTATGGTACTCAAGAATTGATATATCAACTAGCAAAAGCCACCCCCCCAAAAGGCTGTAAGTATAAAATATTAAAAATAATATAAGCATCATAACCTACAGGAAGCATTGAATTTTCCAATAAATGGTTTTAGAAAAATTTACCATTTGGGAGGGAAATAGATCCTCATCATATACTCTACACAGACAAACTTTAAAGGATTTAAAGAGTTAAATTTAAAGCAATGAGACTATAAAAAATTAAGTAAAAAGTTACATGACCAATTGAACTTAGAAAAGATAGAACTTTTTAAAGCATAATCCATAGAAAAACCATCCAGAAAAGAGTGGCAGGGGCCATGGTTTTACTATTTAAAAACTAAAAGGTTCTAAACTTCAACATAATCAAATCAAATACAAAATTTTAGGAGGCATCACGGCTTGGGGGAAATATTTGCAACAAATAGAACTTATAAAGATTCAATGAATTTTACATATGAAGGACCCTCACAGATCCCTCAAACAGCCAGCTCTTCATGTGGGCAGATGTCAGCAACTCTACTGCTTTCCTGTGTGCAATCTCTCCAAGCCTCAGTTTCCTCACCTGTCAAAATGAGCATAACCACCCAAGAGAGTTGTGAGAATTACATGAGATAAATCTATAAGCTGTTTTAGGCACACACCTGGCATTTAGTGAGTACTCAATACATGTTAACTAAAAGCACTTCTATGAATTTGATAAATGTCAATCTAGTATCCACTATGAGATGGGGACAGTGCTAGGCACTAGGGATAAACTACAACGGAGTAGGCACAGTGGGTCATAGCTGGGTAATCCACTCATTCTCATCTCCAGGGTGCATAAAAGTCTTCTAGAGGTGGTGGTTTTAAGTCAAGTCTAAAGGATAAAATGTCAGCTAGGCAAGGGGACAGAAGAGTAACTGAGGTAGAGAAGACAGCCTATGTGAATACTGGGAGATGAAATGGCACAGAGGAGATTCTTATATCACACAAGCGTTCCTCATCGCAGTAGAGAAAGCTTAAGGTGGAGAGTTGAGAAAGAGGAAGCTAGAGGAGTTATCAGGGTCTCCAGGCGCTGGGTTAGGAAGCTTGGACTTACTTTGAGGGTGACAGGAAGCCCTTTTTAATGGTCTTAACTGTGGATGTTTTAAGGATTTTAAAAAAGGTTTTTAAGTAGGGATGTGACCTGTACTCTGAAATGAACACTCTAGTTGTAATGTGGAGAATGAATTAGAAAGAGCCAAGATCAGAGGCAGAGAGAACTCTGAGGAGCTGATGCCTAGAAAGGACGATGGTGGCTGAGCCAGGACAGGGGCCAGGAGGATGAAGCAATATAGACAGATTTGAGGGATTTTTAGGAGACAAAATGAACAGACATGGTGACTGATTGAATGCAGGAACCAAGCGGCAGGGATTAGTTAAGGTTGACACTCAGAAATCCCAAAGCTTTCAGAACACGAGTGTAACGACGGACAAAAATCGCAAAGGTCAGAAAGACACAGTTCAAAAAAAAACCAGAAATAGCACAGTCAAAACAGACATTAGAGAAATATTTGATATCAGTTTTAATGAAAGATATGTAAATTTTGAAGGAATATAATTTATCATCAATCATATTGTACGTATTAAATGCACATTCAGAAATATGTAAATTACTTTTAGGCTCTGCTTTATGCTATCTGGACACACTGGTGAATGAGTGATCATTTATCAGTTTATGTTTATTCTACTGGATGGATTTAACCAATAAGTCTTTTGTTTCCTTTTAGCTTTTTTAACTGATACATTAATAATCGTACATATTTATTAGGTACATGGGATATTTTGATACCTGCATACAATATACAACAATCAAATTAGAGTAATTAGGATATCCATCACCTGAAACACTTATCATTTCTTTGTGCTGGTAATATTCCAAATCTTCTCTTCTAGCTATTTTGAAATATACAGTAAGTTATTGTTAACTATCATCACCCCACTGTGCTAGCAAACACTACAATTTATTCCTTCTGTTTTTGTACCCATTAGCCAATACCTCTACATTCCCTCCTCCCCACTACCCTTCCCAGCCTCTGATAGCCATCATTCTACTCTTTGCCTTCATGAGATCAACTTGTTAAGCTTCTATATATGAGTGAAAACATGCAGTATTTGCCTTTCTATGCCTGGCTTATTGCATTTAACATGATACCTAACCATGTTGCTGCAAATGACGGAAGTTTCTTCGTTTTTATAGCTGAATAATATTCCATTATGTATATATACCATATTTTATCTATTTATTTGTTGATGAATACTAACTTTGCTTCCCTATCTCACCTAATGTGAATAGTGCTGCAATAAACATAGAAGTGCAGATAATATGCTAATTTCCTTTCTTTTGGATATATGCCCCGTGGTGGGATTGCTGGATTATATGATAGGTCTATGTTTAGGTTTTTGAGACTACTCCATACTGTTTTTTATAGTGGCTGTGCTAATTTACATTCTCAACTGTAGTGTATTAGTGTTCTCCTTTCTCCATTAGCATTTGTTATTTTTTGTCTTCTTAATAGCAATTTTAACTGGGCTAAGATGATATCTCAGTGTGGTTTTAATTTGTGCAATGTGGTTTTAATTTGCCTTTCATACGAGTGATACTGAGCATTTTTTATACACCTGTTAGTCATATATATGCTTTTTTTTGAGAAATTTCTATTTAGATCATTTGCCCATTTTCAATTGGATTATTTGGGTGTTATTTATTTGTTGTTTTGCTATTTTATTGCTTGAGTTCCTCATCTGTTCTCATTATTAATCCCTTTGCAGATGAATAGTTGGCAAATACTTTCTCCCATTTTGTAGGTTATCTTTTCACTCTGTTGATTGTTTCCTTTGCTGTGCAGAAGCTTAGTTTACTGTAATTTCATTTATTTATTTTTATTCTTGTTGCTTGGGCTTTTGAGTTCTCACCCAAAATATCTTTGCCCAGGTCAATGTCCTAAAGCATTTCTCCAATGTTTTCTTATAGTAGTTTTAGAATTTCATGTCTTACATTTAAGTCTTTAATCTATTTCAATTTGATTTTTGTAAATGTTGAAAAACAGGGGCCTAGTTTCATTCTTCTGCATATGGATATCCAGTTTTCCCAGCACCATCTATGGAAGGGACTATCCTTTCCCCAGTGTATGTTTTTGGCACCTTTGTTGAAAATGAGCTGTCTGTACATGTGTAGATTCATTTCTAGGATATCTACTCTGTTGCATTGCTCTATATCTCCGTTTATGTGCCAGTGTCATGCTGTTTTGTTTACTAGAGTTTTGTAGTCTGGTAGTGTGATACCTCTAGCTTTGTTCTTTTTGCTCAGGATTGCTTTGGCTAGTTGAAGTCTTTTGCGCTTCCATTCAAATTTTAGGATTTTTTTTTCTATTTCCGTGAAGAATGTCTCTGGTATTTTTATAAGGTTTGGATTGAATCTGTAGATTTCGGGTAGTATGGAAATTTTAATATTAATTCTCCCAATCTGTAAGCATGGACTCTCAATTTTTTTTTACTCCTCAATTTCTCTCATCGGTGTTTTATAATCTTTATTGTAGATATCTTTCACTTCTTTGGTGAATTCCTAGTACTTTTTTTTAGCTATTATAAATAGGGTTGCTGTCTTGATTTCTTTTCTAGATTGTTCACTGTTGTCATTTATAAATGCTACTGATTTTTGGCTGGATGCAGTGGCTCACGCCTGTAATCTCAGCACTTTGGGAGGCCGATACGGGTGGATCACCTGAGGTCAGGAGTTCAAGGCCAGCCTCAACATGGAGAAACCCCGTCTCTACTAAAAATACAAAATTAGCCGGGCTTGGTGGTGCAGGCCTGTAATCCCAGCTACTTGGGAGGCTGAGGCAGGAGAATTGCTTGAAGCTGGGAGGCGGAGGTTGCGGTGAGCTGAGATCGCGCCATTGCACTCCATCCTGGGCAACAAGAGTGAAACCCCGTCTCAAAAAAAAATAAAAATAAAAATAAAAATAAATGCTACTGATTTTTATATGGTGATTTTGTATCCTGCAGCTTTACTAATAAATTTATCATCTCTAACACTTTCTTGTGACATCTTTAGCTTTTTCTAAATATAGAATTATGTCATCTGTGAACAAGGATAGTTTGGCTTCTTCCATTTCAATTTGAATGCATTTTTCTTGCTGAATTGCTCTGGCTAGAATTCCAATACTATGTTGAATAAAACTGGTGCAAGAGGGTATTCTTTTCTAGTTTCAGATATTAGAGAAAGGACTTTTAATTTTTCCACTTTCAACATAATGTTAACTATCATCTTAGCATACACGGTCTTTATTGTTTTGAGGTATATTTCTTCTCTACCCATTTTTGAGAGTTTTTATTGTGAAGAATGCTAAATTTATTGAATTTTTTCTCAATATCTATTGAAATGATCATACAGTTCTTGTTCTTGATTCTATTAATGTGATGTGTCATGTTTATTGACTTGAGTATATTGAATCATCCTTGCCCTGGTATAAATCCCACTTGTTCATGATAAATGACCTTTTTAAAGTGTTATTAAGCTTTGCAAGAATTTTGTTGAGGATTTTTGCATCTATGTTCATCAAGGATATTGGCTTATAGTTTTCTTTCGCTGTGTTTTTTCTTGTCTGCTTTTGGTATCAAGGTAATACTGGCCCCATAAAATCTGTTTGGAAGTATGTCCTCCACTTCAATTTTTTTAAAATAGTTTCTGTCAAATTGGTATTAAATCTTTTTATGTTTGGTAGAATTTAGCAGTGAGGCCACCAGGTCCTGAGTTTTTAAATAGGAGACTTTTTATTACTGCTGCATTGATCTCTTCAAATGTTCTATTTCTTCATGGTTCAATCTTGGTAGGTTGTACGTGTCTGGAAATTTCTCCATTTCTTCTAGGTTTCCCATTTGTTGGCATATAGTTGCTCTTAATAGTCTCTAACAATCCTTTGTATTTCTGTGGTATCAGTTGTAATGTCTTCCTTTTGTCTCTGATTTTACTTGAGTCTTTTGGCTTTTTTTCTTAGTTTAGCAGAATGTCTGTTAATTTTAAGTTTTCAAATAAACAACTTTTTGTTTCATTAATTTTTTGTATTTTTTAAGTGTCAATTTTATTTATTTCTCCCCTGATCTTTATTATTTCTTTTCTTCTGCTAATTTTGTATTTGGTTTGTTCTTGCTTTTTTAGTTTCTTGAGGTGCATTGTCAGGTTGTTTATTTAAAGTTTGCTTTTTGGACATAGGCATTTATTGCTATAAATTTCCGTCATAGAATTGCTTTTGCTGTATCCCACAGGATTTGTCTGCTCTTTTTAGGTTTCCATTTGCATGAAACACCTTTTATGATCCCTTTACTTTCAGTCTATGTGTGTCTTTATAAATGAAGTGAGTTTCTTATAGATAGCATACAGTTGGATCCTTTTTAAATTCATTCAGCCATTCAATATATTTTAATTGGAGACTTTAATCCATTTACATTCAAGAGTATTATTGATAGGTAAGGGTTTACTACTGCCATTTTCTTACTTGTTTCCTAGCTGTTTTATAGATATTTTCTTCCTTTTTCCCTCCTTACTGCCTTCCTTTGTAGTTAAGTGATATTCTCTAGTAATACCTTTTTGATTCTTTGCTATTTATTTTTGGTATATCTATTTTAGGTTTTTGCTTTGTCGTTATCATCAGGTTTACATAGAACATCCTATCATTATAACAGTTTATTTTAAATTGACAATGACTTAACTTTGATCTCAAATAAAAATCAGTAACAAAAACAAACTCTGCACTTTAACAACCCCCCTCCAACATTTTGACTTACTAATGTTTCAATTAACACCTTTTTTGTTGCTTATCTCTTTTTTTTTTTTTTTTTTTTTTTTTTTTTTTTGAGACGGAGTCTCGCTCTGTCGCCCAGGCCGGACTGCGGACTGCAGTGGCGCAATCTCGGCTCACTGCAAGCTCCGCTTCCCGGGTTCATGCCATTCTCCTGCCTCAGCCTCCCGAGTAGCTGGGACTACAGGCGCCCGCCACCGCGCCCGGCTAATTTTTTGTATTTTTAGTAGAGACGGGGTTTCACCTTGTTAGCCAGGATGGTCTCGATCTCCTGACCTCATGATCCACCCGCCTCGGCCTCCCAAAGTGCTGGGATTACAGGCGTGAGCCACCGCGCCCGGCCCTGTTGCTTATCTCTTAACCAATTGTTGTAGTTATTATTGATTTCAACAGTTTTGTCTTTTAGTCTTCCTACTTGAGATATAAGTGGCTTACCTATGGCCAGTGAGGTGGCTCATGCCTGTAATCCCAGCACCTTGGGAGGCCAAGGCAGGCAGATCACCTGAGGTCAGGAGTTCAAGACCAGCCTGGACAACATGGAGAAACCCCATCTCTACTAAAACATACAAAAATTAGCTGGGCATGGCGGTATACACCTATAATCCCAACTACTCAGGAGGTTGAGGCATGATAATCACTTGAACTTGGGAGGCAGAGGTTGCAGTGCGCCAAGATTGTGCCACTGTACTCCAGCCTGGGCACCATAGTGAGACTCTTAAAAAAAAAAAAAAAAAAACTCGTTTACTTACTCCAATTACAGTATTAGAATATTCCAAATTTGTCTGTTTTCTTTCTTTTATCCTTGAGTTTCATACCTTCTAATGCTTTCTTGTTACATGTTGTTATTGTTATTACACTAATTTCTTTCAGATTTAAGGACTCCCTTTAGCATTTATTTTAAGGTAGGTCTAGTGTTGATTAATTCCCTTAGCATTTTTGGGGGGTGTTCGTGGTGGGGAGTTCTGGGAAAATACCCTCTTGAAGGATAGCTTTGCTGAATACAATATTCTGGGTTGACAAATTCTATTCCCCCAACTGCCATCCCCCCTGTAAGCACTTTGCTTTCTACTGGCCTGCAGGATTTCTGCTGAGAAATCCACTAAAAGCCATATTGGCATATTGGGGAACCAATAAATGTGATATGTCTCTTTTCTCTTGCTACTTTGAGTATTCTTTGTCTTTGATTTTTGCTAATTTGATTACGATGTACTTTAGAGATTTCCTTTTTGGGTGGAATTCGACTGGTGACTTCTCAGCTTCCTGTACCTGGCTACTGTCATTTTTCTCCAGATTTGGGAGATTTCCAGCCACTGTTTTTCTTAAACATGCTTTGTAGGCCTTTTTCTCTCTTGCCTCCTTCAGGAATTTCTATTATGTGAAAGTTAGTTTGCTTGATCATGTCCCATAATTCTCATAGTCCTTCTTTACTCTTTTTCACTCATTTTTCTATTTGCTTTTCTACTTGAGTAACTTCATTTTAAGTTCTGTCTTCAAGCTTGGTAATTCTTTCCTGTATTTGATCAAGGCTGTTAAAACTTTTTAATAAATTTTGTAGTTCAGTTATTTTATTTTTTATTTATAGAATTTCTATTTGTTTTTTTCAACTTTCTATTTCTTTGACAAATTTCTCATTTTGTTCCTGGATTGATCCGTAAATTTTATTTAGTTTTCATCCATATTTTCTTGTGATTTCCTGAACTTCTTTAAGAGAATTATTCTAGAATCTCTGTTTGACATTTCATAGATCTTCAGTTCTTCTGGGTCTATTGTTAAAGCTTTGTTTGTTTCCTTTGGTAGTGTTGTATTTCCCTGAGTTTTCACAATCCTTTTGTCTTTACACTGATGCCTGTGCATTTGAGAACACAGCCACTTCTTCCAGTTTTTCAGGTGTTTTTGACGGTGTTTTACTTATACTACTTTGCACTATAACTTAAACACTGGCCAGTAGTTTCTGGCTATTCTAGGAAGGACTATAGTCAGCACCACAACTAAAACATTGCACTGGAACTAATTCATTGCCCTGCTATTGTTTCCTGGTATGGGTAAAACTTATAGTGAGCACTGGAAGTTAAATGTTGCCCTGGACTATATTGCTCCCCTGCCATTGTTTTTCATTTGGAGAAGACTTGATCAGGCATCAGATCCTAATCCTGACCTTTTAGTTGTTTCTGGACCAAGGCAAGGCTCCACCTAAGTATTTGGGCTTTGTGAAAAACTGAGCCAGGAATTTTAGTTTTCTCATGGACTATGTCCCCTGTAGCAATTTGATGCTGGACAGTCTCTTCTACATGGTGGCCGCACTGACTGGAATACAGAATAGCCACCAAGATCTGCACACCAGTTTCTATAATTAGTGCTCTGCTCTTTGACCCCAATTCACTCCATATGGGTCAGCCCTTCTGACACTATCAGCAGCTCTCGCGGGATGGGACTGAAGTGAGCTTCCTGCAAAGATTCCCAGGTTTTTAGGGAGATTAAATGTCCACCGGCAATTCTCTCCTCTCACCTCAGAAACTGTTGGTTTAGGGAAATTCTCTATTAGTGGCATTATGCTGGCTTTGGGGAGAGAATGTGCAATAGTCTGAAATGACTATTTCTCTTAGCAGTTGTAGCTTCTCTTTATTCTGTGGTCCCAGTGGGTTTCTCCACTTTTCCCCCAAGTTCTGGTAAACTTATGATGCTATTCTTGTCTTTCAATATTTTCTTTGTATTTTTGTGAAGGGAGTGATACCAAGGAATCTTCTATTCTGCCATCTTTCTGATGCCACTCCTCCAGAATCTCTCTCAACTAACAAGTCTTGATTGACCACTCCCTATGTACAGGCACCATGGCAAGTGCCAGAGATGCAAGTCAAATGAGTCCCTCTTCTTCTCCTCAGTAAAATACAGACACACGCATATTTTTCATGGTAGTTATTACTCTAAGCTCTGAAGATATGAGCATAAAAAAATCTATGCTTTTCCTACAACACAACAACAAAAAAACAAACCAATTACATACGGACATGCAGAGTAGGATAACAGACATTGAAGACTACAAAAGGTACTAAGACTACAAAAGATAGTCCTTTGTAGTCTTCAGTGTCTATTATTCAAGGAGGGTGGAAGGGGAGTGAGGGTTAAAAAATTTCCTATTGGGTACAATTTCACTATTCAGGTGACGGGTGCACTAAGAGCTTGGAGTTTATGACACAACATTGTATGTAATAAATCTGCACTTGTACCCACCCCCTAAATATACAAATTTAAAAAAATGGGCAAAGGACTTGAAATAGATATTTCTCCAAAGATGATCTCCAAACCAACAAATCACTGGTTACATGGCAGGGTTATTAAGCAGTTATTTAGCACAGACACTACAAGAAGACAAAAGAGTAACAAGTAAATTAGACTGGAGGGAAGGGAAGAAGTATCAGAAGAGATGACACTGAAGCCAAGTTTCTTTTGGGTTACAGGATAAATATGAAGAAGTAAATGTTAACATTCTACCATAGCAACTCAGGAAGAAATATAAAAACAAGTGTTTCTGCTAAAATCTCCAGTCTTCTCCAATTGGACAAGTCAAGATTGTGCTCACAGAAAGATTTCTCCTTAAGGGCATGCAGGGGTGTAGGTGTACTGCCATCCAGTGGCAAGATAGAAGGCACAGACTAATTGTTTTTCATATCCTTCTTCTAAGCCACTACTGAGAAGATTTGAGGGATTTGGGGGAAAGGAAATGTCACAAAATAAATCAAAGATGGTGACCATGAGAAATGGGCACAAGCTTTGTTTAACCTCCTAAGAAGAGATACTGCCTTTATTACATATGTATTTTTCTAAGAAGCACTAATTTGTAACTAAATGGCTGTCTCCCTTTTTTCCTTTCCCAACCCCATTATTGATGAACAGAAGGCTTAACTTAAGTACTAGGAGAAGCCAAGTACACTGAATTGGTCCATGGCACATTCATCCAACTAAGTGGTAGAATCCAAAATTCACCTCTTTGTCTTTTACGCAATCTCATTTTAAATATAGTATTGTATTTTACCCATCAGTATTAATTTCCAACTCTAGCTATTGGTCATTACTTATATCAAATCTTAGAATAAGATCATTGGATGAAAGCAACCCAGGACATATTTATTCAACAAATTTTTTTTGTGGTAGTTGTTATTCTATGTTCTGAAGATATAAACATGAAAAGACCTGTCTGTTCTCTTCCTACAACTCAACAACAAAAAACAACCCAATTTTAAAAATTGGCAAAGGACTTGAAATAGACATTTCCTCAAAGAAGATACATAAATGGCCAAAAAGCACATGAAAAGATGTCCACCATCACTAATCATTAGGGAAATACAAATCAAAACCACAATGACATACCATCTCAAACCCATTAGGTTGGCTACTTTCAAAAAACGAACCCGAAAGTAAGTGTGGACAAGGACGTGGAGAAATTGGAACCCTCATGCACTGTCGGCAGGACTGTAAAATGATGCAACCCTCATGGAAAAGTGTGTTAATTCCTCAAAAAATTAAGAGTAGAATTATATGATTCAGCAATTTCACTTCTGGATGGATATACATCCACAAGATTTGAAAGCAGGTCATGACAAGATATTTACACACCTATGTTCATAGTAGCATTATTCACAAAAGCCAAAGGTGGAAGCAACCCAAATGTCCATTGACAAGTGAATAAAGTGCAGTGTATACATACAATGGATTATTCAGCCTTAAAAAGAAAAGAAATTATGATACATAGTACAGCACAGATGGACTCTGGGGACATTATGCTAAGTTAAATAAAAAGACAAATGCTATATGATTTCACTTACATGAGGTACCTGGAGGAGTCAAATTCATCCAGACAGAAAGTAAAACGATTGCTGCCAGGGGCTGGGTGGAGGGGAGAATGGGAAATTTGTCTTTAATAAGTACAGAGTTTCAATTCGGGATGGTGACAAGAGTCCTGGAGATTAAGTATGTTCACACTGTTATGTGAATATTCACATAGCATTGTTTATATTCATATTGTCATGTGAATATACGTAACTCTACTAAACTGTATACTTAAAAATGGTAAAGATGGTAAAATTTGTGTCATGTGAATGCTACTGCAATTAAAAAGAGAAGGACCTGTTCTCCATCTTCAGACTGCTCATGTTTTTGTACTAGTGAGGTGCCTCACCACTCCTCAGTCTAAGGCTTTCCGTGGCTATTCTGTTTAGGTACTTCGTCCCCATATAGTTGGCATGTCTTCTGTGTGGACATGGCCTTTCTGCTTTCTCTATAATGTGCTAGTCTAAAACTTCTTTAATTTGCAAGCCAGAAACCAGAGGCTTAGTGAATGAGACTTGTTCAGTGTCAGAAAACTACTGCAGAGCCCAGGAAGACCCTGATGTATCCCACTGGCTCTGGCTCACTTGAAGTCACCCTTTTTTTTCTTCTGAAAGAAACTTTTGGTTACACTGTCCCCAGAACTCTCAGAAGGTCATCAGCTCAAACAAACGCACTGGCAGTTAGTGCCAGGCAAAATGGGATACCCTTTCTCCAGGTTCAAGCTCATCAGGATCCTCTTTCTGGCTGTTGAGACAAAGCAGGTGGTCTCTAGAAGGAATGTCTCATTTCCCAGTGCCTCCAACCCTCTTCTCTCAAATGGAGTTAAAGAGCCCTCTTGGTAGTGAGCCCCTGCCCCAGCCCTTATGTCAGAGGATAGCAGGCTCAGAAGATAGCAGCCTTCTTTTCATGAGTCTTCACATCTACCTTGACCGTATCATTCAGAAGGACTCAGAGCCGCTGAGGCTCAAAGTTAGAAATGGAAATGGGTTTTTCGCCTGCTTTGGATCCTGACATCCAGAAGTGATCCACCCTTACAGGACTTGAGTACCATGGTAATACATGTAGGAAAGGTGGAAAAGGCGAAAGGCAAGAGGCGAGAGAGAGAGAACACACCAGCTTCGGAAATGAACTGGTAATTTAAAAGTGTGCATCATCTCCAACAGCCTCTCTCTCTGGGAGTTTCCTAAATGACTACAACAATAAGAGGATGGAAAGCAGTGGGTTACTCAGCCCGCAGCCTCTCTGGCCAGGCTCACTCTCACTGCCTGGTGTCATTTCTCTCTGCCTTATGCCCTGATGTTTGGAATCCAGCCAGAGCCAGGCTTATAGATAGTTTGTAGGTCACTTCGATCATGCTATTTTCAGATTCAGTGATAGAAATAGCTCATACAAGCTTCTCACAGTTATTCCTGCTCTATTTACGGATGGCACCACAACATGGTTTGGAAGAAAAAGAATATAATCCTGGATCACGTCAGGGTCCTGGATCTGTAATATGACGTGTTGGCTCACAGGCTTTATGCAAGTCACTCAGCCTCTTGAAGATGTAGTATGTGTATTATAAAATGGTACATTGCAGTATCTGCTTCAAAGGATTGTTGTAGCAATCAAATAAAACAATCTATAAATAAACTATTCACTGCTATACAAACAGAAGTGAAAACATGTAGTCCTCATGCCAAATCCAGTCTGCTCCATTCCTTGCTCAGCTTGTACACTTTTAAATCATTGGAATGACTTCAGACCAGCTTGGACTCTCCAGATACCACAGTCTCCACTTCTCCATATTGTCTCACATCTAGCCTACTTTTTACTCATAATGTTGCCTTAAAAGCTTGCATTTGAGATCCGAATATGGTACTCTAAAGATAAGCAGAATACAGCATTGCAGACGAGGCATAGGACCTATAGCCTGGCACATCCAGAAATGTGACTTTGCAAGCACATCAAGAAAGGGGCTTTAATCAGAGGCAGCCTCAGACTCACTGGGCTGATAACAGCGATGTCAAAAACCAGAGTGTCCAATTATGAATTTTCAATGACAAAGAAAATGGTCCTGAAGATTGGAATCCCTTGTCACTACCTTTATATTGACAATATGCTACAAGCAAAGCATCACTACAGTTAGAAGATTCCTCGGCTTATATAACACTGGCACTAAAATAAGTAAATCGATAAAGCAGTGGTACATGCTAGGAAGCCCAAAAATAGAATTTAGCATACATAGGAATTTAGTATCCAGTAAAGGTGGCATTTCCAACCAGTGAGAAGGTGATAGATTTATTTCGTAAATGCAGTTAGGGTAATTTGTTAACTGTTTGTGAAAATACAGTTACTTTATATTATGGTCTTCACACTATAAACCAATATAAGCTCCAAATGGATAAAAGCACTAAAATTTTTCATTAAAAACAACATAAAAAACCTAGAAGAAAATATAAGTGAATACTTATCTGCTCTCATGTAGAAAAGACACTCCTAAGCATAAAAGCAAAGGAAGAAACTCTAAAAGAAAAAAATTATAAGCTTTACTACATAAACATTTAAATACTTATAAAGATCTGAAGATGCCACAAATAAAATTAAGAGGAAACAAGCCAAAAAGAAAAAAAAAAAGGCCAGGAGCAGTGGCTCATGCCTGTAATCCCTGCACTTAGGGGAGGCCGAGGCAGGCTGACCACTTGAGGCCCGGAGTTCGAGACCAGCCTGGCCAACGTGGCGAAACCCCATCTCTACTGAAAAAAAGAAACAGAAAAATCAGCCAGGTCTATACCTGTAATCCCGGCTAATCAGGAGGCTGAGGCAGGAGAATCGCTTGAACCTGGGAGGCAGAGGTTTCGGTGAGCTGATAGCATGTCACTACACTCTAGCCTGGGTGATGGAGTGAGACTCTGTCTCAAAATAAAATAAAATAAAATAAAAAATAGAAAATCAGCAACCTGGGGCCAGGCATACAGTGATAAACAAAACACATGGGACCTACACCTTCACAGAATTTTCAACCCCATGGACAACAGACATTAAAAGCAGGACCACCTTCAAATAAATCATTAGACATAGAGATATGTCCCTCTGAAGCCAAAAAATTGAAAGTCATACCAGGGACCTCTCCAGTTAATAGTCAAGGAAGGTCTCTCTGAATGTGTTATTTGTTCTGGGGACTAGGAAGATGAGTAGGAGTGAGGACAAGGGTGGGGAGTAAAGACCCAAGCCAAGAGAAGACCGCTGTGGCATGTGGTGGCAACAGCAGCCAGAAGGACAGTGGAGCACAAGGTTGAAGTGGAAAAATTACAGGAGGAAGGACCGGACAGTTAAGCAGGGCTATGTACGCTGACTTAAAACTTTCATACTTTTAACTGAGTCTTTGAATGGTTCTTATAAATCACTAAGACGAGAACTATATTCCAATAGGCAAGAGGGCAAAGTGGGCAATTCACACAACAGGAAATGCCAATAAATTTTTAAGAGACCAAAAGTCATTAAGGTAGAAGGTTGACCACGGCTGAGAGAAAAGGACAGCCAATGGGTTGAAGGCATGCTTTTGGGGTGATGGAAATATTTCAAAATTGGATCCTTGTGATGGTTGCATAATTATAAATTTATTATGAAATAAATGAATTGCACATTTAAAATGTATTTTATGGTATGTAAATTATACCTTCATAAAGCTATTTTTAAAAATTATTGTTCAACATCTCTAGAATCAAAGAAATGCAAATTAAAATACAATATAATTTATGTTTCAAATTTATACACAATTTAACAAATAACAATATTCAGTGTTGGTAAAATGGAAAATGGGCATTTATATAGAATTCTAATAAATTTGACAATAACTATAAAAGCCTTATTACTTGATCACATACCTTGGAATTTAATATAACCATGAATCTATAAAAAAATTTTGTATGACAATGTTTATCACATAAATACTTGTGAAATGAAAAAACACAGAAAAAGTGTAATGTTGACCAGTAGATGATTATTTAAACAGCAAACAGTACAATTATTTTTAAGAATATGCTATAGAAGAACACAAAGAGGCCAGGCATGGTGGCTTACCCCTGTAATCCCAGCACTTTGGGAGGCCAAGTCAGGCAGATCACTTAAGGCCAGGCATTCTAGACCAGCCTGGCTAATATGGTGAAACCCACCTCTACCAAAAATACAAAAATTAGCCAGGCATGGTAGCAGACACCTGTAATTCCAGCTACTTGGGAGGCTGAGGCAGGAGAATAACTTGAACCCGGGAGTCGGAGCTTGCAGTGAGCTGAGATCGCACCACTGCTTTCCAGCCAGGGCAACAGCATGAGACTCCATTTAAAAAGAAGAAAAAAGAAGAAGGAAGAAGAAAGAAGAAAGAACAATAAGAAGAATGCATAGTTACATGAAGAAGAGGTGACACGTTAAGTCAAAAATTACAAAACAGCATAGTATGATAGTATGATCCCTATATGGAGAAATCAGACATGCTTCTATAGAAAAAGTCTTAAAGGGCAGGAATCTAGGTATCAGCGTTAGGTATCAATTAGCTGTTACCACAAAATGCTGTTTAACAGAATACCCCAAAGCCTATAAGAAGCACTTGTTTTTTGTGTGTTATTAGGATGTCTCTCCTGAGGGAAGCAAGGCAATAGGGCTGCAGGGGAGGTCCTGGTCCACACATCTCTCCAGTGCCTATGCTATCCAGGCATCTTTTATCATGGCAGAAGCATAAGAGGGCAAGCCCAACTGCAGGAGCACATCTCTAGCCTCTGCATGCATCACTTCTGCCCACATTCCACCAGGCCAAAGTAAGTCACAGAGCCAAAGCCCAAGACAAGGGGTAAGGAGATGCACTTGCCAGTCGGGGTAGACACTGCAAGTTATTGGGGGTCCAAGAATGGGCAACAATAATGCATTCTACACAATATCAAAAGTTTAAATGTGATTATTTCCGAGTGAAGCAGATGTGTTGCTTTGTTTTCTTTTGTTTACTTTTACATATTGCATTACTCAGCTATTTTCTAGGTTTACTTCCTGCTCATGTTATACACATCTATGGGAAAACAGTGGCTCTATCTCACAGGTCCTTCTACACTCAATAAAAGAACCTCTCCCACGTGAGGCAGGCCATTCTAAAGCACTGGAAAAAGAACAATGACAGAAATTGGAAAGGTTTTTAAAGCCTCTGCTGGACAGCTGAATGTCACTTCCAGTCACATTCCATTGGCCAAAAACCTCACAGAGCAAGCCTGGCACGATCAGTCAAAGAGGGGATCACACACCTGTAGTAGGTAGGGGACTGCAATTCACATAGCAGTGGATGGGAGTGAAAAGGCCATGAATAGTGCAAATAGTAGTGTCATCTACATACTTACTAGCATTTCCAGCTTTTCTATAATGGCCACGAATGGTTTTATTTTTATTTATCTAATTATTTATTTCTTTCTATTAGAAGCTAGACATGAACAGAAAATTTACTTTTTCAAATTTCCTTGCCATTTTTAAGGTTTTGTTTTTATCACACATGCTTTTATTTCATGCATGCTTTAGAAGGCATTAGCCCCTGCCCTCTCCTCTCCATCTCCCTCATTGCTTAATCACCAGAACCCAACACCTTCAACAGTTATAGCATTCAGTTAGTATTAGGTTGGTGAAAAAGTAATTGTGGTTTTTGCCATTACTTTTAATTTGCCTCCACTCCTCTAAGTTGCATGCATATCTAACTACTTCTTGAGTTTTACCAATTCTAGGCTGTCTCTCGACTTGCAGTATAAAAGGTAAGACGTGAGTTTGCTCTCATCTCCACAAGCTCACCACATACACATATTCCTAACCAGCCCCGATGTACCCCCAGTGGAGATGTACTGTGATTGGTTGGCATATTCATCTTCACCTGGTGTACATTACTATTATCACCATACAGACACTGTGCATGGCTAAGCCTCAGGGTACACTGTGAATCTTTTTCCTTCTCAGCACTATTCTGTTCTGTCTCAATTTTTGTTTTTGTTTTGCTTTACCTTTTTCATTTGTTCATCTCTGTGTATTTATCACATTTCAACCCCAACTGTCTGCCCAATGTCTAAATCTCCTCTCAGTATAGTTGGACCCATCAAACATTCCAGCAGTTTCATTTTCTTAAAGAACTCTCTGTCTCTCTCAGAGCCCTGTGTGCTACTCCAATCTGGCTTACTTGCCTTTGATGCATCCTAGTATCTCCCTTCACTATCATCCTGGCATTTCTTTCGTCTATCTTCAGTGTAGAAATTCCTGTTTCCTATAACTCATGTCTTCCTCTCTGTTAGTTTACTGTCTCAGTTTGGCAGAGCAAACTTCCCAATAGTTTCCTAAGAAAAGGTGCCTTAGGGGTAAATCTCTTGAAACATTCACGTTTTTATTCTCTCCATACACATAATTGATAAATTTGTATCAATGCGATTGATACAGCATTCCAGGTTACAAATCATTTTGCATAAAAAATTTGAGTAGTCCTAATTTCTGGTGTTGCTGTTGAGGAGTCAGAAGTCATTCTGTTTGCTTATCCTGTGTAGGCAATCTACATTTTTTTTTCCTCCCTGGAAACTTGTAGGATGAACCTTCAGTTCCAGTGTTCTAAAATTTCCTAAAAAGATGTGCCATGATGTGAGTCTGTTATCACTCATTGTTTGAATCTTCACTGGCTCTTCTCATCTGCAAGTGCATGTCTTTCAAATACAGAAAATTTTCTTATTTTTTGATGATTTCCTCTCTTCTGTTTCCCCTCTTCACTCATTATGGAACTATGATTCAGATACTAGTCTTTCAGGACAGGCTGTCTCATTTTTAATATTTTCACCCCTGCTTTCCATCCTCTTCACTTTTGGCTCTACTTTCTCTGAGAATACCTTAACTTTATCTCCCAACCATCATACTTTTAATTTCTAAAAAAAAAAAAAAGTCTTGTTCTCTGAATGTTCCTTTTTAAAATACCATGTTCTTGTTTCAGGATTGCACTATATTCTCTTATTTCCCTAAAGATATTTAGATGATTTTATTTTTTGTATTCTCTCTGTAGTCTCTGTTCCATCAAGTTGCCTTTTTCTATTTCTTTATTCTGGTGTTGATCTTTCTAGATGGAAGCTTTCCTCAGATCTATCTCTGACTTTCCTTGTCATCTCCTTATCTTTAAGACTGGGTGTCTGAGAGCACGGAGCATGTGAATGAGTCTTGTGGACTATCACACTGGAGTAATCTGGTTGGCCTGTTACATTGGAAAACCCCCAGCGTGGTAACATTGTACCTGAACTGGTGCAATCTCTAGAGAAGGTTTTTCTAACCTCTTGCTTGAAAGATAAAAATAGGGTGGCGAGGTGGCTCACACCTGTAATCCCAGCACTTTGGGAGGCTAAGACAGGCAGATCACTTGAGGCCAGGAGTTCGAGACCAGCCTGGCCAATATGATGAAACCCCTTCTCTACTTAAAAAAAAATTAGCTGGATGTGATGGCACATGCCTGCAATCCCAACTACTGGGGAGGTTGAGGCATGAGAATCACTTGAACCTGGGAGGTGGAGGCTGCAGTGGGTTGAACACCATTGAACTCCAGCCTGGATGACAGAGCAAAACTCTGACTCAAAAAAAAAAAAGATAAAAATTCAGCTGACAGTCTACTACTGGAAACCAAGTAGAAAAGCAGGCTAAGGGTAGGGATCTTGCCTGATGCCTCTATTTTCAGCAGTGCCCATACCATCAGCTGTGCTTGGATAGTTCCAAATACCATGATCATCTGCTTTATCCTTCTACGAATAAACCTCTGGTGTTCAGCAGAGGTGAGGGATTCACAAAGCTGGACAGAGTGGGAAAGGAGATTTGGAATCTAAATACTCACAGACTTGAAACCAGTCCTCCTAATAGTAGGTTTTCTCTCCACCCCTTGTCACAGGGCATGCCTGCTGCAGCCAATTCTTAAATCATTTGAGGCTTTAAAATCATAAAGCTAGCTGCTTTCCATTTTCTCACTGCCTCCGTAGTATTCTGGTTCCCTGTGCTTGGTAATAGAGTATTAATCTACATGCTTTCCACCTTCAAATTTTTGTTTCTATTTTCTCCTCACTCATTCTTGTTCTTCTTTATGCCTTTCTGAAAAATCCCTTTACTGTGAATTTAGTAGAGTTTCATAAGGAAGCAAAATGAGATGCATGTGTTTAATTTCCCATTGTTACCCGCTAGTTCTTGCTTTCATAATTAAAAGAAAATTGCTTATAAGGAAATTTGCCTGGTAATTATGAAACCAGAACAAAGAGAGGTGAAATAATTGAATTTTTAATGGAATCAGATTAAGGTGGCCTCATGCATCTATCTACTACCTGGAGATAGGTGATCCAGCCAATGGGACCCTGAGATTCAAAGTTCATGCCTCTCCTGGACAAAACTCAGATGGGCACTGACCGTGTTGTCCCATGAGTCTTCTCTTCCTATGATTCCACTTTTCACCAGCCCTTTTTAACTAACACCTTTCTTTCAACATGTTAATATATTCAGGCAAGCTATTGTCAAATCTGACAGACCTGGGACGCTTTTCGTATGCCATTACCAAAATCCTTCATGAGTTGATATTATCTTTAACACACAGAGGGAAAACTAAGTTCTAAGGTTTTTCATTAAGACACTTTATTTTAAGGCTAACACAAACATCGTCGTCTTCTTGTTTATATATCCACAGACATGGCTAAATACAAATGTAAAATTTCAATCCAGTAGATTTTAAAGCTAAGCCGTATGTGTCAGGGGAAAGGAAATTATTATAACCCCTCTGGAAGAAGAAAAACTCCCTGAGCATGAAATATCAAACATCAAACATAAATTCAAATCACTCAATGTTCATTGATTTATTTAATGGAAAGCTAGGGCACAGCCATTGCATAAGAAGTACTACCTTGGCCCCACAATGACAGAAAATAAAGAACAAACATGAAGAAGAATAAGATACAATTGCTGACCTCAAGGACATTACAAAATAGAAATTTAAAGAAAAGCAAGTACTGAAATATTAAAAAATAAGTGTGACATGATATGAATAAACCAAATAACCCAAAAGAAGATAAGAAGTTGGAAACAGAGAAAGGAAAAATAGAGCAACAAAAATTAGTACAATTACAGACTTAAATCTAAAGATAACAATAATTATATTAAGGGTAAATGGTCTAAACCTATATATTAAAAGACAGAAATTGTCAGAATTGACTTAAGCTATGTATCAGCTGTGCGCTGTCTACAAGAAACTCATCTGAAATAAAACAATATGGGAAAATCAAAGTAAAACAATAGGAAATGATACACAAAGAAATACTAATAAAAAAGGAAGCCAGAGGCCGGGTGTGATGGCTCACGCCTGTAATCCCAGAAATTTCAGAGGCTGAGGTGGGTGAATCATTTGAGGTCAGGGGTTCAAGACCAGCCTAGCCAACATGGTAAAACCGTGCCTCTACTAAAAATACAAAAATTAGCCAGGTGTGGTAGTGGACACCTGTAATCACAGCTACTCAGGAGGTTGAGGCAGGAGAATTGCTTGAACCTGGGAGGCGGAGGTTGCAGTGAGCTGAGATCATGCCACTGCACTCCAGCCTGGGCAACAGAGCGAGACTCTGTCTCAAAAAAGAAACAAAGCTGGAATGGCTATTTTAACTTCAACGCAGACCTCAGAGCAAAGAAAATTATAAAAGCTAAAGGATATTACATAATGATAAGAGAATCAATTCACCAAGATGGCATAGTAATCCTAAATATGCATACACTTAACAACAGAGCTTCACAATGTATAAACAAAAACTGACAGAATTAAAAGGAAAAATAGACAAATTCACAATTACAGATTTCAATACTCCTCTCTCAGTAATAAACAGAAAAACTAGATATAAAGTCAGCAAGGATATAGAAAAACTGAACAGGTCACCAACAAATGGAATTTAATTGATATTCACAGAACATTTAACCCAAAAACAGCAGAATAGACATTCTTTTCAAATGTAAATGGAAAATTCATCAGGATAGACCAGATCCTGGATCATAAAACAAACCTTAACAAATTAAAATAGTTGAAATCAAAAAAGTTAATTCTGCAATTATGAAATTAAATTAAAATAAATAACAGAAAGATTCTAAGAAAATTACTAGTTACTTGAAAATTTAACAATATACTTCTAAGTAATCCTTAGGTCACAGAATTCTCAAAAAATATTAGTTTGAATTGAACTGAAATATATAAAAACATAATCTATCAAAGTGTGTGGGATGTACATAAAGCAATTGCTTAGAGAGAAAATTATAGCATTAAATGCTTCTGTCAGAAAAGAAGAAAGGTGTCATATCAATAATCTAAACTTCTACTTTAAGAAAAAGAAAAGCCAAACATTCCTAAAGTAGGGAGGAGGAAAGTAGTAGTGAAAATAAGCTCTGAAATCAATGACATTGAAAACAAAACTACAGAGAAAAATCAATGAAACCAAAAAGTTTCATGATCAACCTCTAGCAAGGCTGAAAAAAAGGAAACAAAAAAGTCACATATTGCTAACATTAGGAATAAAGAAGAGAATATCACTAAAGACTCCACAGACATTAAAAAGATAGTAAATAAATTCCATGCACAATTCTATGCACATCAGTTCGACAACTTGAATGAAATTGTCTAATTTCTCAAAAACTATTATCTGCCAAAGTTCAGCAAAAATAAGGTACATAATCTGAATAGTCCAATAACTATTAAAGAAATACATAATGTTAAAACCTTCTGAAATAGAAAACTCCAAGCCTGGATGGTTTCACAGGCAAATTCCATCAAACATTTAAGGATTCTACACAATCATAAGGAGGAATCATAAGGAGGAAACACTTCTCAACTCTTTGAGTTTTATGAAGTCACCATTATCTTGACACCAATAGTAGACAAAATTTAAAAAGTTACAGATTTATATTTTTTAAGAACTTTAATCACAAAATGTTCTTTTGTGACACAAAAATTATCAACAAAATAGTAGTAAATCAAATGCATCAATATAATTTAAAAAATAATGTGCTGTGACCAAGTGAGGTCTATCTAGGAATGCAAGGCTAGTACCATCTAAAAAAAAAAAGATCATATTAATTGGTGTAGAAAAAGCATTTGAAAAATTTAACGTTCTTTCATGATAAAAACTCTCAACAAACTAGGAATACAAATGAAATTTCTCAACCTGATAAAGGGTATCTGTTAAAAACCCTACAGCTAACAATGTTTAATGTAAAAAAATGCTTCTCCTAAGATCAGGAACAAGTCAATAATTCCCATCTCATTACTCCTATTCAAAATTGTACTAGAAGTCCAAGCAAGTGCAATAAGGTAAAAAAAAGTAAATTGAAGACAAAGATTAGAAAAGAAGAAATAAAAAAGTCTCTATTTGCAGACAACATGATTGTCTGTGTAGAAAATCCCAAGGTATCGAAGAAGAAAAAGAGGAGGAGGAGAAGGGTGAGGACAGTAATTATGATGACTCCTTAAACTAATAGTAGAGTTTAGCAAGGTTACAGAATACAAAGTCAATACACAAAAATCTATTGTATTTCTATATACTAACAACATATTACTTGAAAACAAAGCAAAATCATTTAGAGTAGTTCCAAAAATCAAATACTTTAGTATGAATCTAATGCAAAGAATCTCTATGCTAAAACCCACAAAATGCTGATGAAAGAAATCAAAGGAGAACTAAATAAATGAATAGACACACTTAGTTCATGGCTTAGAAGACTCAGCATGGTAAAGATGCAGATTCTAACCAAATTAATCTATCAGTTTAATGCAATTCTATTAAAATCCCGGGGAGACTTTTTGTACATATTTTGTAGAACAGACAGGCTTATTCTAAAATTTATATGGAAAAATCAAAGGAAGTAGAATAGCTAAAATAATTTTGAAAGAGAAGAATAAAGTTAAAGGACTCAAGCTATTCAATTTTATTACTTACTATATAGTCACAAAAATCAAGACCAAGTGGTATTTATAATGAGATAGAAACACAGATTAATGGGACAAAATAGAAACCCCAGAAATAGACCCACAGAAATATGGACAATTGATTTTTTAAAAGGTGCAAACACTATTCAAGGGAGAAAGAACAATCTTTTTGAGAAATGCTGTTGGAAAAATTAGATAGCCTTCTGCAAAAAAATAATAAACCTCAAACTAAACTTTGTACCATAAACAAAAATTAAAGTAGATCATAAATCTACATATAAAAAGATTATAAGCGTTTTAAAAGAAAACATCCTGGAAAATCTTTGCACCCTGGGAGTTGCCAAAGTGTTCATAGACATGCACCAAGAAGCGTGATCCCAGAAAAATTGTAAATTATACAATATTAAAATTAAAGCTCTTAAAAAGACGCTGCTGAAAGAATGAAAAGACAAGCTACAGCCTGGGAGAAAATATTTGTGGCTCATGTATCCACCAAAGTACATGACCCAAAATAAAGAACCCTTAAAACTCAATTGTAAGAAAACAGAAATCCCCATTTTAAAATGGGCAAAAGACTTAACGCATACTGTACCAAATAGATGACAAGTACATGAAAAAACTGTTCAACATCATTAGGCATTTGAGAAATACAAATTAAAGGCACAGTGATATCCCACTACACACTTATTACAATGTTTAAAATAAAAAATATGGATGATACCAAATGCTACCAAGAATCCAGAGCCACTGGAACTCTCATACATTACTGGTGGGAATGGAAAAGAGCACAGCCTCTCTAGAAGTAGTTTAGCAGTTGCTTATAAAGTTAAACGTGTATCTCCATATGACCCAGTCCTGGAGGTTTACCCTAGGGCATTGAACATTGAGGTTTATACAAAAACCTGCACATGAATGTTTGCAAAAGCTCTATTCATAATCATCAATGACTGGAACCAATCCAAACATCCTTTAAAGGATGAATGAATAAAGAAACTATGGTACCTCTACATGATGGAGCAGTACTCAGCAGTAAACCAGAACAAACTATTGGTTGATATATGGAATAACTGGGATGACTCCCAAAGGCCTTATGCTGAATGAGAGAAACTAGTCTCAAAAGGTTACACAGTGTATGATTCCATTCATATGACATTATCAAAAAACCAAAACCGTAGTGATGGAGGATGAATCAGGGATAAAGGAGGGTGTGACAATCAAGGGATACCCAAGGATGTTTTGGAAGTGACGGAAGTGCCCTGTATCCTGACTGTGATGATGGCTACACCAATGTATGTATATATATACACACACACACATATACATATATATGTATTGTATATATACACATACATATATATGTGTGCATTATGTGTGTATATATATGCATGTATATGTGTCCATGTATACATACACAGGTCTGTGATATATACATACATGTATATATGTATGATATATGCATGCATATATGTGTGTACACACACGTGTATATATGTGCGATATATACATGTATGTCTATATACAGATGTGTATAGGTGTACAGTTCAATGAATTTTACCATATATATGCTCAATTTTACTGTATGACAATTTTTTAATTGAATTAAAACTAAGCAACGACAAACCAATGGTGAATGGGGAGGAGGGCATTCCTAAACTCTCTTAGCCTGTCTGGGATGTGGCTAGGACCAGATGCTAAGCTTTGGAGTCCAAGTGCAAGGCATAATCCCACGGTCTGTATCACCTTTAGACCCTGAATCCATCTTGCAAATAGGTCCAATTTACACGCACCCACCAAGAAACTCGGGTCTTCCTTCTCAATCCACAGCTCTAGAGAAGCCCTATTCCTGGCCCTCCTCCCATCTGCCCTGAAGGTTCCAGGAAGCAAACATTCTAGAACAAGACGGAGGGAAAAGGAAGCAGGAGCCCACTCGCAGATTCTCCCACCCCCACACAGCTCTCAGCTGCACCTTCTAAGGAAACAAGGAGTGGGTGGGTGCTTCTCAGGGATGTCACAAAGGAGGAGAGCAACTGGCAGTACAGACTCATTTGTGAGCATGTCTGTGGCTATTTTTGCCTTGTGAATAGAGGCCAGCCGGGAGTGGGCCAGCTGGGCCCATGGCCATGTGTATTTGTGTTTGTAGGAACATGTGCGTATGGGAGAGGACAGTGAGAGCCTTTCTCAGAGAAACGAAGCCGAGTGGGCGACTGCCACTGACGGGGTAGATGTAGACAAATACAAAACATCAAGCCAGCAATTACTGCAATCAGACGCATGGGGTTGTCCACCTGCGTCAGGAGAGCTGCCTCTACTTCGCACACCTGCTGCGAAGAAGCCAGTAAACAGTGGGGTCCAGGGCAGCAACCTTTGTGGCTGGAAGGGTCTCTGTGGGCTACCTTGGTGTGGGTGGTGAAAGCCCTTCTTGATACAGTGAGGATGTGACACCCGGAAATGGCTCACAGTTGTACTTGTCCAATAAGAAAATCAGGTATATAATGAAGTCTGATTCAAGCCCCAGTTTTCTGATGCAGGCCTAGCCTATGTTCTCCC
Organism: Homo sapiens; assembly: GCF_000001405.40. Taxonomy (NCBI): domain Eukaryota; kingdom Metazoa; phylum Chordata; class Mammalia; order Primates; family Hominidae; genus Homo; species Homo sapiens. Next base: position 21,262,657 of record NC_000008.11, read on the forward strand.
TTAAGACCCTCCTAATTGCCTCCTCCCCCTCTCAAAAAGCCTGACTGTTGGAAAAGCCCCGGAGTTCTTCTGCCCCTGTGTCAGCACTAAGAGCTCTGGAAAAAGGGGTTCATTTGGAACCATCTGGACAAGCAGTGGGTTGGGGGCAAGACAACCACTGACGTGTACCCTTGGTTAACAAGAGAAGCCAGGGGAAGACTCAAGGAATCTGGCATTCACCAAAAGACCCTTGGGCCAAGTCCAAGAGTTTTTAATCTAGGTACATCGTGACTACCTGCGTATTGTTTAAAAAAATACAACTTCGCAGTCGTAGATTCCCTGGGGTTGAAGCCTGGAATCTGCATTTCCAGCACCCTAGGAGCTAAGCTTAGAAACCAATGAGCTATTGGCAGGGATGTAGGCCAAGGAGATGGGAAGTGGGAGAACTAGGCACACTTGTATCGCCCCCTGTATGTTCAGCACTAAGCCTACTGGTCTCAGTTTTCTCATCTCTTAGATGGGAATAATAGATGAGGTCTAATGTAACCACAGAAGCTGGGGGCTGGTATGCTTTGACCTATGTAGAGCATTGCTAGGACATTGCTCTCACAGTGTTCATTTGCAGGCAGGAGGATAGCCCTTCTTGGCCGGGCACAGTGGCTCACACCTGTAATCCCAGCACTTTGGGAGGCTGAGGCACGTGGATCACTTGAGGTCAGGAGTTAGAGACCAGCCTTGCCAACATGGTGAAACCCCATGTCTACTAAAAATACAAAAATTAGCCAGGCATGGTGGCGTGTGCCTGTAATCCCAGCTACCCAGGAGGCTGAGGCAGGAGAACCACTGGAACCTGGGAGGCAGAGGTTGCAGTGAGCTGAGATCATGCCACTGCACTCCAGCCTGGACAACAAAGGAAGACTCCATCTCAAAAACAAAAACAAAAAAAGGATAGCCCTTCTCCAGGACAAGTAGAGAGAGCGCTCCTGTTCCTAATGCCCAAGATGAGCATAGGAGACAAAGGGGTCTGGAGATACAGGACCCATCAGAGTAACTCCTGGGTGGGCCTATGAGCGAGAACAGGGTCTGGGCCATGCAATCTCTCCTGTGGGCATGTGGCAGCGGGGGCTGCCCTGCCCAGATCTGCACCCAGACCTGTCGAAGGCCCTCTGTCCAGAGCTCAGGGCCATGGTCATTAAACTTGAGTCTGTTCTGTTTTCCCCAGCCCACAGACAGTGTCTTCATCCTGCCTCTGAGAAGCCAAGACCTTCGCCAGGGGGCTGTTAGGAGGGTCATACAAAGCTGCTGGTAGGAGGGAACTCTGAGAAATCAAATGTAAGGTATTTTTCTCCTTCCTCCCCGAAACCACACATTCCCCAGGATGCTGGGTCCTTCCCACACTCAGAGCTAAGAGGCGGCAGCAAAAGTTAAACCTGGGTGTGGTGCAGTTATACCTACAATGGTGCAAATTACATCATCCGTAACCTTTTTTCACAACAGGCTGGTTTCAAACAGCTGTAATTTATGGATGTTCTTCCAAGAGGAATTAGTCAATATATTTGTTTTCCCTTTGATATATAGCCACAGGAGTGCGTCAGGCATGAGGTTTATTAAGCCTTGCCAATTTTCTGCCGCTTCTCAGCGCTATAGATTTTGCTTGCGGAGTGGGCTGGTTCCACCCTAACATAGAAAAAAATCATTTCAAATACTGAAAAGCCTTCCAGCTCTCAGAACGCAGGGCGCTCTAGGGGACCAGCTACAGCTTTGGGAATGAAGACAACTTGTTCTTGCAGTTGTGGTTGCTGGGGGAGTTACAGGGCCTGGTAGGAGGGGTGGAGGCTGCAGGTCACCTCTGTGTCCTAGCTGTTCTCTAGGTGGGGAGATCTGTGGGCTGAGACTGCAGACAGCCACAAGGCCTAAGGGGGAGATGAATTCTCCTGCCACTGCATCTTAAGCCATTTGAAGAGTGAAGGTCAGCCAGAGCCAGGGTGTTCTGGCCCCCCAGAATGGCCCCCAAGTCAGAACATGATACAGTCAACCCTGCCCCTTCTTCCACTATCCCCTTGAAATAGGACACAGCTTCCAGAGTTAACCGAGGGTACCTGTAGCTCTGCAGAGAATCCCTGGGGGAAAAGGCATCCTTTTCCTCATCCCCTTCATAAGGTCAAACATGTAACCCAAGGTTAAACAATCTAACCCTTTGAAGTAGGAATGGTGGTCCTCAAATGCAGATTCACAGGTACTGCCTCACCTATGTGATTCAGTACATCTGGGGTGGGGCCCAGGACTCTGCATTTCCTACTAAAGCCCTCCACAAATTCACTGAAACCCATTGATTACACCACCTCAATTTCTCACTGCTTAAATGAAAGGTTTTCCGGCGTTTGAGCAGAATGGTGTTTCTTTAGGTGAGGCACAATGAAAGACACAGATACCAGGAAAAAATTGCAAACTACCAAGAACAGGGCGAGAGATGTGCCTCTTAATCAGACTACGCTGAATATACCCACTGTAATCCCCAGGACCAAGCCCATGCTCCTGGAAGGTAGGTCCTAGCAGTGGAGAGGTCAGACGACTTGGCCCGGGGCACACTGCCAGCCAGGGGCAAAGCCACAATGTGGAGGCCAACCTGTCCAGCCGCCCACCCTCCCCAGGGCCTCTCCATTCATGTCCTCACCCCAAGTAAAAACCCCCACCTCTGCCTGAAGACGTATTTTCAGGCCGGAAGTACTGCTTTCATTTTCTTCTGCTCTTCTTTCCTTGGATCTGATGGCTTTCTTCTCCGGAAGCCACCTCTTCCTTTGTACAATGTCACATCTGGCCATTTTGGTCTCTGGAGCCAGACCACTTGCTGCAAAGTTGAAGCCCACCACTTTCTAGCTGATTGACGTTGGGTAACTTACTGAGCCTCTCTTAGCCTCTCTTCCCTCATTTGAAAATGATCATCATCCTTATACTCACCTAAAGAATGGCCCTGTGGTTTATGTGAGTTAATATACAAAATGTGCTAAATGTGACCTTCACACACATGAACTCACACACTTTAGAAGCACCAAACTAATAGGTTAGCAGGGAGTGAACATGCTGAGTGGGATAGAGCTGACTGGAAAAAAGCCCATGGCTGGGAACAGATATCAGGAAGGAGATACAACATTAAAATGAGAGACACACGGGACACACATTGTCAGGGATGGATGTGGATCAGGGATCCAGTGAGGACTGAAAATGGGCCATCACCTCATCTGAACAACTGCACAAATGACATCAAAGCAAGCACTCTACATACATGCACCCAGGCACACACATAGACACAGACTGCGTGTGCGCACACACACACACAGACATGGAATTAGACACTCATACACAGAGACACGCACATGCATATACACACAGACATATGCACAGTTACACAGACACATACAGACACAGACATATATAGATACAGATACACACATATGGAAACTCACAGACACACATATACATAAATATACAAACAGGCACAGATACACAACATACATTTATACGGACACACACAGTACAGACACATAAACAGACATACACACATGTAGACATGCATACACAGACATGCACGTAGACACATAGAAATGACAGAGACAAATACATAAGCACTCATGCAGACACACAAAGACACATGCATGCCTCCACACACAACCACACACACACACACACACAACTCCAACAGAATGTTTTCAGCCCATCTGGCCTGCATGGTTTCCGCAGGCATGGCTGTGTAAATATAGGGGAAGAAATCTAAGTTCTCTTGATAAAATCAGGGTTCAGAAAGAATCAACTGACTTTATATTTGCACAGAAAACCACAGGTCTCTGAGGCTCCCAGGAGACTGTAAAACAAAATCTGTGTATGTTTTAATCCTGTACATATTGACTCTGCCAAGAAAACTGACTCCACAGAGCAGCTGAACCCACCTAGGCAGCACCTGAGCTCCCAGGAGCCAGCATAGTGTTGACTTATGCTAATAGCTCCACTGTAAAAGACCCTCCAGGAAGGCCTGAGACCACCAGGGAGAGGGAGAGATGGAGGGCTGGGATCTGGAGGATAGCCTTGCAACAAGCTGGGCACCTGATCTCTTTGCAGACTTCTTTCCTCCCATCTTGTCCCCCTGACACATGCCTGCCTAGCACCCAGGACTCTCCTTGGCAATCACCAAAATTACAATGAAATAGACAAGGGTTGATGAGTGCTTGACTGTCTCTTCCCTGCTAGAATATAACGAACTCCAAGGGACCATGGAATGTGCATGTTTTGCTCACTGCTGTACTCCAAGGGTCTACCACATAGTAGATATTCAATCAAAATTAGAAATGAATTAACAAATTATCAGATGATGCTGGGGTCAATGAAGGCAGCTAGGTGCCAAAGACAGTCATCACAGTTTCCTACCCGTTTGGAGGGGCTCCTGTCATCCTCCCCTGACAGAGCTCAGGTGCCCCCATTCCAGGCCTGCCCCACACTCCCTTTTGCCCACCCCCCACCTCAGTGCAAGGCTCACGTGAGCCTAAGTCTTCTCACCCTAATTCTTGCATTATCTCTATGCAAAATGAGAAACCACAAGATTATACATCAAATTTGTGAAAACTGAAATGGAAACTTACCAAAGGGTTATCATGGGGGAAGAGGTATTATCAAATGGGATGGAGACGAAAATCACTAAGATGAGCCCTTGATAAAATTAGGAAGATGTTTGTTCCATAGTCTGATTCCTCACTGTGCTCCTCACCCAGACCCGTCCATCCCACAGCTTCAAACAACCATTATCCACCTCAGGTGCCAAATTACAGAGCCTTCACATTCCCCCTCCATCCATTTCACTGTCCCTGACAAAAAAAAAAAAAAAAAAAAAAAAAGTGTTATCAGATTAAAGCCTTAGTCAACAGCTGGATTTTATACCAAAATACGTGAAGACTTTTACTTCCAGCCAAGATGGCATAAAAAGGATCAAATTTACTTTCCTTCCTGCAACAAACAAAAACAGACAAAACATATAAAACTATGGTTCTCCGACACAGGACACCTGGTAGCACCGGACAATGATCCCTGAGAGACAGGAAGCAAACAGGATGATGCCTGAGAGACAGGAAGCAAACAGGATGAGCCCTATCAGTGTTCTACCTTATAACCTGGGGAAAGCCTCCAGGGTGAGTGATGAGACAGAAGCAGGGAAGAGGGATCCAGAAGGAGCCCAACTGTTTCCTAAGTTGAAAAGACATGCTGGGAATCCGGGGGAGATCAAGGTGTGGTGGGCAGCCTTGAAACTTCAAGATGACTCCCAATGATCTCCAGTCCAGTATTCACACCATGTGTCATCTCCTCCCCTCATTGTTCCAAGACTAGCCTGGGTGACTAATATCATGGGTGCAAGCCATGGTATATGAGGATGCCAGGTTCTAAAAATACTGGAAGAGTGTGGCTTTCATCTTGGAGGATGTCAATCTCTCTCTCTCTCTCTCTCTGATCACTCACTTTGGCAGAAGTTAGATGCCATGACACATGAGAAGCCCTATGAAGGCCCACATGGTGAAGAACTGAGGCCTTCTGACAACAACCACAGGAGTGGGCTTGTAAGTAGATTTTTCAGCACCTTCAGAGGATCATAGCCTTGGCCAACAACTTGTCTACAACCTCATGAGAACCCTGAGTCAGAACTACCCAGCTAAGTGGCTCCCACTTGAAACTAACGTATAAAATCCACAGAAGGTGTGTGAGATAATATTTGTTGTTTTAGTGATATCATTAGAATCTACATAAACCCAAGATGGGCATCAAAAATAGGTTATGTGGGTAAATATAAAATACTTTCATCTTTATTCTATAGATATTTAAAGCAACTGACTGCTTAAAGCAAACATAGTAACATTATATTACGGGTTTTAAATATAAATGCAAATATAGGACAATAATTTGTACAGAGGCCAAGAGGGGAAAAATTGGAATGTACTGCTACACAGTCCATATACTATATGTGAAATGGAGCAATATTACTTGAAATTAGATTTTAAAATGTAAGAAAAAAAAGAAAACTACAACAGTAATTTAACCATTAGAAAAGGGAGAGTATAACTAAGCTGCCAACAAAACTAAGCTGCCAACAAAGTAGATAAAATGGAATAATAAAAATTAATTTAAAAGAAGGCAGAAAAACAAAGGAAGAAAAGATGGGATGAATAGAAAATAAGTTTCAAAATAGATTTAAACTCAACCATATCAATATTATATTAAATGTAATTGATAAAATTTATCCCAATTAAAAGGTGGATTCCCAAATTAACAAGCAAGACCAACTATATCCTTCTACCTACAAAAAGATTCATTTCAAATATAAAAACACCAATAGTTTAAATTTGAAAGCTTAAGGGGAGAATCCAAGATGTTAGTATTTATCAAAAGAAAGCTGAAGTGGAATGGCTTTATCAATACCAGACAAAGTAGATTTCAAAGCAAATAATATTGCCAGGCATACAGGGTGTCAGTTTACATTGATAAGAGTCAACTCATGAAGAGACTCTTATTATAGTTTGTGCAACTAAAAACAAAGCTTCAAAATACACGAAGCAGAAACTGATAGAACTGCATGAAGAAACTGATATATCCACAATAATAGAGACTTCAACGCAATGAGCTGAGTGGAGGTGGAGGCACATGTCAGGCCCATCATATCCCAGCCATGAGATCAGGATTTCCGGGGTGAATGGAGAAAAGAGCTAGAAATCAACAAGAGATTTCTGGCCTAAAGGGCAGAGGGTAGCCCAGGTTTGATTGTTGAAGGAGAATAAACCAGAGAATAAGCCATCTTTAACCTCCTCTCATAGCCACGATGGCTTTGACTTCAAGAAGTCTTTCAGAGTAGGCATTGCCCACAGGATGCTATCATTCCAGAGACAAGCTCTGCTTCCCCGTGCCAGGACCTCCTACTCTATGCCCTACAGATTCAGTTATTGAGCCAGGAGTGGAAAGTTATTACTTCAAAGATTTCCTGAGGTGTAATTTCCACATCATAAATAGCCCATGTTTGAAGTCTGAAACTGGCTGGGCACAGTGGCTCACACCTGTAATCCTAGCACTTTGGGAGGCCAAGGTGGGTGGATCACTTGAGGCCAGGAGTTCATGACTAGCCTGGCCAACGTGGCGAAAACCCATCTCCACTAAAAATACAAAAATTAGGCCGGCATGGTGGCACATGCCTATAATCCCAGCTACTTAGGAGGCTGAGGCAGGAGAATCGCTTGAACCTGGGAGGCAGAGGTTGCAGTGAGCTGAGATCATGCCACTGCACTCCGGCCTGGGTGACAGAGCAAGACTCCATCTTATAAATAGTCTAAAATTTATATCACTTTTTTATGCCTGTAAAACTATCACCACCACCACGCTGAAGATAATGAATATATTCATCACTTTCAAAAGACTACTCATCTTCCTTCATAATCACTTCCTCCCACCTACCCTGACCCCACTCCCAACTACAGGCAATCAGTAATCTGTTTTCAGCACTACCGATTAGTTGCATTTTCTAGAATTTTATATAAATAGAAACTTATAGTATATTCTCTTTTCCATCGGCTTAACTCAGTATAATTTTTGACAGTCATCCTGTTGTTTTGTGTCTTGATATTTCCTTTTATTGCTTGGTAATATTACATTGTATGTACATAACAATTTATCAGTTCACCTGTTGGTGACTATTTGGGTCTTTTCGAATTTGGGGCTGTAACAAAGTTGCTATGCATCTGCTTGCAAGTCTGTGAAACGAGGTAAGCTTTTTTTCCTCTTGGGTATAAACTAAGGAGTGGAATGACTGAGCCAAATAGTAGACGTCTCATTAGCTATTTAACCCATTTCTTAAAGTGGTTATCAACTTCCAGTAGCAGTGTGTGCGAGCTCTGGTTAATCCACTTCTTCACCAACCCCTGGTATAATCAGTCTAATTTAAGCCAGTCTAGTGGAAGTGTAGTGACATCTCACATGTTTTGAATTGGCATTTTATTAACTAATGATGTTGAACATCTTTCCATGTGCTTGCTTTCCCTCCATATATCTTGTTTTGTGAAGTATTTTTAATTCTTTTGTTCATTATATTCATTGAATTCTTTGAGTTATTAATGAGTTGTAAAGCATAATAAGGAGAAAAAGAGTAATAGAGAGGGCTATTTTTGACAGCCAGACAAGTGACATTTAAACAGAAAAACTAAAAGAAGTAAAGGAGCAAGCCATAAACATTTCTGGAAGAAGAGCCTTGCCAAGAGGGTGAGATGCAAAGGCCCTGAGGCAGCAAAGAGCACGGTATGCTTGAGGATTAGCAAAAAGGCCAGTAGGGCTGGAACAGAATAAACAAAGGGAGAGAGGGAGAAGATAAGGAAGAATTTGTACAAATATTCTATTTCACAGTGCATTAAATGGGACACCAGATCTTAAAAGACCTACTGCATGGTAGACATTGTTTTAAAAATCAGTTTAATCCAATTATTTACTCACTAGACTATACCCACTCTACACCCTTTTTTGAGCTTAAACCCTGGATTCTAGCTTAGAAGCAACTCTTTCCCATGCTAGAGATTTTGTTCCCTGATTTTGTACCTCCCTGGGGGCCTGCAGATGTCTCCTCTTACTGGCCAGGCCCAGCCTTAGAGGGGCAGGAACTTGGAACGTGCAGCAGGGGAGGATCATTTAATCAAGAATTATTTAAACTTCTTACTGGACTTCATTTAGCATTATGATGGGGCATAAAAGTTTAAGGGCTTTTGCCCAAAAAAAATCTATGATCCAGCTCTATACAAGTTCTAATAAATCTGCAAAGAGGGAATTTATCATCTCTCAATAAATGTGTCTTTTCTGCACTGTCTTCTGAAAACTCGAAAATCGCAGATATAAATCTCAGCTTTGGGTTTCATTTTTCTCTCCTTAGGGAAATGGAGTTCCAGACTCGCACTTGTTGGGAACCCCCTCTTGTTCCCAGTTGCTCTCCTCATTCATCTCCCACCTCCTCCTCCCCTTTCCCACAGCTTAACTCCCCATCTTGGGGAGCCCCAGAGTGTTCTGGAGGGGCACAGAAGTAAATGAAAGCCCCTCTTGCCCCTAGTTTCCTCATCTTAGAAATGAAAAGGTTGGGCCATGTGGCCTGGAAGACCCCTTCTTGTTCCAGTCCCTGGTGGGACCCAGCCTGTAGCCAATACTGCCGTCTTTGGAGGCTTGTTGGATGGGGGCTAAAGAGGTAAAGGTAGGATGAAGACATGAGTAAGGGGCTTTCCTGTGACCACTCAAGGCCAAACACACCCTCAGGTGGTCAGTGGAGAAAGCAAATATGCAGACCTTGGTGTATGCTGCTGCAAGGATGAGCCTGGGAACATCATGGCAAGTGAAAGGAGACAGCCACAAAGGCCGCACATTGTAGGAGTCCATTCATATGAAATGTCCTGACTTGCCAAATTCAAAGAGGCAGAAAGTAGATTAGCAGTTGGCAGGGGATGGCACAGAGGATCTTGGGACTCACTGCTAAGGATGATAGGGTTGGTTTTGAGGGTGATAGAAATGTTTTGCTATTAGATAGTGGTGATGGTTGCAAAACATAGTGAACATGCTAAAAACCACTTTAAAATAATAAATTTTATATGAATTATATCTCAATTAAAAATACATATAGCTCCTAAAATCTACATACCTTGGCAAGCTGAGGACAAGTGAACCGAGGACCTGCCTCAGTGGGGACCAAAGAGCTCCACCAGCTTAGGCAAGAGGCGAGAGGGTCTAATCTTCCCGGCTGCAGGAGAAGGCAGCCAGACAGGCTTCCCTAACCCAGGAGACCCCTCCTGTCCAAGCAAAGCTGCTTCCTGAGTTGGAGAACCTCATCAAGGTTGGCGAGCCCACAGCCCAGGAGGCTACAGCCCAAATCCTAGATGCAGTGCCTCTCAAGGTACAATCCCAGGACCATCTGCATCAGAACTAACTAGGGACCTTGTTAAAAGAGCAGATTCCCAGCCCCCTCCCACAGCTACTGAATTGGATTTTTATTTTTAACAAGCTCTCTAGGTGATTCTTTTACACACTAAAGTTTGAAAAACATTTTGAGCTAGAGTGCCTTTCAGACTTTAAAGTGCATACAAATCACCTGGAGATCTTATTAAAATGTAGATGATGCTGATTCAGGCAGCCTAGGGTGGGGCCTGAGATTCTGCATTCCTAATAAGCTCCTACGCAATGCTTCGTGTTGCTGTTGCATGAATTCTGCTTTGAGTGGCAAGGATTAGAATGGTTCTTAAACATGCCGGAGTCTCACAGAGATTCTGAATTGGTCTGTAGGGTGACCTAGACATGAGTGTTTTGTAAATTTTCCCAATTCTCCCCCAGGTGCTTCTAACGGGTAGAATGGTATTAGATGGGGATCAATATTCCTATCTAATGATGTACAGGGGACAGAAGTTCTAAGCAGGTGTCCAGGTAGATTAAGAAGTGTAAAATCAGGGGAGCCCATGTCTCTGGGGATCAACAGCGCAGGGAGGGTAGAAACTGCTTTGACTCATGGGCTGTACTAGCAGGAGGTGTCTGTGGCTCAGCCCTGACATCTCAAAGAGTGAGTATGGTGATAGAATTGCTGCCTCCAAGCCTCAGCAGATAGTAAGAGCAGGGAGCTCTGCCAGGTTCTTTGCCTCAGTCCTACTTGGCTCAAAGCCTGGGCCTAGAAGTGGAGTCCATCAGTAGATTCAGCTTAGGAAACCTACATGGGCCAAGGCAGGGGCCCAGTGCCTCCTGCCTTACCCAGGCATCCCAATTTTTGGAACCATCCTGAATCCAGGAAGGTCTTTGATGTGGAACATCAGCAAGGCATCATTTTCTTTGTTCTTTCACCCTCAGCTACTCTGCACTGTCCCTAGCAGCAATGGCAATGGGTTTTGATTGGAGATGGTTGAGAAATGGGGACCTCCACCCCCATCCAGGCTTGCATGCAGGAATTCTCGGCATTGGGGGAAAGAGATGCACACCGAGGAGGAAGAAAGATGCAGAGAGCAGGTAACTGCAAGGACTGTGTGCCGGAAAGTTAGAAACAGATGTCAAAAGCAACACACAGGCAGGTTTGGCAAGATTGTGCCTCAACCATGCGGAGCAGAAACACAGGCTGTATTTCAGTGGGAAATAAAAATGTGTCTGTAATTAATGATCCTCTAGGAACACACAGCCCTTATTAATATTGCAATTTGGAGAAACATAATTCATTAGACATCAGGCTTGACTCACCAGCATGGGTTTTCAGCTGGAGGAGGGTTCAGGGAGAGTAGGAGGTTAAGAGGAGGAAGCATGATGATGGGTTCCCAAAGGTCCCAAGGACAAGGCACTGGGAAGGGCAGGGGCTGAGCTAGAGAAGTCACACTGATGGGCTGGGACACCGTGGAGGAAACAAGTGTATTTTTGCCAGCCCTAAGCATCCCACCTGGCATGAGGTTGCATGCATAGGCTATGAAGCCAGATTCCCTGCGTTCAGTTTCCTGCTCCTCCCTTTTGCTGCATGACCTTGGCCAGTTGCTGGATGTCTCTGTGCCTCCATTTGCTCACTTGAAAACAGATCATGAGAATTGTACCTACTCATAGGATTAAGTCCTTTAGCATAATGCCTAGCACATAGTAGGCGCTAAATAGTAGTTTTGTATTATTGTTGTCAGGTTTCATCTGTGTATCCACAAGAATGAGGCTGGGAACATGGGGTGCAATGAGGATTTCTGCAGGAACCCCTTGTGAAGCTATCTGCCCAACCAGCTGCTTTTGTCTAGTGACACAAGGGCAAAGTAGAAATGATGTGTGTTCCATTTGGCATACAAATGGGATCCAATGACAATAATAATACTAAATTAGGGGAACAGAGTTACTTCCATGCCTAGGCCAGTAGCCAGCAAGCAGTGGAAGGTTGAACTGGTGAAACTGAAAGAACACTGGAAAGGGATCCGAGAACCCTGAGTTCGATATATCTAAAAAACAAAAACAAAACAAAACAAAACTGTGTACTCATTATCATCCCCTATTCCCACATTTAACTTTCCCTTCCCCCTCCACTCCCTGTGTTAACAGGTTACCCCAGCATCCACACTATCTCCCAAGCCCAAGAGCTGTGAATAATTCACAACGCCTCCATCAACCTTATCCTCAACAGTCTCCAAAGCCTGCCTACTTTACCTCCTAAATATCTCATTTGTCAGCCTTCTTCCCAATCCATGTCCACTGTCACTGTCTTGGTTCAGGCAAATCTCTCACCTGGATAGTCTCCTAACTGGCTGTACACTGTCGCCCATTCCTCCAATCCATCCACCTCCCTGCCACAAAAGTCACTGACTTTTGTATATTTAATCATGTCTGTTTCCATGCTGAAAGTCCTTCAATGACTTTCCTTGCCTGTAAGATAAATGACGATGCCCTGTCCTGGCATGTCAGACTTTTTATCTGGGCTGTCCCCCTCCTCATTATATTTCCTGAATGACAACATTCCCCAAACCCACTAGGCAATTTTCTACCTCCAGGACCTCTTTTAGAATTATCTTATTCCTAATTTGCCAGGAGGCTGGGTGTAGGGCTAGTTACTAACAATCTTCCTTTCATTCTTATCTGGATTTCACCACTGGCCTTTCTGATTTGTGTCACCTGTTAGCCACCGTCTCAACCAGCCAGATGCTCCCCCTGAGCCTCCTCTCCTGCCATGATCTGTTTCTGACAACATCCTACTGAGGCATTCACTAAGACAACTTAAGAGATTGATTTAGGGGAAATTATTATCAAGTTGTATGCAGAGGCATTGTACCTAATTTTCTCTTTTAAAATTAGATTCATCATGAATCATTTGTATTTATTTATCTTAGAGAAAACCTTACTAATTCATATATAGTAAGTGTAACTTACTTTTATAGGTAAAACCAAAAATAAAACCACAAGGCTATATTATCATTTTTTAGTTGTCCTACTTTAGAAAAGCTAAGCCACACAGGCTGAGCTGCATAATCCTGGGACTAGCTCCCAGAATTGCATACACATCAGGGATCTTGAATTCAGGCACTCAGAAGAGCCATGTTATTGGTAGTCAGGAACTGGAAGGGCTTTAGACATATGAAACTCATGCCTGTAAAGGAGGTAGCTTCTGCTCAACTCCAGACAAGTGTTTCCATGCAGGAATACAGGTTCTGTGTTGTCAACTTCTCCAAAAATGTAAAAGAAGTTAGAAGTTTGGTTTGCTGTTTTTTTGGTTTCTTAAGGTAGATATTTAGATGATTGAGACCTTTCCTTTTTTCTAATATGGGCAAGTAAGCCTATAAATTTTCCTCTAAGCACTGCTTTAGTCACGTCCAGTAAATTTTGATATGTTACATTTTCTTTTCCATCAGTTCAAATATTTTCTAATTTTCCTTGTGCATTCTTTAGCCCGTAAGTTATTTATAAGTCATTTTGTTTGATTTCAAAACATTTGCTGATCAAATTTATTTTGTTTTTAATTCTGTTATAAACAAGGAGCATACTTTGAATAATTTTAATCTTTAAAACTTTACTGAAATATATATTAAAGGCTAGCATATGGCCCTTTTTTGGAATTTTTTTTTAGATGGAGTCTTGCTCCATTGCCCAGGCTGGAGTGCAGTGGCACCATCTCGGCTCACTACAACCTCCACCTCCCGGGTTTGAGTGATTTTCCCGCCTCAGCCTGCCGAGTAGCTGGGATTACAGGCGCCTGCTGCCACACCAGGTTAATTTTTGTATTTTTAGTACAAACAAGGTTTCATCATGTTGGCCGGGCTGGTCTCAAACTTCTGACCTCTGGTGATCCAACCACCTCGGCCTCCCAAAGTGCTGGGATTACAGGTATGAGCCACTGTGCCCAGACTAGAAAATGTTTTAAGTGCTCTTGAAAAGAATACATAATCTTCTCTTTTGGGTTGGTATGTTCTATAAATATCAGTTATGTAACATTGATTGGTAAGGTTATTCAAGTCTTCTATTTTGTGGCTGACTTTTCATCTGTTTTTTCAAATATTGTAAATGTGGTATTGAAATCTCCATCTCTAATTGTTGAATTGCCTACTCCTTTCAATTCTGTTTTAGATTAATATACTTGGGGCCTTTTTGTTATGTGCATGTCTATTTTAACTCTTGTATCTTCCTCATACATTGGACCTTTTATTATGAAATGGCTTTTTCTCTAATATTTAAAATCTATTTTGTCCAATAATGATATAGCCATTCCAGCTCTCATATGGTTACTATTTGCATACTATATTTTCAATCTGTTACTTTCAAATTCGTTGCTTTTGAATCTGAAATATGTCTTTCATGGGTAGCATATAGTTGTACTTTGCTTACTTTAATCCAATATGACAATCTTTCCCTTTTGATTGGATCATATAGTTCATTCAAATTTAATGTAATTATGTTTGGATTTACATCTGCCATCTTGATATTTGTTTTGTATATTTTTATATCTTTTTCCCCTTCTATTCCCCCTTCTAATGCTTCTTTTAAGTACTTTGTGTTCAATTCTTTTGCTTTTAATCTGATTCAATTCCTCTATTGAGGAATTAACATTTCCAATTGTTACATTGTAGATTTAACAACATATTCTTCAGTTATTTTCTTGCTCTGTGGATTATAATATGCATCTTAATTTATTACAGCATACTTCAGGTTAATTTTGACTTAGAGTAAAACACAACTTTGCTCCAGGATAGCTCCATTTTCCCCTCATCCCCTGTGCTGTCATTTTCATATATGTTACATCCATGTTATAATCCCAAAACACAGTGTTGTGAGTGTTGCTTTATGTTCTTTTAAATAAACAGAAGTAAAAAAATGTATCTACACAATCTTTTATATTTAGCCACATATTTCTAGTGCTCTTCATTTCATCCTGTGGATTTTAGTTATGTGTCATTTTCTTAGTCTGAAGGCTTCTTTTAGTGTTTCCTGTTTGCTACTCTCAGTCTTTGTTTCCTGGGAATGTTTTAATTTCAGTTTTGAAGTATGCTTCTAGCGGATATAAAACTGTTCCTTAACAATATTTTTCCCAATGTTTAGAATGTCCTTCCACTGCCTCCTGGCCTCTATTGTTTCTTTTGAGAAGTCAGCAGTTTAAAATATTGTTGTTCCTCTGTATATAATGAGTCATTTTTCTCCTGTAGCTTTCAAGATTTTCTCCTTGTCTTTGGCTTTCAACCTTTTAAATATAATGTGTTTAAGTGTTTATCTCTTTGTGCTCATCCTATTTGGGACTCATTGCATTTCTTCATTTCATAATTAAATGTTTTATACAAAATTTGAGCAGTTTGGGCCATGTTTCTTTGAAATTTTTTATATCTTGGTATGCTTGAAGCTGTCTCTTGGGCCTCTAAGGCTCTGCTCATTTTTCTATTTATTTTTAAATATGTATATTGAATTTTTATTGACCTATCTTCAAGGCCACTGATACTCTCTTCTGCCATCTCAAATCTGCTATTAAGCCCATGTAACAAATTTTTCATTTCAACTATATTTTTCAACTCCAGATTTTCCATTTGTTCTTTTTAAAAAGTTTTGCCTTTATTGAGATTCCTTATTTGTGAATTATTGTCATCACTTCTTTCCTTTAATTTTTAAAAGGTTTATAAAAGTTGTTTTGAAGTCTTTTTCTGTTAAATACCCCATATCTGAGCCCACTTAGACTTAGTTTCTGTCAAATGTGTTTGCCTGAAATGTTTGCCTGAACATAAGTCACACTTTCTGTTGAATATTGCATGTATTTACTCAATATATTTGAGCAACTTGGTCAAGCTCTGATGCTCCACACTGAGCCACTGCAGCTTCCCTACCCTGGCACATATCCTTACCACACTTGATCCTGCCTGTGTTTTGAAGACTGAGTTGTTGGAGAAAGGAAGGTGCTAAAGGAGATAGGAAAGGGGAAGAAGAGCCCTTTACTTCTTTGAGCCTCAGTTTCCCATTTGTAAAACAAGAAAACAACAACTATGTCACAGGTCAATGCAAAGATAAAACAAGATTTTACATAAAAGAGATATATATATACAAAATTATATATTTTATACACATACACACATACATACAAGCATTTTGTAAATTCAAAAACATTATACAAACATGATGAAATAACATTTATAATAGTTATTTTTATTTTTTTTTTGAGACAGAGTCTTGCTCTGTCACCCAGGCTATAGTACAGTGGCATGATCTCAGCTCACTGCAACCTCTGCCTGCTGGGTTCAAGCAAGTTTCCTGCCTCAGCCTCCCAAGTAGCTGAGATTGCAGGCATGCACCACCACGGCCGACTAATTTTTGTATTTTTAGTAGAGACAGTGTTTCACCATATTGGCCAGGCTGGTCTTGAACTCCTGACCTCGTCATCGACCTGCCTAGGCCTCCCAAAGTGCTGGGATTACAGGAGCGAGCTACCACACCCAGCCTGTTATTTTCTTTATTCAGCAGTCAGATAATTAACCAACCACAAGTGTGACGGCTGGGAAAAGAGTAATAGGAAAAAAAAAAGAGAGAGAAACAAGTACCTAGGAAATCTATGTACTTAACAAAGAGAAAATCATAAGAAGAGACAGAAAAAGAGAAAAAAAATAGGGAGAAAAGGAAAGTAAATTAGGAAAAGAGAGGAGGGGAAGAAATAAAGGGGAAAAGAACAGCCTTTAAGCTTCTTCCCTTTTATCTCTCCAGAAACAGAGCACAAAAGTCGTCATTAGGCTTGTTAACCTTGTAGTAAAAGTTTTAAAGATCCCATGGAGCCCTGTAATCAACTTATTCTAGGTCTATAAATAAGACTCCCCTGAGAAGCCAGAGTTAGTACTTGGCTGAAAGAGGAAAAACCATGGTCCTGCCTGCAGAGTAATGGGACAGGTGAAGTTGGATCCAGAAAACTGGTTGACTCAGTACCTGCCATTCCCCTTCCCCGTCTGCTCTTCCCTTACAGAAATGCTGCCTTGCTGGCTTACTTTTCCTTACTTTATCCTTGCAGCCTCCTATGTGTCTCCAGCAGTCTGACCAGGAATTCAAAGCAATCTAAGAGAAAATGGAAGCCTTTTAACCTGTTGGGATGTTGGCAGGAGATGGGTTGACAAGTAGCAGTACTTCATGTGGTTTAAGGTAGCTGCTTTTAGCTTTCAATCTTGTCTCAGTAATGGCTCCTGGCAACTGTTAACTCCTTTTAATGGTGGGAGAGTGTATTCACACTCATTATCTCTGTGATTGATCATGGATATTCCCAGAGATTCCCACGTTTTCTCCAACAATTTCACTTTGAATATTTCTCCAATCATTTCTCAAAAGATTCATTTTGAATGTTTTATCTTCATAATCTAAAACAAATAAAAAGCATATTTCATACAACCAGATACTACAAAGTAGTATGGCACATCATTTTCATGCCCAAGCTTAAATTTGTCTTAATACAGTAATCACAAGTAAGAATTACCATACTAATTGTGTTGAACTAGTGAGAAAAGAAGAAATTATGCTTAGTTACCAAACAGAGGCTAAATACTGTCATTGAAAACAACTGACACTAAGGCAGCCAGCATGATTGCAAGTAATAATTCATTCTCATTTTCAAAAATCCATTGCATGTTGTTTTGTTTATTTGAACTCTATTGGTTTTGTGGATTTGTTTATATTTAACTTATAAATTTGATTTGCTTTTATAGACTATCACAATACAAGCATAAGGAGTTTACTCCTAGTTTCATGTTTGTAAATATGTAAGATATAATTAAAAATACTTTGAGTCAACAATTAGAGAGGAGGGAGTGCAAAGGTATTCTTTTTCTAAAAGGATTTCATATATTGCTAATTTTAGGTGGGGTGGGGAAGGGCAGGTATTATTTTCTTACTCATTACCACAGCCCAACAAGGAAATAAGTGGGAAAGTATGATTGTCTAAGTTGACTAGAACCAATGTTCAGACAAGTTGAGTGACAAGTTCAACATGAGCAGCTTTATTAACCAGGTATTGGACCCTCCCACAGGGCAGCCCACCCACCTGTATCAGGCAGGCTTCTCTCTTGTCAGGAGTCATGACATCATAGAATCTAAGCATAAGAGAGACTAAAGGACCATCTTGTCCTATTCCTACCCAATGTAAGAATCTCACCTACAGTATTTTTTCCAGGTGGTCTGCAAGCCTTTACTTAGAAAGAAACAGAGACAGGGACCTATAACTGTCCCATTATGAAGTCTTTTCAACATAGCAATGTGGTGTACCAAAAAGGGCACAGAAAATTATCATCACAGGTACAGAGTTTGAGTCACAATTCTGCCATGAGCAATGGATATGTTTAGATAACATTCATTGAAAGTACTATTCCGATTTATTCCTCCCAACAACCCTATTGCAATCTATCAGGTTAATTAATTCGGTACCAATATCATCCACATTTTACAGATGGGGAAACCGAGGCACAGAACAGTAAAAGTGATTTCCCCAAGTGCTTGCAGTTAACTATGTGATAGAGCTAAAATGAAAACCCAGGTAGTTCTGATTCAGGAGTCGTTGATTTATGGCAGCCGTGAACATATGCCGTGAAATCTCCTGCAGTGGGGAACATAATGGACAGGAAACCCAGCTATCCATCACCCACACAGTGACTGCGAGAGGCAATGACCTCAAGCTAGTTCCATTCCTGGGAATCACATGTCTCCTCTGATAGGCAACTTTAGCTCAAGGACCCACACCCCTTGCCGTAGGCAAAACTTTTTAAAAAGTGTGCTGCAGTCTGAGATCTTTACTGTCCACTTATTCCTTCCCTCTCTACTTTACAGAGGAAAGATTTTGTTGCATGCTAAATAAAAGGCCTCCAAACTTTCCACATCCTAATTTCCAGAACTTGTGACTATGTACCTTCTATGGTAAAAAGGAACTGTGCAGATGTGATTAAGTTAAGGATCTTCTGCTGGCGATTATCCTGGATTATTCTGATGGGCCTCATTTAATCACCTTTAGAAGACATGGGAGAAGTGTCAGAGAAGATGTGACAATGATAGCAGGGGTCAGAGTGATGTGACTGTTGGCTTTGAAGATGGAAGTGGCCACAAGCTAAGAAATGCAGATGGCTTCCAGAAGCTGGAAAAGGTGAGGGATTCTCTCCTAGAGCTTGCAGGAAAAACACAGCCACACAAATATCTTGACTTTAGCCAGTGAGACTTCTCACCTCCAAAACTGTAACATCATCAATTCGTGTGGTTTTAAATCACTAAGTTTGTGATACTTAGAGCAGCAATAGGAAACTCATAGGGACCTACAGCATAGTGTGATTGCTCTTCCTGCTTCATCTTCCTCCCCTTTTCCCCCTCACAGGTGTTTCTCCTCAATCATATATCGTATGTCTAATCTCGTCTTGACATCTGCTTTTAAGAAGACCCAAACAAACACAAGTGGTACCGAGAGCGAGCTTTTAGCAAACAGGCAGTGAGTGTAGGACTTTGGACTGGCCCATTCACCACACTCCTGATCCCAAATGGGAAGTGGTGCAAGGAGAGGCCACAGTAAAAAAGGATGGCCCAACTGCTCAGAACTCCACTGGGGCTGAGCTAGGAAAACATCTCAGTAGACGAGAACACTATTGCAGGTGAAGAAAAATGTTCTGGTGGACAGAAGCACCAATGCACACACAGTGATCCATGCATTTCAAAATATGTGGAAACATTGTCTACAAAGAGGCTAGAATTGGTTGGTTACTGCTAAATTGTACTGATGTCATGCAAAGGAATGATGAGAAACAAGCAGTTAATGGCTAGGGGTGCATGTGCTCTTATACTCTGCTATGGAAGAGCATACACAGCTGAGCAACATTTGAGTGCTCAGACAAGGAAGGTATTTTATCTAAGATCAGAACCCTACTGGGGAAAACCTGTGGCACTGAGAAATGAAGATGTTAGTCCTCCAGGCTGCCTTAAATCCTCAGAGTTACAGAAACTAGGGAAGGTTCTCACTCTTCCCTAACAAGAAGATAGCACTTTCACTGGGACTCCTTCCTGAAAAGCAGCAGGTGCCTTCCTCAGGAGCTTCCTCAACCTGCTCCCCACAAATGCAAGTACTGGCTGCTAGGCTGATAACTAGGATTAATTGGCTACAGATATACTGAGCATAATAAGGGAGGAAAAAGACTGCACCAAAGATGTTCCAAGATTCAGCTAGCAGTTGCAGGCAGGAGTCAAAGAAGTATGACTAGATTTCGATTTTAAGGGTGCCTGAACAAGAGGGTCAGAATGTAAGGCTGAATAAGAAGGGATTCATTGCCTTGGGGGTTCTTTCTTGGGAGACATCCTAACAGGACGTCTGCTGCTAGGAAGTGGGGGAGGGGATCTCTTAGAAGCCTAGAGAAAGAAAGAGTCAACACTGGTAAAATGGAAGTGAGTTGTTCTGGAAGAAAATAGAGGAGGGAATAAGGAGGATGAGAAAGTGGACATACTGGCAGGGATATATTATGGAAGGTCAGTGACCTACCACCAGGAGACTGTGACCCATGGAAGGACCTTAAAGGCAGACTAGGAGGCTTGACTCAAGGGCATTATGGAGACAGTTTATACAGCATGGTGTCCATAAGGGAAAAAAGACATACAGCCAACAGGATGCTGCTTATCATCAAAACTCCCAAAAAGGCAACCACAGAGGAGGTGGTGGCTGACCGTGGTCACCCTAAGAAGTCACAACCTTGTAGTCAGTTCTCAAACCCGAGCCAATATGCAGGTCCAAAACCCACTGAATGACAAGGAAGGACCCTGCAGTACTATGGCGAGAATATATAGTTGACCCTTGAACAACACGGGGGTTATAGGTACTCTGTTAGTCCGTTCTCACACTGCTATGAAGAAACACCTGAGACTGGGTAACTTAGAAAGGAAAGAGCTTCAATTGACTCACAGTTCTGCATTGCTGGGGAGGCCTCATGGTGGAAGGCAAAGAAGAAACAAACACCTTCTTCACAAGCAACAGGAATGGAGTGAGTGCAAGAATGGGAAATGCCACACACTTATAAAACCATTAGATCTCGTGAGACTCACTCATTATCACGACAACAGCATGGAGGAAACCACCCCCAAGATCCAATTACCTCCACCTGGTCTCGCCCTTGATATATGGGGATCATGGGGATTAGAATTCAAGATGAGATTTTGGGTGGGGACACAGCCAAACCATATCAGGTACCAACACCCCACCGTGTCCAATTGAAAATCTATGTATAACTTTTGACTCCCCCAAAACATAACTACTAATTGCCTACTGTTGACTGGAGGACTTTCTGAAAACATAAACATAGATTAACACATATTTTTGTATTTTATATGTATTATATTCTGTTGGGGTTTTGTTTTTGTTTTGTTTTTGTTTTTTGAGATGGGGTCTCATGCTGTCACCCAGTCTGGAGTACAGTGGCACAGTATCATCTCACTGCAGGCTCACTTGAGCCTCTTGGGCTCAAGTGATTCTCCCACCTCAGTCGCCAAAGTAGCTAAAACCACAGGTGTACACCACCACGCCAGGCTAATTTTTTAAAATTTTTTAAAATTTTTGTAGAGACAGGATCTCCCTATGTTGCCTAGGCTGGTCTCAAACTCCTAGACTCAAAGGACCCTCACACCTCAGCTTCCCGATGTGTTGGGATTACAGGTGTGAGCCACCACTCCTGGCCATAATCTGTATTGTTACAATAAAGTAAGCTGTGAAGAAGAAAATGTTAAGAAAATAGTAATCAAGAGAAAACGTATTCACTCTTCATTAAGTGGAAGTGGATCATCGTAAAGGTCTTCACCCTCATTTTCTTCATGTTGAGTACCCTGAGGATGAAGAGGAAGAGCAGGGGTTGGTCTTGCTTTCTCAGGGGTGGCAAAGGTGGAAGAGGTAGAGGAGATGGAAGGGTAGGCAGAAAAGGCAGGCACGTCCCATGTAACTTTTATTGACAAAAACCCACATATAAGTGGACACACACAGTTCAAATCCATGTTGTTTAAGGACCAACTGTAGTGTGATGATTCCCTCAGTTCTTTCCCAAAGGGACGGGTGGCCATTTAATTGGGCAACTGTACACTGGAGAAATGGGGAAACTGAAATATTTTGAGAATTATTAGACACAGGGTCTGACCTTAGCATTGATATTCAAATATGCAAAGCATTAACCTGGTCTTCCTGTTAGAGTGGGTACTTAGAGTGGCCAGGTAATAAACGGAATCCTGGTTGAAGTCTGACCCAAGGAAGGTCTCTGAGCCCCACCCAGTAGTCATTTCCTCTGGCCACTAGTATGTAATTGGAATTAATATACTTGACATTTGGAGTAACCACCATATTGGGTCCTTGCCTGTGAGGAAAACTTTATCATAGTGGGGGAGGCCAACTGGGAACTTCTGAAACAGCTCTGGCACTGGCCACAACAGTAAATCAAAAACAATATTGCATCCTGGAGCCGATGACAGAGATTGGTGCCATCCTTAAAGGCAAAAAATGCAGGAAGAGTGGGCCCTATCTACCTCCAGTGTGACACTGTGGCCTCTGCAGAAATTAGATGGACCCTGGAGACTGGATGCAAACTAATATCCCAATCATTGCCTCAATCACAGCTGCTGTCCCAGGCATAGGGTTTTTATTACAACAGATTAATATGGTTTCGGGTACATGGTGTGTGGCCATTAATTAGGCAGATGTGTTCTTTTCCACTCTGATCTGAAAAGAGAATCAAAAAGTTTGTATTCACATAGGATGGACAACGATAATTGTTTTAGGGTTAGCCTCAGGGCTGTGTTACCTCTCCTACCTTCTGCCATATTATCTGAAGAGACCTGGACTGCCTGGACAACCCACAGAATATCACACTCACCCATTACATTGATGGGATCATGCTGACTGAACGGGATAAGCAAGAGCTACTCTTCTGCAGGTCTTCCTAAGGCTCATGTGTTCCTGAGGGTGATAGATAAGGCTGATGAAGAGTCAGGGATCTACCATTTTAGTGATGTTTTTAGGGTACACAGTGATCAGGGGTGTGCCAAGATATCCTCTCCAACGCAAAGACAAATGACCAAATCCTGAATCTCAACCGTAAGAAGGAACCATGGTGCCTGGCTACGCTTTTTAGGTTCTGGAAGCAATGCATTCCATACCTAGGAATACTGTTCCAACAAGTACACAGGGTAATATGACAGCTACCAGCTTCAAGTAGGACAAAGAGCAGCAAAGGGCTCTGTGGAAGTTTCAGGCTGCTGTGCAAGCAGCCCTGCACTTGGGCCATACACTCCCGCAGATCCTGAGGTGCTAGAGGTGTCAGTAGTGGGAAAATACACTGGATGGAGCTTTTAGAAAGGCCCTGGAAGAAACCCATACCATAGGTTCTTGGGATCTGTAACTAGGCCATGCCGTCTACAACAGAGAATTATACACCTTCTGAGAAATAGCTCTTAGCATAATGCTGGGCTTCGTTGACCATGAGGCACAAAGTTATCATGTATCCTCCAGCACTGCTCACCACGACCTGGTTCTCCTGGACCTGCCAGTCAAAGTCAGAAGTACCCAGCAGCCATCACCACAAGATCAAGCCTAAGCAAGTTCTGAGGTCATACATGAGCTGTGTGAGCAGTTTGCCCAGAACACCATGTCAGCAACAACAGTCACACCAGCCATGTGGGGGTCCAGTATGACCAGCTGTAGGAGGAGCACAAAACCCCAAGCTTGGCTTATGGACCAGTTGGTTTGGCATATGTGTGGAAGCCAAACTCAGTGATGGCTACGTTATAGCTTTATTCATGGCTATCCTAAAAAACAGTGAAGAAGAAAAATTGTCCCAGTATGTGGATATGTGGTACACCTTTTCATGTACTTTGTGTGGAAGGGGAAGCAACCCAAGGTGAAGATACGTACAGATTACTGGGCAGTGGCCAATGGAGCCTAGAACAGAAGAGACTGAAAGATCACTGACAAGGAGGTCTGGGGTAAAGGTATGTGAATGAACACATCAGGAGTGGGCACAAAGTGTGAGTATTTTTGTACCACAAATCAATACACATTAGAAAACATCCACAACAGAAGATACACTGACCAAGTGAACAGTGAAAATGATGTAGTCATCTTGCATTAGGCAGCCTTCATCACTGGCCACGTTGAAACTAGCATGATGAGCACATAAATGGAGTAGTTATAGTGGCAGAAACGGAGGCCACACAGGGTTCCAGAAGCATGGACTCCCACTTACCAAGATGAATTTAGGTCTTGTGGCCTTGGAACATCCAGCCTGTCATCAGCAGAGACCAATGCTGAACCCTTGATATGTCATTATTCCCCAAGAAGACCAACAGCCACTTGGTGGTATATTGACTATAGTTGGCCCAACACATCCTTAAAAAAAAGCCAGCATACCCATGAGGACAGAAACTTATTCTGGGTGTGAGTTTGCCTTTTCTGCTCTTAGAGCCTCAGTTGGTGCCACTATCCAAGTAGATGTCTGATCTACAGGCATAGAATCTCATGCAGCATTAACATCCAAGTAGGAGACCCACTTCTGAGGTGTGGAAGCAGATCTATGCTATGATTTTACATGTTTGTCCCTGCCAAAACTCATGTTGAAATTTAATTGCCATTGCAACAGTATTAAGGAGTAGGACCTTTAAGAGATGATTAGGGCACAAAGGCTTCACCCTCATGGATGAGATTGGTGCTGTTTTAACAGGGCAAGTCTGGCCCCCTCTTCCTCTCTCTTACCCTCTCACCTTTTGTCATGTGATGACACAGCAAGAAGGCCCTTGCAAGATGTTGGTAGCTTATATTGGGTTTCCCAGCCCCTAGAACTGTAAGCCAATAAATTTCTGTTCATTGTAAGTTGTCCAGTCTCAGGTATTCTGTTAAGTGGCACAAAATGGACTAAGACAACCTGTAACCACCCGAAATCAGCTGGCCTCATAAAATGTTGGAATGGCCTTTTAGAGGCCCAGCTGATGTACCAGCTCAGAGGCAACACACAAGGGATGGGGCACCATCCTTCAGGGTACTGGATCTACATTATATCAGAGACCACTCTAGGTTATGGTACCCCAACAGGAAGCTCACACGGATTCAGGAACCAAGACAGCAGGAGTAGTCCCAATGAGCCCCTGGGGCACTTTTATGCTTCTTGTCCCTGAAACCCTGAAACTTTTAAAAGAGTTGCAGGTCCTGGTATCCAAAGGGGACATACAACTTCCAGAGCACACAAAACAGATCCCATTGAAATACAAGTTATGGCTGCTGCCAGGGCCCTTTCGTTTCCCTGTGTCCATGTCCCAGGAAGAGACCAGTCAATATACTGCTGGGCCACTGGCCCTGAGTAGTGGTGCTTTCATACAATAGCAGCATTGAGGAATATGTGTAGAACCCAGCTGATTCAGTTGGGTACCTCCTGGTACTTCCATGCTCCCTTGTAATGGTGAAACTCCTTGTATAGCCACCTGTTCTAGAAACTCAGACACCTCAGGAATGAAGGTGTGGGTCACACCACCAGTAAGCCCCCCAATATCTTCTGAAGTTACTGCTGAGGTTGAGATAGTTTAGAATGGACAGTAGAAGAAGAGGAGGGAATACTAGTTGCAGCCTTGAGGTCAACCACAGTAATGGGGCTCTAGTTTGTCTCACTAAACTCCTTCTTAAACCATGCTTCCCATGGGCCTGACACAAGGATTTTAGCCAAATGTTATACTACATTATCTGTAAGTGACAGATTTACTCAAAGTTTTAGTTTCCTTTTCTGAAATGGGAATGGTGTTCACAGGGAAGGTTATGTGAAATGTGAAGGCTATGTAAAGTTTTTGGTAATTTTTTTGCTGGATTTTGAAATCTCCTCTTGCTAACCTCCATGGTCTTTGTTCCATCTTCCAGCTCCAAACAGAACAAATCTAACCCCTCTCTTGTAGTCACCCTTCAGATATAGCAAGTCCTCCCTTAACGTTTTCTATAGGTTCTTCAAAACTGCTAATTTAAGTGAAACAACATATTATATCACAGGTACTCAAATAATGCTCTTTCATTCAATGCTTCACCATAACATTGGATAAGGAAAACAAATGGGTCTTGTTGGGCATCATTTTGCTTAAAGTCATAGTTTCCAAGAACCTACTGATGCCATTAAGTGAGGACTTATTGCACTTGAAATTAGCATTGCTCATTAGCCACCAGACCAGGTCCCAGTCTTAAGCTTACACTGTTTCTTCTTCCTCCTGCTGTTAAGTTGATCAGCTTTCTGTTTGCTGCAGTCATCAGTGTCCTTTTGAAACATGGCACCCATAATGACTCCCTGCACTCTTAATATGGGCTGACAGGTGCAGAAAACAGAGAACCTGGCCCCTCTGGGGAGCTGGTAGATCTTCACCTGTATTGCAGCCAAGGTCTGCATCACAGAATTAGTACTTTGATTATGTAATTAATCTAAAAACCCTTATCTGTCCCTAGAAGCTGCAGCATTGGCAGGTTACCCCTATTCTATACATACGTAATTGATTTTTTGAGCATGAAAATTGGCAAAACTTTGGAATCTGAATTTTCAGTGGCTGACAGTGGATATCTGCAATTGATATCTCCCCAGCTTCCTTTCCACTTTTGGAAGGTCCTTCTCTCATTCTCTGTGACTCTTGAGAAGTCGCTGTGGCAAACACATACTAGCTTTCCCCACTTACTAGCTTTTCCTCCCTTTTCTCTTTCTAGAGACCTGACGTTTATCATATGGCCCATGGCTCTGTGCTATAGAGGGGTCCGAGCCCTTCCCCAACCCCTAGGATTGAAACACTATTGCAGTATCACAACCATCCGCAAAGATTGGGTAGACAGTGGGCCAATGGTGCAATCCTGACCAAGGAAACATCAGAGTGTCTGCTCAGAGACCCCTAAAAAGACTTCTAACAGGTAATATTTAAAAAAAAAACAAAAAGAAAAACAAAAAAAAAGGAGGATAAAAAGGAGAGAGAGAGAAAGGTACGAGAGAAAATCCTTCTGTTAAAAGAAAAACCTTGGACAAATTAAAGAGTTTGAGTAAAGAGTGATTTGTGAATTGGGCAGACCCCAAACCAGAATAGGTTCAGAGAGGCTCCAGTGCAGCTGCGTAGTAGAGGAAATTTATGAACAGAAAAGGGAAAGTGATAAGCAGAAAACGGAAGTGAGATATGGAAACAGCCGGATTGGTTACAGCTCGGGAATTATGTTATTTGAACTTAGTTCGAACAATTGGCCACCTGTGATTGGCTGAAACTCTGTGCAATCAGACAGAGAGTAGGAGAGGAGGTTATAGTCTGTTTACACATCCAGTTAGGTTGAGTTACACATCCAGCTACATGGTGGAGGAAATTACCATGGCTCACTATGGCCAGAGAAACCTTTAGGCCAAACTTAAAATATGTCAGGAGGCAGCTTTAGACTAAACTTAACACCTTCTTTGCAGCTTCAGGAAGTGGTTGCTGGAACATCATCCCCGGCCCACCTGACCCATCTGAGAACCATGGGGAAGGGGCGGTGAGGAGGGCAGGTAAGAAAATGAGCCACAGTGTTAAGATGACAACATGATTTCTGATTATACCAACTCTGCAGCCACCCTGCCTGGCAATGCTTTTAAATGGGAGATTAAAATGCCCTTATTGTTTCAGAGGACTTTGGGCTCCCAGAGTTTCCTCTCGTTTCTGGGGATCAAGTTTTGGGCACTTCGTCTGATCCCATGAGCTGGCCAGTATTTCTACCAAAGTCCTTTTTCGCTATTAAATGTGCTGTGTTAATTTCAGTTGCTTAAATCTAGAACCTCAGCTCAGGTACTGTTTGTAAGGAAAGGGAAACAAGACAGAAAGGTTAACACGTGTCAGGAGAGGAAAGGACAGCCGCACACATGTCACTTAGCCTGAAAACAAACAGCCATTTATGTATACGGAAGTACATTAATTGCCAAAATTGAACTAATGAAAGAGACATAATTAGCTTCTGAGAACGGAAGAAACCAAGTTGATCTCCTAATGAGGTCTGAATAGGCCTCTCATTAGCCACATGGCTGGGGACTGACATGAGGTGGCAGAGCTCAGAGAGAACACAGAAAAGAACAGGTTGGAAGGCAGATGGGGACCCGGGGGTCCCTGGGTCCTGGATCCTCCAAGGGAACTTCATCCCAACAAGAATAGAGAAGCCACCCAAGGAAAAAAGTGGCCCATAGATAGAAGGTCAATGGACATTTCCCCATAGCCCCTGCTCTTGCTCATAAACCTACTTCCCTCATGAGCTTTTTTTTCCTCAGGTGAAAAGGGCCACCAATTTTTCCCACAACCCTCAGCCTGTTGCCTCCTAGGGTATACTGCCTGCGTGCCCCTAGCCTCAGAATCAGCTGAGCTGTTTCTGGGCCCCATTCAGACTTACTTAATTACATCTCTGGGTGTGAGTCCCTAAGCTCTGCTATGCAAGATGCCACCAAAATATCATTAGAAAACTGATGCAAACACCAAGTTAATTTATCATTTTACAGAAGCCCATGGGGGAAAAATTTCAATGATTGACCCAAACTAATAAATCTCTAATTTTGAAATCTGCCTTGGCTTGGTAACAGAGAAAACCAGACATGAGATGGATAGTTGTACCACATAGATAAAATCTGCTTCCATCTAAGTACAGCCAACGACAGTCATGCCCCACATAATGACCTTCTGCTTAATGATGGACCACACAAATGACATTGGTCCCATAAGTTTATAATGAAGCTGGAAAATTCCTATCGCCTAGTAACATTGCTGTTCTCATCATAAAGTACAACACATTACTTACATGTTTGTGGTAATGCTCAGGTAAACAAACCTACTGTGCTGCCAGTCATATAAAAGTCTAGCTTATATGATTATGTACAGTATGTAATACTTAATAAATGACTATTATCATTCACTGGTTTATGGATTTACTATACTATACTTTTTATTGTTTAAGAGTAGTATACTCCTTCTACTTAAAATATTTACCTGCATAATGTCCTCAGGCAGGCCCTTCTATGGGTATCCAGAAGAAGGCTTTGTCATAGGAGATGACAGCTCCATGCATGTTATTGACCCTAATGACCTTCTACTGGGACAAGATATGGAGGTGGAAGACAGTGATATTGATGATCCTGACCCTGCATAGGCCTAGGCTAATGTGTTTGTTTGTGTCTTAGTTTTTAACAAAAATGTTTTAAAAGTTTTTTGAAAGGCCAGACACGGTGTCCCACGCCTGTAATCCCAGCACTTTAGGAGGCCAAGGTGGGTGGATCACCTGAGGTCAGGAGTTCAAGACCAGCCTGGACAACATGGTGAAACCTTGTCTCTACTAAAAATACAGAAATATTAGCTGGGCATGGTGGCAGGAGCCTGTAATCCCAGCTACTTGGGAGGCTGAGGCAGGAGAATTGCTTGAACCCGGGAAGCAGAAGTTACAGTGGGCTGAGATCATGCCACTGCACTCCAGCCTGGGTGACAGAGAGAGACTCCATCTCAAAAAGACAAACAAATAAATTAAAAGTTAAAAAAATAAAACTTTTTAGAATGGAAAAAAGCTTATAGAATAATGATATAAAGAAAGAAAATATTTTTGTACATCTATACAATGTGTGTTTTAAGCTAAGTATTATTGTAAAAGAATCAGAAAGTTTAAATTGTTTTTAAAGTTTATAGAGTAAAAAAGTTATAGTAAGCTAAGGTTAATTTCCTATTGAAAATTTTTTTTTAATTTAGTGTAGCTTGAGTGTACAGTGTTTATAAAGTCTACAGTAGTGCACAGTAATGCCTTAGGCTTTCACATTCACTCACTGCTCACTCCCAGACTCACCCAGAGAAACTTCCAGTCTTGCAAACTCTGGTAACTGCCCTATACAGGTGTACCATTATTTTTATTTTTTTGAAATGGAGTCTCACTGTGTCACCCAGGCTGGAGTGCAGTGGTGCAATCTCAGCTCACTGCAACCTCTGCCTTCCGGGTTCACGGCATTCTCCTGCCTCAGCCTCCCAAGTAGCTGGGATTACAGGCATGTGCCACCACGCCCAACTAATTTTGTATTTTTAGTGGAGACAGGGTTTCACCACATAGGCCAGGACGGTCTTGATATCTTGACCTCGTTATCCACCCACCTAGTCCTCCCAAAGTGCTGGGATGACAGGCATGAGCCACAGTGCCAGGCCTCTTATCTTTTATACTGTATTTTTACTCCACCTTTTCTATGTTTTGATACATTTAGACAATCAAATAATTATCATTGTGTTATAATTGCCTGCAGTATTCAGTATGGTAGCATACTGTATGGGCTTATAGCCTAGGAGCAATAGGTTTTACCATCTATACCATAGGTTATACCACCTACAACATAGCCTAGATGTGTGGTAGGCATTCTATCCAGCTTTGTGTAATAAGTGCACTCTATGGTGTTAGCACAATGACTAAACCGCCTAACAGTGCATTTCTCAAAACGTCTCCATGTTGTTAGGTGACACACGACTGTAATGTTCTTTCCATCCAGATCAAGACAGGTACACTTTCTTCAATTCTCCCAAACTGTTTTTTATTACATTTTGTTAAAATGATTTCATCAACTACACTAGGTCAAGCACTGCATTAGGGGCTCCATCCCCAGAGCCCAGTGGAATTTCTGGGGCACAGTGAAGTTCAATGCACTCACTGAACATCAACAAACCTGGCTATCGTCCTCTCTGTGTTCGGCACTGTGCTGGATACTTGACACATATTTACTCATTCAATCCTTACAACCACTCATTTACAGGTTGAGAAAATAAAGCTCAGAGAGGTTCAGAGACTCGCTCAAGGTCACACAGTCAGCTAAGTATGGAGCTGCTTCAAGCAGGCCCTCTGCACATTGTCCCCTACTGCGCTACCTTCATACAACTCGTAGCTTCTCAGAAAGACAGGCTTATAGAGAAGGAACCATGTTTCCATGTTTTCATATAGCTCATTGCTTTCAATTTTTTGTCATGTCTTTTTTTTTTTTTGATGGTGTCTCGCTATGTTACCCAGTCTGGTCATCTTAAACTCCTGGGCTCAAGCCATCACCTCATCTCAGCCTCCTGAGTAAGTGGGACTACAGGCACACGCCATTGCACTTGGCTAGTCATTGCCAGGTTGGTGCAAATGTAATGGCGCGTCTTGCCCTTAAAACTAACGTCAACAACTGCAATTATGTTTGCGCCAGCCTAATAGTAAAAAGTCATTCACCTCAAAACATTTTTGGAACGAAACAAGGTATGATGAGTCAGGAGAGCATCGCGTTGAAGACATGGAGGGAAATGGCATGGGTTTGGATCAGGGCTGCAACTGTTGTGGCCCCTCCCTAAGGACTGAATTTCCTCCTGTGGTTATTAAAATGGAACCAACAAACACACGCAAAGCATTCAGAACAGTATCTAACACTGAGGGAGCAACAACAAATGTTATGACTGTTATCTAAATAACAGTAATACAGAATCATGAGCCCTTCCAGTTTAAATGAACCTTAGACAACAGCATTTTTCAACAGAACATGATAACACTAAGGCTTTCTATGATCATTTAACACACCCTCATATTGCCTGTTATTAAAACACTTAAAGTATAATAAATATATATATATATAGAAGAAGAATATGCAATCGAAAAAATAAAACACAATCCACATGTAGAGGTGACTACATTACAGCCATGTGGCCTAAACAGATTCTGACGATAGGCACGGATAATAAAGAGTGGCATGGCTTTTCAATCTTTTGTTGGTAGTTTTTTTTGTTTGTTTTTTTTTTTTTGAGATGGAGTCTTGCTCTGTCTCCCAGGCTGGAGTGCGGTGGTGCGATCTTGACTCATTGCAACCTCCATCTCCTGGGTTCAAGCAATTCTCCCACCTCAACCTCCTGAGTAGCTGGGATTACAATTATATGCCACCATGCCCAGCTAATTTTTGAATTTTTAGTAGAGACGGATATTTTGCCATGTTGGCCACAATGGTCTCGAACTCCTGACCTCAAGTCATCTGCCTGCCTCAGCCTCCCAAAGTGCTGAGATTACTGGCGTGAGCAACTTGTCCCCAGCAAGTACTTTTTTGTTTTTGACTATAAAATACAGCTTTGTCTAAGTTGTAACTGATTTTTAAAACATATACACTAAACCTAGTGCTTAACAAATGAAGAGATAAGTATAATTTGATGTTCTTTTCACTGATTTCTGTTATTATCACAGCATAATCTAACTATCATTTCATCACTGGGCTTCAAATTAGTTATAAACATATTCCTCTTGACAACATGGAAGACGCAATGTAGGCACTGAAAATGCATACATTTGTTGCCCTGAACGATTGTAAAAGGCAACACTAGAAGCCTGCAGAGGGTCTGAAAGGAGAGGCTAAGGAAAGAGGGAGGCACATACAGGCCAGAATAGAATAAATATTTAAGAAACTTGCAAACTACATGTGTGTGTGTTGGGGAGGGCTGATCAATAAAGATTTTATAGAAAAGCTACCATTTGGGGCGAGCCTTACCGGACCCTTGGGACGCCAACAGGCGGAGATGAAGAAGTGTGTTCCAGGTGGGGATAGCCGCTGCCCCAGTGCCTGGGGGCATCCAGGTTCCTCCTGCTGGGCTCTGCACAGCTTCCTGCTGCCGCCCTCCTCTGCCCTGGCCCAAGGTGGGGAGGGGCGGCAATTAAAGGCTGCGACCTGGGTGCTCCCCTGGCCCCTCTCTGCTGTCTTCGTGTTGCCCCCCATTCCCTGGCCTGGTGTTCACCTGCCCTCTCTCACTCTCCTTTTTTTCACCTTCTCACTCCCCTACTCATCATTTTTCTCCTTCTCCCTCCCCCCACTCTTCCTCCTTCTCTTCCCCGTTTCTTTCCTTCTTTCCCTCTCCTCTCTCCTGTGTCTCTTTCCTTCCTCACTTTTTCTCTCTCCCTCCCCTCTCCCCCCGGCTCTTTCTCTCCTCTTTCCCCTATCCCTTCTCTTTCCCTTTTTCTCCCGGTTTTTCCCCCTTCTTTCTTTCCTTTCCCTCTCCTCCTCCCTCTCCTAATCCCCTTTCTCTCATCTCTCCTCTGGGTCTCTCCCCAGTCTATCTCCTTCTCTCCCTTTCTCCCTGCTCTCTATTTCCCTCTCTCTCTACCCGCTTTCTTTCCCCCGCTCCTCTCTCCCTCTCTCCTTTGTATCTCTCCCCGCTCCTTTCTCTCCTTCTCTCTCCTCTAATTTCTCCTTTCTCTCCCCTCTTTCTTTCCCTGTCTGTATCTCCCCCCTTTTTCTCTCCTCTCCCTTTTTCCCTCCACTTTATTTCCCTTTCTCTTCCCCCCTTCTTTCCCCCTCTCTCCCTCCCTCTCCCTTCTCTCTGTCTCCCTCTCCCTCTTCCCCTCTTTCCCTCTCCCCCCAGCTCTCACTCTCCCTCTCCCCCCAGCTCTCACTCTCCCTCTCCCTCCCTCCCTCATCTCACCCAGCCTGGATTCTTCATGACCGATTTTTTTAATTATTTGGGAAAAAATGTTTCCTCTTTATGAACAAGAGAGAAAAGCATTTCTCCTCCCCAACAGATTAACTATTTGAAATGCACATAAACTGTAAGTTTCTCTCAGCAGAGAAACTGGTCCCTAGAAACTGATATTTTCCCCCTAAATTTTCTTACGGCACCAGAACTTTGTCTATACTTATTTACCATAAAAACAACATTGTGCACTCTAAAAGTCAAGACAGGATAAACACCAAAACTCTCACCTGTAATATCACCTTAAACCTAACGTACTCTTCCCAGCCTAACAAAATCATTAGCAATTCTTGGATTCCCTCCAAGTCTTCACTCATGCACTGACTTCACGTAGCTGTAATTGTTAGCAAAACTGATTTCACGAAGAGCATCTATTCCTACAAACTCAGGTTTCAAGCATTTTAAGATGAACTCAGTATAACAAGATGAACCCAAGTGACACCAATTTTGAGATTTTTTTTTTTTGAAACCTGGAAATTCAAACTGCAGTGGGCTGACTTGGAGCTGCTTCACCTGGACAGGGTGTTGTGCCCCTATTTAGGCTAGAAAACCCTACCTTTGGGTAATTTGATGATTGGTTGTATTGGAGCTCAGAGCTTGCAGGTGGGAGTAAGCTTCTCTTGAAACAAGGGAAAGGTCAATCCTGGGACTGGGAGGGGTTGAAAGGCCAGTCTTGGTCAGCTGTGAGCAAAAGAACTTCCTCCTCTCTCTAGGCTGAGGGGTAGAAATTGGGCCAGTATCTCCACACCCCGACAACTTCCAAATGCCGCTCTGGCCACAGGGAGGCAGGAAGTATCCCTGGTGTGGGACAGTCCTGGGAGGGTCCCAGGATGGCTCTGGGCCTATTTTGTGCTTACAAATTATTCTCCATACTCTTCTTCCTTCCATTATCCGTAGACTTCCCCCTCAAACCCCGAAACGGAGTCTCACTCTGTTGCCCAGGCTGGAGTGCAGTGCCGTGGTCTCGACTCACTGCAACCTCCGCCTCCCAGGTTCAAGCGATTCTTGTGCAATAGCCTCTGAGTAGCTGGAATTACAGGAGTGCACAACCACTCCCGGCTATTGTTTGTATTTTTAATAGAGGCAGGGTTTCACCACGTTGGCCAGGCTTGTCTCAATCTCCCAACCTCAGGTGATCTGCCCAACTCCTCGGCCTCGCAAAGTGCTGAGACTGTAGGCGTGAGCCACCGCGCTGGGCCTATCCTCAGGCTTTTACTAAAGACACTTAAAGGTTACAGCCTGGTCTTTCTTATTTGAGTTAGTTTCCAATGACTGCTGAACAGATTCACAAACTTGTCTTAACACAACAGAAATTTGTTATCTCGCAGTGCTGGAGGCCAAAAGCTAAAATCAAGATGTCGGCAGGACTGTGCTTATTACAACGGCTTGGGGAGAATCCTTCTTTCTGTCTCCCGCTTTAGGCCCCTGTGTTCT
Organism: Homo sapiens; assembly: GCF_000001405.40. Classification (NCBI taxonomy): domain Eukaryota; kingdom Metazoa; phylum Chordata; class Mammalia; order Primates; family Hominidae; genus Homo; species Homo sapiens. The sequence continues at coordinate 21,297,544 of NC_000008.11, forward strand.
TGGCTTGTGGCAGCATCACTCTACGCTGTCTGTCTCCACGTGGCCTTGCCTCCGTGCCTGTTTTCCCTCTTCTTCTCCTATGTGAACACCGTCACTGGAATTAGAGTGCACCCTGGTAATCTAGGATGATCTCATCTTGAGATGCTTAATTTCATTACTTTGCAAGGATCCTATTTCCAAAGGTCACACTCACAGATTCCAGTCGGACATGATTTTTTTTGAGGCAGGTCCATTCAACGTGCTATCATTGTGGTGTGGGAAATTCAAGACAGAAACTGCACCACCTTGGAGACAAACTGGACTAGTGGAGAGCAGTGTTCCTTCCCCTACAGCCAGAGCTGGGGGAACAACTCGGCACAGTGGAGGTCTCACAAGGCACCAGGAGTAAAGCAATAGGCAAGGCTATGACAGCACACCCGAATCCCAGGACCCGGGGATAAGTCGTATCTTAGGAATATCTGCCCATGAAGGCAGTGGGCCGCAGGATCCCACTTTGAGGTGCCAGTGCTGATTGTCATTCCTTCCAAGATGGTAAACCATTAGGACATCTGGATCCCTCCCTAAGATCAACCCTGGAGGAGCTGCAGAGGAGAAACAGGGCACAAGAGGACCAGAGAGGGCTGTGGGGAGCGGGGAAGAAGAAAACGAACCGTTAAAGTTCTGTTGCTCCCTCTCCCCCAGCATCCTCCTGGGACATACAGCGATGGCCCCCACACCTGGAAGGACTCAAGCTCTGAATCCAGCACCTTCAGGAAGCAAGTGATGGCATCCCAGAGGCCCTATGCTTGAGACAGACTGACGAAAACAGGTGGATCTAGGTAAAATCAGTCTCTGCTACCCTCCTCATCTAAACCCTCAGTGCAGGTGAGTCAGGATGCAAATGTAAGGAGGGTTCCCTCCTGATACTGCTTCTCCCCAGCGTAAGGACAGAAGAAGGTGACAGGGTGACTTGAGGAGTTATTTAGGGGCCGGGGTGGAGGTGTCACTCCAGCTCTCTGGTGCTGGACAGTCCTCCCCAGGCATATCTTCTCCATTACATCCACACTAAGCTCACAGGGACTCACAGTTACAGGGTCTATTTCCCTGAATACTCATTTCCTTACAAAATACCCAGTATCTCTGTTGGTGAGGGAAAGGCATGTATGTCAAAATAAAAAGACATTGTAAGGCCCAATCATTTCAAAACAAAAACATGTTAGGTTATTGTGTGCACTGGAAGTAAAATAATTAGAAGCAAAATAATTAGAAAGCCAATCATTTTAAATTAGCCAAAAAAACTTAAAAGGAGGTTGCAAAGAATAATTTTCAAACAGTTAAAGATATGACTCTCATACAAATCATAGTGAAATGTATTTTAACTCAGATTTAACTCCAAAAGAATGCTAAAGTTGGTTCAAATGAGAATTTGAAAGATGGGGTATATATGTATAGTCAATGGAAGACAGATTACTAGAATATGATTGCTAAATCAGACACCAAATCAGTTAATGTCTTACAGAGCAAAAGAAAACAAAAATAAAACCTTTAAGGTATTCTTTTCTACTAGACAGAAATTAGTTTTTATGTATCAATTATTGACAGATTAACCTGTAGCTTCACACAATATGAGCCCTAAGCAGTTATAAGGAATAAGTCAAAAGCAATTATCCTAAGAGTTAGATAATCTTTGAACGGAACTAAACAATGCTCCAGTATGACACTAAAAGGACTTGCGCTTTTCCTTTGCCTTAGTTCCAAGTTTCAGACAATTTTTCTTAAGAGAGATAAAAGAGGCCAGGCCCAGTGGCTCACGCCTGTAATCCCAGCACTTCAGGCAACTGAGGTGGGCAGATCACTTGAGGCCAGGAGTTTGAGACCACCCTGGCTAACATGGTGAAATCCTGTCTCTACTAAAAGTACAAAAAATGAGCCTGGTGTGTTGGTGTGTGCCTGCAATCCCAGCTACTCGAGAGGCTTAGGCAGGAGAATCATGTGAACCTGGGAGGTGGATGTTGCAGTGAGCCGAGATTGCACCACTGCACTCCAGCCCAGGCCACAGTGCAAGACTCGGTCCCACAAAAGAAAAAAAGAGAGAGAGATAAAAGAAGATAGGAGATAGCAGACTGAATGAATGAAGAATGAAAAGGCAAACTAATAGAAAATATAAAAGAAGTTAAGAGAAATGGAGAATAGAAGTTAAAGTGCTGAAATTTCAATTAAAAAGAAGTACCAGAAAGAGAGAGAAACAAATAGAAAAGAGAAAATATTTGAATATTTGAATAGTGAGCTATATTTTCTAAAATTGTCTTTTAAATAAAGATCTCAGATAAAAAAAAATCCATAAAGGAAGAGATAAGGAAAAGCCCACATTCAGACATACTATTAAAAAGTTTAAGGATATATCCCTAATTATATATGTGGAAATTATAAAAATTTACAAAGGAAAAGAGCATATAGCATTCAAAAAACAAAAATCTAAAAACAAGAAACAGATTTTATAAAAAGCAACACTGAATCCAAGATGATAATAGAGTAATAATTTCGAAGTATTCAGAAAAATAACCATAACATTTAGAATATTATATTTGGCCAGAGTCCTTTGAATATGATGGCATGACAAATAATATTCTAGGCAGGCAAAGGCTCAGATAAATGACTGTAGAAAGACCCACACTGAAAACAGTTCTGAACAAACTTCCTAAATAAAGGAGAGAAAATTCCAGATGTTGCAAAAGAGGAGTGAAGTAAGGTGATGAAATCTTTTGTAAGCAGAAAATACAGGACAGATTGAAATATCAAAATTTTATAAATAGGCCCAAATATGTAAATAATTAAAATGTATTTTAGACAATTATTAAACAAAAATTGGCAGGTTGAATTTTTTCAATACTGGCATCTGTTGTCTAAAACAGAAATTCTAAAGAAAAAAATGGTTGAAAAAGAATGGAAAAATGTATCAGGAAAAATCTAAAGAAAGATTATATAGATATTTTAATATGATTTAAACAAGATTACTAGAAAAAAGTTATTAGTGATGAGAGCTATTTCATAGTGATTAAAAGTTTTGATACACCAAAACCATTTAGCAATTCTTAAAACTTTATTGCTTTAATATTCTCAAAGTATACAAAGAAAAAGTGATAAAACTGCTAAAAAGTTTTTGATTAAATCACCATTATGGTAGGAAATTTCAACATACCTCTCTACTTGATAGGTGAAATAACGGAAGATTATCCAGAATAAAGATAATATGTACAACACAAAGAACTTGACTTAATGGACATATGTAGTGTCTTCAACAACTTTATAATGTACATTTTCAAGCTTATATAAAATATTTATAAAATTATGAGTAATAGAGTAATAATTTCAAAGTATTCAGAAAAATAACCATAAAATTTTGAGTATTATATTTAGCCAAAGAGTCTTTTGAATATGAGGGCATGACACTCCCTAATTATATATGTGGAAATTATAAAAATTTACAAACGAAATTTGTAAATTTCCTAGGCACACATGAAAACCCTCAACAAATTTCAAACTGTATCATACAGACCTGGGTTTCTGATCGTAGCTTATTTATGTTAAATATAAACAAAAAAAATAAATTTCCCGAAATTTGAAAATTCAGAAATGCATTGTGCTTAGTTAATAAGTTAAAGAAGAAATTGTAGTAAAAATTATGTCTTATGTAAGTTTTTATATTTTTATCTTTTAATTGTAAATTGACAAATTATAGTTGTGTGTATCTATGGGGTACAAAATGATGTTATTATTTATGAATACCATGTGCAATAATTAAATCAATCTAATTAACATGTACCTATCACCTGAAGTAGAGTCATGTACCACATAGTGATGTTTAGGTCAATAAAGGACCAAACATATGACGGTGGTCCCATAAGTTTATAATACTATATTTTTTCTGTACCTTTTGTATGTTAAGATATGCTTAGATACGTAAATACTTACAACTGTGTTACAATTGCCTGCAGTAATTGGTACAGTAGCATGATGCACAGGTGTGTCGCCTGAGAACTATGGGCTGTTATCATATAGCCTGGGTATGTAGTGGACTATGCCACCTAGATTTGTGTAAGTGCACTCTATGATGTTCACACGATATAATTGCCTAACCATGCATTTCTCAGAATATATCCCCATCTTTGTGAATTTCTTACAATAACATTTTGTAGTCATTCACCTCCTTGGTTAAATTTATTTTTCTAAGTATTTTTTAAAGCTATTGTAAATGGAACTGTTCTCTTGATTTCTTTTTCAGACAGTTCATTGTTACTGTATAGAAATGCTACTTGTTTTATTGTTGATTTTGAATCCTGCAATTTTACTGTCTTTGTTTATTAGTTCTATCCGTTTTTTTGTGGGTTTTTTTGGTACAATCTTTAGGGTTTTCTATATATAAGACCATATCAACAAACGGTGACACTTTCACATCTTTCTTTCCTATTTAGATGCATTTTACTTTTATCTCTTGACTAACTGCTCTGGCAAGGACTTCCAATACTTTGCTGAGTAGAAGTGGCAAGAAGGAGTGGGAATGTTTGTCTTGTTCCAGATCTTAGAAGAAAAGGTTTCAATTTTTCACCATTGAGTACAATGTTTGGTGTGAACCTGCCCCACATGGTTTTTATTGTGTTAAGGTGCATTCCTTCTATACCTTATTTATTGAGAGTTTTTGTCATAAAAGGGTATTAGATGTTTTCAAATGCTTTTCTGCATCTAATGAGATGATCATATGGTATTTGTCCTTCATTCTGTTAATGTGATGTATCACATTTACTGAATTGCCTATGTTGAACTATGCTTACATCCCAGGGATAAATCTCCTTTGATCATGGTGAATGATCATTTCAATGTCTTGTTGAATTTGGTTTGCTAGTATTTTGTTGAGGATTTTTGCATCTGTTTCATAATAAAATGTTTAATGATTCAGAATTGAATGACAATGAAAATAATTGATAATGTATTAACAATTGATAACATATGATAATGATAATCAAAACCTTAGGGTACAGCCAAAATAGTAATTCAAGATGTAAACACCTGTGTTGGAAAATAATGAAACCTCAAATTAATGAGCTAATTGTTTGTTATTTCAATGAACAAAACAATAAGCCAAAAATAATAAATAAAATGGAAGAGATAATAAAAATACTAATGGAAGTTAACAAAATAGGAAACAAACGTATAATACAGGATGTCAGCAAAGCCAAAGTTGATTTGTCAAAAACAAAAAACTTGAGAAGCCTCTGAAAACTAACAAGAAAATGAAAGAAACCACAAGTGAAAAATATTGCGACTAAAAAAGGGGAGAATCTGCAAAAAAGTACTTGAGATAAAGAGATTAAATGACATGCCCATGTTCATAGCAGCACTACCCAAAACAGCTAAAACACAGAAGCAACCCAATGTCCATCAACAGATGAATGCATAAACAAATTGTGGTATATACACATAATCAATTATTCAGCCTCAGAAAGGAAAGAAATTCTGACATATGCTACAACATTGAGGAACCTCAAGGACATTATGCTAAATGAAATAAGGCAGTCACGAAAAAACCAATATTATATGATTCCACTTATATGAGATACTTAGAGTAGTCAAAATCACAGAGACAGAAAGTATAATGGTGGTTGCCAGTGGCTGAGGGAGAGGGGAATAGGGACTTATTGTTTAATGAGTACAGAGTTTCTGTTTTACAAGATGAAAAGAACTATGGGAGATGGATGCTGGTAATGTTTGCACAGCATTATAAATGTATTTAATACTGCTAAGCTGTACACTTAAAATGATTAAGATGGTAAATTTTATGTTATGTGTATTTTGCCACAATAAAAAAAATTAGGAAAAAATGTAAGTGATAATAAAATAATACTACCAACAACTGCTTGCCAGTAATTTTGAAAACTTAGATGAAGTGAATAAACTCTTACAAAAAAAGTAATGAACTAGAACAACTCAAAAAGACATTAAAACATTAAACAGCCTTAGAACTATTAAAGAAATTAAAACTGTGTCTTAAAATCTTCCCACAAATAAAATATTTGACTATTAATATTTTTCTAAATTTTTAAGAAATAAACAATTTTGAGTTTTTCAAATACTTGCAAAAAATAGGAAAGGGGGCATGTTCCCCAGCTTATTTATGAGTTCAGAATAGCCCAAATACTAAAACCACAGAAAGCAAAAATGTCATGCCATTCCATTTTTAATATGAATGCAAATAGTTTTTAAAATATTTAAAAAGTCCAAGTAACCTAAAAACATATTTAAAAGAAAATACACTTTGACCAAACTGATGTTATCCCATGTATGCAATAATGATTTAATACTTTGAAAATTAAGAAATATAATTCACCACATTAAGATATTAATAGGAATACATATAAAATTTTTTAGTTAATACAGGAAAATAATTCCATAAAACTCAACATCCACTCATAATAAATTATCATTAAATTCGTAGTAAACAAAAACTTTCTTATGAAGAATATCTGTTTTAAAATCTAGGTAAAATATGATCCTATATCTGTAGATTGTAGAATAATTACAATTCCCACTTATACTCCAGCTTGCAGGGGAAATCTTAGACAGCAAAATAAATCAAGAAAGAAATTAGACTCATAAGGATTTGTAGAGGATGTAGTTTTTTAAGTGGACAACCTGCAAGAATATATGGATAAATGACAAGAATGGGAGTATTTAGCAAAGTGTCTGGATATATAATAACATCAATTGATAATGCATCAAGAAACAACTGGAAAATATAAACACAGAACACCATTTATAATGGTATCAGAGAATAGCTAAGAATGTATTTAACAAAAGACATGCAAGATTCTACAAGGATAATTTTTAAATTGTATTAGATATTTTACTAGAAGCAAAGAAATGGAGAAACTGATAGATTTGAACAGAAAATAAGCAAAATAGGCCGGGCCCAGTGGCTCACGCCTATATTCCCAGCACTTTGGGAGGCCGAGGTGGGTGGATCACCTGAGGTCAGGAGTTTGAGACCAACCTGGCCAACATGGTGAAACCTCATCTCTACTAAAAATACAAAAATTAACCTGGCATGGTGGTGAGTGCCTGTAATCCCAGCTACTTGAGAGGCTGAGGTAGGAGAATCAACCTGAACCCAGGAGGCAGAGATTGCAGTGAGCTGAGATCGCACTACTGCACTCCAGCCTGGGTGACAGAGCGAGACTCCATCTTAAAATATATATATTCTTCAAAATATTATTTAAGGAAAGTGAAAAAAATTTACAAATTGGGAGAAGATATTTCTATTATTCAGCTCCAACAAACACTTTACATATAGAAAATAAGATTCTTTCAAATCAATAGAAAAAGTACAAATGATCAGTTAGAGAAACAGACAAATGTACAAATGGACATTTCACAGAAGAAATGCATGGCTACAAATCATAAGATGTATTTAATAATAGAAATGAATACTAAGACCACTATGAGGTACCATTTTATAGTTAATTAACTGGCAAAATACATACAAGTTTAGAAAAATCAAGTATAAAAAAAGATGTGAATTCATAGGATCACATTGCAACTGAGACTGATGCAATAAATTGCATAAATGGTTGTCCATCAATGGTTTTTCAAAGTGCAAGTACTTTAAACAACAGTTTGGTGATATTTCCTAAATTTGGTCATTTATACAACCTATAACCCAGCAATTCCACTCCTAACTAAATACTCAAAAGAAATTTATGAGCATATACAATAGGAAATAGATACAAAAACATTCATATTGTCACTGTTCATCTTAGCAAAAAAAGTTGAAACTACCCAAATGCTCATCAATGGGAGAATGAATGAACCAAGTATAAAAGGGTGAAATGATCGCATATTATAAACAGAGGAAGTGAATAAGCTATAATTTGTGAAAATAGAGATAAATCTTAGCAATTTAATGTTAAATGGGAAAGTTACCCCCCAAAGATTACATAAATCTCCATATCATTTTTATGGTCTAAAATAACTAAAATCAAAATAGACTTTTTAGGACGACAAAGAGGTGAAATAAAACCATTTTTTAAATAAAGCAAAAACATGATGCATACAAAATTCAGCATAAGACTTGCCTCAGATGGAAGAAACTAGAAAAAGTGAAGGGGCGGAGGTACCCTTATGGTTAGATTAGGTTTATTATCAATGGCTGAGCTTTTATTTGCATTGATGGTTTTGCGAGTGCTCATTATATTATTAAAAATAATGAAATAAATCCCCATGATGAAACTGAGTGATGTACTAAGGATAGGACTGATCCAATTCTGTGGACCTAAGGTCCACAGAGAGTTTAAAAATAGGAAAAACATTAAAATGCAATTCGGTGGAGATATTATCAGATGCGAAGTCACTTAGGAGTAAGGAAAAAGTTGCAAAAGAAAAAGAACAATGGAATGAAATAAATAAGCAGGAAGTAAAGAAATAAATAATAGATGGGAAGGGACTTTCACCACCATCTTCTGAGTCACACGTCCAGATGTTTGCTGATCCACAATACCACTGAGCCATTCTCGCCTTTGGTGATAAAGGCAGTTACTGTGAAAACACGCTGTTCTATTATAAAGAGATATTGCTAAGTTGAACTCTTCTTTCTGGGGCAGCTTCTACTAGAAGGCAGTTGCTAAATGTTTCTAGAGGGAACCAGCTGTGGGAAAACTATTAATTAGCCTCAGTCATTATATGCAGATTAAATTGGTTAACTCAATATAGAAAGCAGATAGGAGGAGTTGGGGTGATGTTCTTTTGATATGGTAAGAAAAGCATACAAGGTTTTATTATTCCCAGTGGAGCAGAAAGAGGATTTTCACTCAGAAAAAGCTGAACGTAGCTCCAAACTAAACAAATAAGACAGGATAGGCTGGGCACAGTGGCTCACACCTGTAATCCCAGAACTTTGAAAGGCCGAGATGGGTGGATTACCTGAGGTCAGAAGTTCGAGACCAGCCTGAACAACATGGAGAAACCCTATATCTACTAAAAAATACAAAATTAGCCAGGTGTGGTGGCACATGCCTGTAAACCCACCTACTCAAGAGGCTGAGGCAGGAGAATCTCTTGAACACGGGAGGTGGAAGTTTCAGTGAGCCGAGATCATGCCATTGCACTCCAGCCTGGGTGACTGAGCGAGACTCCGTCTCAAAAAAAAAAAAAAAAGAAAAGAAAAGAAAAAAATAGAAATAAAACAGGATATTCTCCGATTTGGGGAAGGAACACACTATCCCTGAAGGAGGAGGTAATCTGTCAGCTGAGATATGCTTTGAGTCTTTAGAATCCCCAAACTCACAAAGCTGAGGTCCAGAAATGGGTAGAACATAAACAACTAAAATAAAGTTTTGTGTGAGTTCCAAAACATAAGTTGATACTTAGAATAATTACAGTAAAGATTACTCAGAAATTACACATAAATGTATCACGTAATTTTTTCATTAAAAAAATCTAAACTATCTTAAATCTTCCCATCACTAAAACTAAAAAGAGTGATCTTGAACTCCTAGGTGTCCAAGGGTCTGGCAGTGCCCACTGCAAGCACGTTTTTTATTTGAAGTGCCATTTTTAACCTTAAAATTTCAGACCAATTTTGGATTCCTCTATATATATATTCAGGTTTTTTTTTCAATAGTAAAACATTTAAAATATCTTACTAATAAGCAAAAACTAATAGTTTGGGTATACCACGCTAAGTCTATGGTCTTACATCCACTTGTTTATTAACACATATTCTATCTTGAGAAGAATCACTATAATTAACTTTTTCTGATTTAACTTTTGCCTGAATGTGATCTTTTTATTTAGTAAAAATATGTTATTTCAGATGTGTACTTGGAAATTTAGAAACATAATTCTAGAAGGTTGAAAAGAAATGGAAAAAGTGCCCAAATTCAGAAATGGGCCCTTGTTTGCTTTTGGTACCCACTCATTTTCACACCTGTAAAATGTGGATATGAATACCTCCCTTTGATAGAGACTTGGCTAGCTGTTCACCAAACCCCTTCCACTCTTATTGGGAGTAGACTACATTTCCCAGCTTCCCCTGCAGTTGGGCGTCGCCACGTTCCTGAGTTTTGACCAAAGCAATAGGAAGAAGAAGAAAGGATAACTTAAGCAGGATGGGAAATAAAACAAAAATTTTAAGAAACGCCAAAGTTATTCCTCTTTCTCTCTCTTCCCTTTTTGACAACCTTTTTTTCCACACCTAGGGCCACCTTGGAAGCCATGTGTTAACACTGAGTGATCCTCCTCAGCCAAGTCCCTAATGCATGGAAAAGAACCTCCTGACCCAGTCCCCAAAGGCTGGACTTTTCCTTTGCAAGAAATAAGGAGGTATTGTATTAAGCCACAGTGTTGTTCTATTACAGAAGATTAAGCAGTGCTTAAATTAACATATACCTCCCCCAAAAAAAACATGGTCAGGAGTCAGGTAACTCTTATAAAGTAATTAGCACCTAGTGTCACGGAATGTGGATTTCTGTCAATGTGAGGCCATGGGACCCTGGAACAATGCTGCCACTTCCTATGAATCTATTTCTTAAATTGCAGGGTAAAGTTCACCATAAATAACAAAGTCATGGAGTCAAGCTGTCACAATTGGCCACCGTTCCTAAGGCATTTGAATTGTATGCATTGACAGGAAAAAGCAGGAAGGAGTGAAGACAGAACAAGGGGAGAATGTAACCTGAGTTGGAAGGTGTAATATTTAAATGTATTTGCAAACCTGTTTTGGGCCAAAAGGGGTAGGAGGAAGAGAAGACGCATTTGCTGAGATCTATTATATGCCAATTGGAGGACTACAGATTTCACAATTCACATCTGTTGTCTTATTTCTTTCTCATAATCCCAAAGATAATTCTAAAGTTACACATTATCATCTCCATTTACAATTAAGAACTGATGCTCCAAGAAGAAAGATCTCACAGTGTGTAGGCAACAGACCTAAGATTCAAACCTATATTGGTGGGTGTTAATGTCCTTGTTCTTTCTGATGTAAGCATGTAACATTTCCACATCTCTGATTCCATGCTCAAGGTGGGCCAAGCCATGCTGCTTGTAAGACAGGGTGCCTGTGATGACACAAGTCATTAATGCAAGTGTTAAGTGCCATGCAAGCACAGAAGCCACTTAAAATGGGTTTTCGGAAATGAAAGCTGGGCTCAAACAGAGCCCACTTTCAAGGGGGCCTGGTTTAAGTGGCCAAACTCTCAAGAAGAAAGGCATTAAAGGAAGAGCCTTTCTGCTGGGCTGGCAAAACTTTAGGTTCATGAATTCAGGAGGAGACTGAGGAGGAGAAAACAGGGTTTTAGAATGCAGCCTCAGGAGCTGCCTGCACCTCTCAGGCCAGGAGGTTGGCTTTTCCAATTGTGCGATTAAGCTATTCTACCCAGCCCCACCTCTCATTTTCAATTAATCTGCACTAATGAATTCAACAACCAAAATGCATTTGCTAATTGAGGTGCTTGCTGGCCAGGTCATCCGCGCTCCCTTGTCTAACAGCTGGTACTCCCCACTGTGCCACGGTAAAGTAGGGTAGTAGAGGCCTCTGCTCCCCTCATCCCCTGCTGCCCCTGAGGGGAATACCCAGTGGGCAAGAAAAGGCCCAGCCTGGGAGAGAATGCTCATAATATATTACTAAGTCACAGACAGAAATTGCTCCTCCGGGCAGTCTTTCACTTTTTGTTTCTAAGTGAAAGCTCATGACCATCCCAGCCATATTATCTCCCTGGCCCTTGGAAGCTGTTATGTAATGGAAAGGGCATTAAACTCAGGCCAGGAAATTCTTGATACAGAACCCAGACTGTTGTTGATAACTGGGTTGACTTTGGAAAGTGACTGCCTCCCTCCCTCTCGGTTTGCTCATCTGGAAAATGAAACTAATGGAACTGACCTTGGAGTCATGGTGAAGTGCCCGTGAATGTAATCAGAACATCTCAGTTTCTTCTTCTATACTGAGGGGCATGGCCAGTTGGGCATGGGGAGATGGTACACTAAGGGAAGCTTGAGTTTGCCAGTGGGTGGTAAATGTACAGAGTACAAAGAATGGGGGTGAGGGTGGGTCAGGGGGAGCTGGGAGTAAGGCATCTACTGGCAGGAGATGGGTTGGAAGTGATGGCAGTGGAGGAGGTGGGTGGCTGAGGAGTTGAGATGCTCATTGAAGGAATAAACAGACAAGACAGGGGAATGAGACTCCAGGCAGGAGTGGAGAATGAGAAGGAAAGAAGAACAGAACAAAGCAGAAAGACAGAGGTAAGCTGGGGGTTCAGCCTCCCCTTCTGTTCCTGCATCTCACCCTCTGCAATGGCAGCCTTACAAAGGATGATGACTTTTGCAGGCGCCACCTGTGAAGATGGGATAGCGGACTCTCCAAAAGCCATGTGCAGCCTTAAGATTTCTTTTGTCTTTTTTTTTTTTTTTTTTTTTGGCAAAAAGGGCCTGACAAAACCAGCCCCCGGCCAAGATTCCTTTGTCTGTGCAGATGCAGAGAAAGGGAATCAGCCAGACCTGGGGGAGTCACTGTCACCTTCACCTGGGAACCAGCTCTGGAGGCGGAAGCCCAGACCATCCCCTGAGCATAGCACTGCCCTTGGGGCTGAGGATTTTAAAACAAAAAGAAAAAAAAAGGCCTCAGTGCCTTTCCCCAGGGGAGTGAAGGGGCTTAGAACACCTGGGAAGTTACCTCAGACACCGGGGTTTCCCTAAGTCAGAACTATGAGCCACCAAAGGGAAGGTTCTGGAAATTTGCAATTCTAAGGATGAGGCTGTAGGACAACACCAGAAAGTAGTCCGGGCTGAGAGTCAGTGAGAAAAGATACACCGTAATCCAGTCTGGGACTGGTAGTCAGTGGGAAAGGACCACACGGGGATCCAGTCGGGCTAAGAGTCAATCAGAAGGAACAACACTGGGATCCAGTCCAGGGCTGAGAGGCAGTGGGACAGGACCACACTGGGATCCAGTCCGGGGCTGAGAGTCAGTGGGAAAGGACCACACTGGGATCCAGTCCAGGGCTGGGAGTCAGTGAGAAAGCATACGCCAGGATCCACTCCAGCTGGGAGTCAGTGGGAAAGGACCACGCTGGGATCCAGTCCAGCTGGGAGTCATGGGAAAGGATACACTGGGATCCAGTCCAGCTGGGAGTCAGTGAGAAAGGCCCACACTGGGATCCAGTCCAGGGCTGGGAGTCAGTGGGAAAGAACCACGCTGGGATCCAGTCCAAGGCTGGGAGTCAGTGGGAAACGACCACACCGGGATCCAGTATGGGGCTGGGAGTCAGTGAGAAAGGACCTCACCGGGATCCAGTCTGGGGCTGGGAGTCAGTGAGAAAGGACACACCAGGATCCAGTCCGGCTGGAAGTCAGTGGGAAAGGACCACACCGGGATCTAGTGCGGGGCTGGGAGTGAGAAAGGACCACACCGGGATCCAGTCCGGGGCTGGGAGTCAGTGGAAAAGGACGACACTGGGATCCAGTCCGAGGCTGGGAGTCAGTGGGAAAGGACACGCTGGCATCCAGTCCGGGGCTGAGAGTCAGTGGGAAAGGACGACACTGGGATGCAGTCCGGGGCTGGGAGTCAGTGGGAAAGGATGACACTGGGATCCAGTCCAGGGCTGGGAGTCAGTGAGAAAGGACCATGCTGGGATCCAGTCCGGGGCTGGGAGTCAGTGGGAAAAGACCACACTGGGATCCAGTCCGGGGCTGGGAGTCAGTGGGAAAGGACCACATTGGGATCCAGTCCGGGGCTGGGAGTCAGTGAGAAAGGACCACACTGGGATCCAGTCCGGGGCTGGGAGTCAGTGGGAAAGGACGTGCCGGCATCCAGTCCGGGGCTGAGAGTCAGTGGGAAAGGATGACACTGGGACCCAGTCCGGGGTGGGAGTCAGTGGGAAAGGACCACGCTGGGATCCAGTCCGGGGCTGAGAGTCAGTGGGAAAGGACGACACTGGGATGCAGTCCGGGGCTGGGAGTCAGTGGGAAAGGACACACTGAAATCCAGTCCGGGGCTGGGAGTCAGTGAGAAAGGACCATGCTGGGATCCAGTCCGGGGCTGGGAGTCAGTGGGAAAAGACCACACTGGGATCCAGTCCGGGGCTGAGAGTCAGTGGGAAAGGACCACACTGGGATCCAGTACGGGGCTTGGAGTCAGTGAGAAAGGACCACACTGGGATCCAGTCCGGGGCTGGGAGTCAGTGGGAAAGGAGCATGCTGGGATCCAGTCCGGGGCTGAGAGTCAGTGGGAAAGGACACACTGAGATCCAGTCCGGGGCTGGGAGTCAGTGAGAAAGGACCACGCTGGGATCCAGTCTGGGGCTGAGAGTCAGTGGGAAAGGACACATCAGGATCCAGTCCGGCTGGGAGTCAGTGGGAAAGGACACGCCGGCATCCAGTCCGGGGCTGAGAGTCAGTGGGAAAGGACACACTGGGATCCAGTCCGGGGCTGGGAGTCAGTGGGAAAGGACGACACTGGGATCCAGTCCAGGGCTGAGAGTCAGTGGGAAAGGACACGCCGGCATCCAGTCCGGGGCTGGGAGTCAGTGGGAAAGGACCACGCTGGGATCCAGTCCGGGGCTGAGAGTCAGTGGGAAGGGACACACTGAGATCCAGTCCGGGGCTGAGAGTCAGTGGGAAAGGACCACGCTGAGATCCAGTCCCGGGCTGGGAGTCAGTGGGAAAGGCCTACACTGGGATGCAGTCCGGGGCTGGGAGTCAGTGGGAAAGGACCACACTGGGATGCAGTCCAGGGCTGGGAGTCAGTGGCAAAGGACACACTGGGATCCAGTGAGAAGGGACACACCAGGATCCAGTCTGGCTGGGAGTCAATGGGAAAGGACCACACTGGGATCCAGTCCGGAGCTGGGAGTCAGTGAGAAAGAACAACACTGGGATCCAGTCTGGGGATGGGAGTCAGTGGCAAAGGACACACTGGGATCCACTCCAGGGCTGGGAGTCAGTGAGAAAGGACCACACTGGGATGCAGTCCGGGACTGGGAGTCAGTGGGAAAGGACACACTGGGATGCAGTCCGGGGCTGGGAGTCAGTGGGAAAGGACCACACTGGGATCCAGTCCGGGGCTGGGAGTCAGTGAGAAAGGACCACACTGGGATGCAGTCCGGGGCTGGGAGTCAGTGGGAAAGGACCACTCTGGGATCCAGTCCGGGGCTGGGAGTCAGTGAGAAAGGACCACACTGGGATCCAGTCCGGGGCTGGGAGTCAGTGGGAAAGGACACACTGGGATCCAGTCCGGGGCTGGGAGTCAGTGGGAAAGGACCACACTGGGATCCAGTCCGGGGCTGGGAGTCAGTGGGAAAGGACACACTGGGATGCAGTCCGGGGCTGGGAGTCAGTGGGAAAGGACCACACTGGGATGCAGTCCGGGGCTGGGAGTCAGTGGGAAAGGACCACACTGGGATCCAGTCCGGGGCTGGGAGTCAGTGGGAAAGGACACACTGGGATGCAGTCCGGGGCTGGGAGTCAGTGGGAAAGGACCACAATGGGATGCAGTCCAGGGCTGGGAGTCAGTGGGAAAGGACCACACTGGGATGCAGTCCGGGGCTGGGAGTCAGTGGGAAAGGACCACTCTGGGATCCAGTCCGGGGCTGGGAGTCAGTAAGAAAGGACCACACTGGGATCCAGTCCGGAGCTGGGAGTCAGTGAGAAACAACAACACTGGGAACCAGTCCGGGGATGGGAGTCAGTGGCAAAGGACACACTGGGATCCACTCCAGGGCTGGGAGTCAGTGAGAAAGGACCACACTGGGATCCAGTCCGGGGCTGGGAGTCAGTGGGAAAGGACCCCCCTGGGATCCAGTCCGGGGCTGAGAGTCAGTGGGAAAGGACGACACTGGGATCCAGTCCGGGGCTGGGAGTCAGTGGGAAAGGACACACCAGGATCCAGTCCGGCTGGGAGTCAGTGGGAAAGGACACGCCGGCATCCAGTCCGGGGCTGGGAGTCAGTGGGAAAGGACACACTGAGATCCAGTCCGGGGCTAGGAGTCAGTGAGAAAGGAACACGCTGGGACCCATTCCAGCTGGGAGTCAGTGGGAAAGGACACGCTGGCATCCAGTCCGGGGCTGAGAGTCAGTGGGAAAGGATGACACTGTGATCCAGTCCGGGGCTGGGAGTCAGTAGGAAAGGACCACGCTGGGATCCACTCTGGGGCTGGGAGTCAGCGATAAAGGACCACATTGGGATCCAGTCCGGGGCTGGGAGTCAGTGGGAAAGGACTATACTGGGATGCAGTCCGGGTCTGGGAGTCAGTGAGAAAGGACCACACTGGGATCCATTCCAGGACTGGGAGTCAGTGGGAAAGGACCACACTGGGATCCAGTCCAGGGCTGGGAGTCAGTGGCAAAGGATACATTGGGATCCAGTGAGAAGGGACACACCAAGATCCAGTCTGGCTGGGAGTCAATGGGAAAGGACCACACTGGGATCCAGTCCAGGGCTGGGAGGCAGTGGGAAAGGACCACACTGGGATCCAGTCCGGGGATGGGAGTCAGTGGCAAAGGACACACTGGGATCCACTCTAGGGCTGAGAGTCAGTGGGAAAGGACCATGCTGGGATCCAGTCCGGGGCTGAGAGTCAGTGGGAAAGGACACACTGAGATCCAGTCCAGGGCTGGGAGGCAGTGGGAAAGGACCACGCTGGGATCCAGTCAGGCTGGGAGTCAGTGAGAAAGGACCACACTGGGATCCAGTCCAGCTGGGAGTCATGGGAAAGGACACACTGGGAACCAGTCCAGCTGGGAGTCAGTGGGAAAGGACCACACCTGGATCCAGTCCAGGGCGCTGGCAGTCGCTGGAATGCCAAGTGTAGGATCCTTCCTGGGAGACAGCCAGTGGGTCAGGCCAGGGAAACACACAGTGACCGCGGGTGGTGTTGCCTTTGCTGCCAGAGACACTATCCCTGATCCTGGAACGCGGGTGCTGTCCAGGGACTGCAGGTTCCAGCTCTTCCCTGCTGCTGGAAGGGGATGTAAGTCACCCAGGCTATCTTTCTGAAGCCAATTGCCCTCTGTGGACACCTAACTCAAGTTGCCAGTTATCTGCCTCTGGATTTATCATGCTTGAAATGAGGAATCAATTTCTTAAAAAAATCATCTGCCCCAAGGAAGATAGTTCAGATACCACCCAGCATCAAAGAGGAAGAAATGGCAGGAGGCTGGGGGCGGGGAGGGCATTTTGACTCTCTTGAGGGCCTCCAGTCTCAAACCTATGGGCAGGTATCAAAGAATATTGGCTGCACTTCATTCATTCATTCAATAAATAGTTATTGAGTGCCTCCTTCATGACAGTTTCTCTGCTATGTATATTCTATGAAAACGACAGATTTCCTGCCTTCAGAGGTCTGGGGAAGGAGAAATTCAGCAAAGAATAACAAAAGGTGGTATGTGACATGCTCGGGCATACTAACGCCAAACAATGATGACAAGAGATGGGAGGAGGAAGTGATCATACACATTCTTTAGTTCAAACTCTCATTTCACAAGTAAGGGAAGCAAATCCTTGAAAGGGGTGTATTTGTTAATTTTTTAAAAAGAATTTTGTAGAGACGGGTCTCACTATGTTGCCCACGCTGGTCTTAAGCTCCTGGCCTACACTCGAGCCTCCTATCTCAGTCTCCCAAAGTGTTGGGGTTACAGCTGTGAGCCACAGTGACGGGCTGAAAAGGGAATTTACTTAGAATAATTTAGTGCTGATGGGAAGTGTTGCAGGTGCTTCCAGGTATTCTCATCTGGCTGGTGTTAATTCTTAGGAACTAGTGAAGAGATGGAAACCTTGGGTTCTGAGTTCAAGCTCTTCCAGAAAATCTTCACAAATGACATCAGCCTTAAACAATCCCTCCTTTTTCTGAATTCAAAGCTCTCTGTTGTCTGGCTTGCTCAGATTTAACACAGCATGTTCTGGATAGTGTGCACTGACCAGACGCAGCTCTTACATAATGAACTGTTTGGCTCATTAAGCGTGGCTACCAAGCTTAGGAGCTAGAGTTACTCAACTTCCAAACGGAGTCTCACCCTCTATGGAACAGGGAGTTAATATTATCCTCAGAGAGTTGAGGACACTTTGATTATAGTCTCAGAGATCTTCTTTAAGGTAATATTACCACTAGAACTCCACTCTAACCTCGAACATTCTACTCCTCCAAGACTGGACTCCAGGTTTTCCTCTTTAAAGTCACACTTTGTTCCCTATAACCTGGACTGGGTTCTATCTTATTTCCCTTACTCTGTCTTGACCCAGAACCAAGGAGCTAGATTTCTCTTCCCCAGATTTCTACCTCCTAATGTATAGCACCTGCTGCCTCCTGCCCGCCCTTGCCAGGGCTGACCATCACCAGTCCGGACCTTTGCACCAAGGGTCTGCTCTCTGAGTCACATCTGATATGCCCCAACCTCAATCTGTGCATAGATTCCTGGTTAACTCACATGTCACCTGTCCTTTCTTCTCATTCACTAATCTATTGGTTTCAGACTCAACTTTCAACCAATTTCCATGTATAGATTTCCCTCCTGTTACAGATCCACGGCTAACACCCACCCTTCCTCAAAGTCCTAGTTCTAGATTCTTGGCAACATGCCACACTTTGTTCTTCTTTATAGTCCACCCAGGTCTCAGGTGTTGTAGATTAGCAGTGGTCTTTGAATGATGGGCAGATCCTTCCTGGATGGTCATCTCCAGCGTCGCTGGGGCACCTGATCAATCTGCAGCTGCTCTGATGACAGCACAGGGGCCCCAGCACCACATCCCCCTTCCCATCCCAGCCTAGTCAACTGTCCACAACTCTAATTCCAGGCCAAGGTTGATGCTTTCAACTCTTGGCTGCTCTCATCTCAGTTGCTCAGAAATCACAGGGATGTTGTCCATGCTCTAGAGGAATAAAAAAATCACCACCACTGTTCAGGTTCGACATTTTGCACCCAGGTTCCCACCGCACCCTGCTCTCCCCTTCTATTCATCTTCTCCTCTCCTCCCCCTTCCCTCCCACTACCTACAAGGAAAAAGTAATAACAAATAGGGAGGCTAATTCTAAGTTTGTGAGCCCCAGCATGTATGCTGGCCCGCCTTGAGTCCTGTTATTTTCTCCTGTGTCTGGCTTTGACAAGACTGATGACATTTACGTTTTCCAAAAGCTTCAATAAAAGGCACTTTAGCTGCAATCACCTCCATCTAATTTCCCCAGTCAAATTTTTTTTTTTTTTTGGCTTAAATCACACAACAGAACTAAGGCCTGAGCTGCTCTGACAACTTGTCACCAAATAGGGCTCAGCCCAAATGGGCTCTCTTGAGAACCAAGGACAAAAGGGGGGGAAAATGGACTAAGTGGCCTAAAAATGAAGTGAAAGGCTGCAGAAAAAGAGGAGATTGGCAGGAGTCAATTTGTTAAAGTTCTAGAACAGGGGGCTTGGCGCTGTGTGGGGCCCAGAATAAACAGAAAAGATGTTATTTCTTCTTTTTTTTTTTGAGATGAAGTCTAGCTCTTGTCTCACAGGCTGCAGTGCAGTGGCACGATCTTGCGTCACTGCAACCTCCGCCTCCTGGGTTCAAGCGATTCTCCTGCCTCAGCCTCCCGAGTAGCTGGGATTACAGGCGCCTGCCACCACGCCCGGCTAATTTTTGTATTTTTTAGTAGAGACAGGGCTTCACCACGTTGGCCAGGCTGGTCTCAAACTCCTGACCTCAGGTGATCTGCCTGCCTCGGCCTCCCAAAGTTCTGCGATTACAGGAGTGAGCCACCGCACCTGGCCAAAGGATGTTATTTCTCTAGAGAGGAATAAGAGGGTGCATATGTCTGGCCGGCTGCAGTGGCTCACACCTATAATCCCAGCAATTAGGGAGGCCAAGGCAGGTGGATCACTGGAGGCCAGGAGTTTGAGACCAGCCTTGCCAGCATGGTGAAACCCCATCTCTACTAAAAATACAAAAATTAGCCGGGCATATTGGCGTGTACCTATAGTCCCAGCTACTTGGGAGGCTGAGGTGGGAGAGTCACTTGAACCCAGGAGGCAGAGGTTACAGTGAGCCAAGATTGCACCATTACACTCCAGCCTGGATGACAGAGCAAGACTCCATCTCAAAACAAACAAAAAAAAGGGTTCTATGTCTGGAAAGAGAAAATAACGCCATTGCCCATGGGAGTCTTCATCCTAGAGAGGGAATGTGGCTGGCACAGGGTACCCACCTTACGGTAGAACCCAAGGGGAAGGGATGAATGGATACCTTTCTTTTGTGCAACAACTCTGAATAGCAGGATAGTGTGCTGGGGAAACTAAGGCCCAGACTTTTTGCCCAGAGCTGCAGTGACTCAGAACATGAAGGAAAGACATTCGATGAAACAATGCATTCGTTGTTAAAATAAATGTATTCACTGAAGAACTATGTGCATACAGAAAAGTTTTCAAATCATGAGGGCTCATCTCAATCAGTTTTCATAAAGCAAACTTGCACCACCACCCAGAGCAAGGCAAAGAACATTTCAAGAAGCTCTGCTCCTGCTCTCACTTAGTCACTCACTCCCTGAAAGGTAGTATCATCCTCATTTCTAAAACCAGTGATCAGTTGAACCTATTTTTGAATTTAATGTAAATGGAATCATATATATAATATGTACCTTTCTGTGTCTAATTCATGTTTGTAGATATGGTGATGTCATTCATTTTCATTGTTATATCATATTCCATGTAATTATATCACAATTATTTATTCATCATACTATGGACAGATCTTTGTGTTCTTTCTAGCACTTGTCAGTAATAAGACTGTGAACATTATCTCTGGCTTGGTGCACGTAAGCATTCACTTCTGTTTGGGTGCACATGTAGAGAAGAATTGCTAGTTCATGGGATACGTGTGTGCAGTCAGCTTTAGTAGGTCCTACCAAGCAATTTTCCAAAGTGGTTGTACCAGTTCATTCTCTTCCCAGTAGAGTATGAGAGGCCCAGTTGCTCTACGTTCTTACCAGCACTTGATGTTTCAATTTTATAGCTTGATATATAAATTAAATAGCTTGATATATGGTAAGTGTGTGTGATTTTAATTTGCAGTTCCCTGTTGACTAAAGTTTTGTACCTTTCCATGTGTTACTGACCACTTGGATATCTTTTGTAAGCCTTCTGTCTATTTTTCTAAGGTGTGTATTTTTCTAATGTATTGTTTGTCTTTTTCTCACTGATTTATAGTTCTTTATATATTCTGGAGATGAGTTCTTTGTTACTTACATGTATACCAGCAGAAGTTGTGGCATGTCACTTACAGAACTTCATGCCACCAATCTCAACTCTTTACTCTTTTTTTCACCCATCTCCCAACTTTGCTTTTGATCTGATGTCACTTGTCCCATTCTCTCTATGATCAATCCAGGCTCCCACAAATATATCTTGTTCTTCCTCTTCTCCATGTGGCCTAAGCATCACACCCAGAAGCAATGCAGCTAACAGCAGACAGATGCAAGTTCATCCAGCCCCTGTGCTCCAGCCCTGGTCCATGCAGCCGCCCTAAAATAGCCCCGAGACTCACCCAGGACTGTGAGCCTAATAAGGGTCAGGGGATGTGTGGAGGTGAGCCCTATGGAGAGTAGAGGACAATGCTTTCACCTTCTCTGGGCTCTAGAACAGTGTGGGGGCCAGACATATCAGTGGGAGAGCTTCTGCCGAAAATGGTAAACACTGAGAGAAGATGGACTTTGTATAGAACACTTGTTTCATAGGTTGAAAAGGCTACTAGTCTGGCTGGAAATCAGGGGATCAAAATCTTACCTTGTCACTGCCTCGGTTGAGTAGCCTATGTTGGTTTACCCAGGATTGTCCCAGTTTTAGCTTTTAAAGTCTTGCACCCCGTGGAACCCTTCAGTGCCAGGGTAATTTATCACCCTGTTGCTGCCTTCTAAATAGCTGTGTGTTTGAGAAAAACAACTTTCTTTCTCTGGGCTTACTTTCATCTATAAGTTGATTTGGGAGTAGGATAGAGGAACTCTACTTTTCCTTTTATATCTGATTCTCTTTATTGCTGTTGCTCTTCCAGGATATTCCAATAATTTACAGTCAAGAGGCAGATACAAAAATTCTATGATGGAGGTGGGTGTGGTAACCTTGCCAAAATAAGAATGGCTACAGTGCTGCAGGCCACCACCATGTGCCAGGCACTGTACTCCAGGTTCTAGGGTCAAAATACCCTTTCATCTTCATGTCATCCCTGGGATATAAGCATCAATGTCACCATTTCATTTATGTATGAGGAAAGAGAGGCTCAGAGCGTTTGAGCACTGTGCCCAACACAACACAGCTATACAAAGGACTAATATTTGGCCTCTGATCTGCCTGTTTCCAAAGCCCTGGGGTTAGTTGCTGTGATAAACCAACCTGCAGGTAACCATATAGGCAGTTACCCTGCTTTCCTGATATCAGTTGTAAAACAATCCTCTCTCACCCACCCTCCTTACGCCTGTCCCATGACAAAGTGCCTTCGTAGGCATTATCTCATCTGATAACTGCCTGACAAGGTGGTCAGGAAATCAAGTAAGAGCCATGAATAATTTTTAAAAATTTTTAATCAAAGGAATTGTTATTAATAATGTTTGGAGAAAGGAGAGGTGTATTGTGCAGCTTGGGTAACTAGGATGTGGAGGTTTCAGAAAATGCTTCCCCTCTGAAAGAAGCTATCCAAACTTCTTCTATGTGTCTAAAGAGACTGGAAGTTCCTTCAGAAAGAGAAAAATATTTAAGAATTAAAGAGAAAGCAAGAGCCGGGGGACCCAACAATCAATTTCCAAGAGTCTACTTCCACAAGCACAAGAATTTACTGGAAATATACAGATTTGGACATTTAAACTGTGTTTCCCAAGCTGTTTTCACATCTCAAATGTTATGAAAATCCATGTCAGATCCTCTCTCAACACAGAGATTGGAGTCTTTGGTCATTGAAAGGCTAGACAAGCATTGGTCCAGATAACAAGTAAAAGAAAACAAAACAACAACAACAAATATCAAAGTAATAATAGGACTAGAAGAGGTAAGTAAAAAGCCCAGGAGAGGAGACTAAATATTGTCTTGGATGGGCCTGTGCCTGAGCTGTAGACTCTAAGAGGATTTTTAGATGTCAAAGGGAAAGGAAATTCCTATTCCCAGGACCTCCTCTTGAGGTCTTAACGAAAGCTGTAGACCTTTACCCCAGGAAAATGTACAAACATACAGTTGCACACAGAGAATGTTACATCTGGCTTCAGGGGATTCACAGATCCAAAGCCCAGCCCCAGGACCTTGAATCATCACCAAACCCTCCTTTTCATGAGAAAGAAATGTAAGACCCATAAACGCAGGGTGGCTTCCTCAAGGTCAGCAAGTTGGTGGATTATAGACTCAAAAGGGCCTCACAGGTTTCTTGTCTCTAGACCAGAACTATTCCCATGGAAGGAAGCTGGAAGAAACTCCTGTCTTCAACTCCAGAGTCAAAGTCTATTGGACCCCTGTAAACATCCTAAAACCATCTTCAGTCTTGCTGTCCATATCGGAAGGTACACTGATGTGTGCACCCACCTGGGTGTGTTTCTGGTGTGATACCTCACCATGAAGATGCACTGGGATTCAGGGAAAGCTGAGCTGCCTTCCTTGAAGCTTTAAGAGATTCCCCAAGCCATTCCCAATCAGAATAAATAGGAACATATGGCCAAAAGAAATTCCATAAATGAAACTGGCCATGATTCTAAACCCACTTTCCAG
Source organism: Homo sapiens (assembly GCF_000001405.40). NCBI lineage: Eukaryota > Metazoa > Chordata > Mammalia > Primates > Hominidae > Homo > Homo sapiens. Next base: position 21,321,274 of record NC_000008.11, read on the forward strand.
ACAGCAAAAAACACCTCATCTTTGTACTAGCTCCCAGAACAGAAGTTTTCCCCAAGAAAGGGGGTGGCTTGCCTTTTATCCAGTGGATATCTAAGAGCCTCCCACCCCTACTTCTTGAGGCTAAGGCAGAAAGGGTCGTGATTGTGTGTGAATTGCTGTGTCAGCACTCCTGGGGGCAGAAGAGGGGAAATGCCAGGTGGTGTCATCAGGAGATGAGTTCACAGCCTAACAGGGCCCAGTGGGGATGAGCTCCCTAAGGGGAAACTCTCCATCTTCATTCTTATGTTCCCTGGCTGAGCAGGAGGTTCCAACAGCTTCATAACAGCTGGCTGATGCCCAGAAGGCAATGAGCAGATAATATAGATAAAGTCTTTGGATCATTGCTAACTTGATTATTTCTATCAATGTATTATAATTCTTGGAATGGCCTACCCTACTTTCAACCAGCCCCGCTTCACCTCCCCTCCACTACCTGGCTCTCTAGTTCTCTCCTGCTCATTTTCTTTCTCTTCTTGTCACCCTTTACACAGGGCTGTCCAATTAATTTACTTACGGAAAACAAAATCCACTGTTGGGAGCTTTTGCTTTCAAAGGCCGATTCCCTGCTGCCTTACAACTGCTTCTAACAGCAACGAGTCCAGAGAAAGTCATTAGGAGGGAGGGACAGCCTCCTCCACCGCTCCCTCATGGCTTCAAGGTGCTTGTGTTCTTTGCTGGTGCTGCAGAACACTCACAAGCACGGGGAGGCAGAGGTGGAAGAGCCAGAGAGAGAGAGAAGGAGAGGTTTGTTCCTGGGGACTAGTGTGTGCTCGGGGAAGCAGAAGCTCCAAGGTCTGGATTTTCATTTCCAGAGAAAACAGCTGTGGCCACTGCAAAAACCTTCATGTCTAATTTAACCCAAGCTTGCATCTCCAGTTGCCTGGTATTAAAACACCTGGTGGGTGGGTTGGTTGGTTGGTTGGTTGCTGTTAAAATAGATACCTGGCTGGTTGATTGGCTGGTTGGTTGGTTGGTTGTTGGTTTTAGGTCAATGTTTATCTGTGAACCCACAAGATTACTGAGGGACCACCACACCTACTGCCTTCGTGACCTCAGCACTTCCATTCTCTCCTTTTGGCTCAAAATTTGGCATAAATGACAGAAACAACTTCAAAACATTGCAGCTTACTCACTGCATCAGGGACTTTACTGTGACATCTAGTAGTTTTCCACTGTCCTGCCTGGGATGCAGCAGCTTGTGTAACAGCTTTTTTGGGGGTATCCCTCTGCCTCATCCAGTTCCTCAGGTCCCACACACCTACATCACTCTCCCCCAGAAGAGGATGCTCCTGCCAGCTTCTGCAGTATTTTCCAATCCTCCCAGTGATCCCAGCAGCAGGGGCTCCCAGGCTATGAATATTCACCACTCTTCCCTGTAAGTCACATTCAATGAATCAGCAACTCCCCCGTTCAGCCTTTTCTGCACATGGCATCTAGGACTCTGCTTGTCTTCCCATTTCCCCTGTACCATCTTAAAAGGGATGAGCTCTTTGTGCTTTCTTTTTAAATTATATTATTTTGTTTTACTTAACAGACCCTGTGCAAGGTTCAGCTACGTACCCGACAGTTTCCTAAGCATTTTGTAAATACTGACTCATTTAATTCTCATGCCGGTCCTCATTTTACAAGTCGAGAAACCAAGGCAGGGAACATTTTGGTGACTTGCCCATGGTCACACAGGCACAGTGGCAGAGCCAAGATTCTCAACCAGGCTGACTGCCTCTCAGTCCATGCTCTCAACTGTGACCCTATCATGCTTCATTTCTGCTGCTGTGGCCAGATCCTGCCCATCCCAGGAAGCAGGTGCCTTGTCACCATCCTCTTTGCCTCCTGTTGCTCCACCCCCACTTATGCCATATTTGCTTCAGGAATGTTCCGTGTCAAGGGCCGTTTCCTCTCCAATCTCCTGACCATCTTCCCTGTAATTGCTGGCTCGAAAATGAACAACAGAAGCCATCAGCTTGCACACATCCAAGCCTTATCTCTTCACTTCCCATATCTCCCTTGTGACGAACTACAACGATGATGCCCAGATGTGCTCAAAAGCAGAGGGCTTTAAACCTGCAGGGACATTGCTGGCCACACCTAGGGTCAAAACTCAAGGCCTTCTGAAATGCCCATCCTCAAAACCCTTGCCAGCAGAGTCCATCCCTACGAATCTGTCCAAACCCAACAGGCAAACACCTCTTAATTCACTCAGCTTGCATTTGCATAATGTCCCATAGCCTACACTTCAAATCTCCACCCCAGTCCTGTCATCCGTCTCTGCTTCTAGCAACTCCTCAGCCAAAGGCAGCCAAAAGTAGGTAGCCAAAGGTAGGTAGATAATATCAGTATCTGACCTTGGCTTCTGTCCTTACACGTGAAGCTTAAGGGGTTTAGCCGGACCCAGGTAGGGTCTGACTGTGGTCTATTTACACTTGGAGTCTTATTACTCTCACTCAGGTGCCCCGAGCTTGAATGGCCCTTCTGATGCCCTGTGCTCAGCCTGTGCCAGGCTTCTACAGGATAAGCCTAATTAAAAACCACCCCATCTTCCTGCTTCCACTAGGAATAGCTACTGTCTGCTTCTCTTCCAAAATCTGCATCTCATTTGCTACGAGTACTTTCTCCCTGTGGGTCCTTTCAGTTTTCCAGAGCCTATTAAAACAGCCATGTCTGTCTTATGTATATGAGATTCGGTTACGATATATGCAATTTCCTTCCTTTCATGTCCAGGGCAATTTACTCTTCCTCTTCTTCCGCATGTCACATGCTTTCTGTCCTTCTCCTGCATTCTTTCTTTTCCCAGGCTGGGATTTGAGTTTGAGATGGATATTGCCACCGTCATCCCCTATTACTCAAGTTTGGTGGGATGGGAGGAAAGGGACTTCTTGTGTTTCTGACTTGGAAACTGGGTACTGGGTATATTATTGAATTGGCCTCCACAAAGGAAAAGAAATGCAAGCTATGGTCACCAGATACCAGTACGTGAGTTGGGGTAGGGGGAGCAACTTTGAGATGGTTTTAGCTGCAATGCACTGGTTTTTGCATCTACTCTACAATTCCTATCTTAGAAATTGGCAACTCCAGACTAAGAGATGCTGTTGAATAAATGATGGATGGGAAAGGAAAAGAAGTGGAAGGGAAGAGAAGTGGAAGAAAGAGAAGGATGAAAGGAGGAAGAAACAAAAGAAGGAACGTAGAAGGGATAGAAGTAAGCTTTACAGGATGCTTAGAACAAGTTTCTAGTACTTCATTAGCTACCCAGGACATCAACCAAACAATGACTAGCCAGGTTTAGAGTGGCAACTCTGTCTTCAAGTTATGAATCTTAGCAACCATAATTCTAATCATTAGCATCTATATATTTCCACAGTTTACAACCACTGTACTAGCACTTGTTAACACAAGTCTGGCTCCCCTAAGACTAAATAGCTGTTATGGCCTGGAGTTAGAAAGCAGCCCTTTGGACTCAAAGGCCTGTTCCCCTGCACTGCACAGCCACAGACAAGAGAAGGGTACAGCCACATTCTGTCCTGTGCTTTCAGAGTGGCCCAAAGAGCTTACCAGCCGGAAAACAGCTGTGGTCAGGACTGCAGTACACTGGAAGGCTATGTTGGCCTTGGCCTCAGCAGTGTCATTTGCAACCCAGATTCTCCAGGTTGCTCAGTAACGCTTAACAAATGGAAACCTCCTGAACTACTCCTAAAGCTCAGGGCTAAAAGACAAGCTCTCCCAAATTTGTCTCAGATGCTCCCTTAGGATTGAGTTCATCTTTCTGGATTTCTGATAAGAAAAAGTGAGAAGAGGTAGGAAGGATGCAATTAGTAGCAGCCAAGAATATTGGCTCTGCAGCCAGCCTGCCTGGGTTCATATACTTGCTGCATCATGCCTTAGTGAATTGTGAACTGGGGGCAAATTACTTAACCTCTCCGGGCCTCTTGCTTCTCATCTATAAGATGGAGATGATAATCACACCTGGATCACAGGGATTGTTGTGAAGATTAAATTAAAACATGTAACTATAAGACAACTTGACACACTGCCAGTGTTCCATAAATAGTGCTGTAATTAATTCAATTTTTATTATTGGTACGAAAAAGGCATGATCTTACCTATGGGTAAAAGGAAATTTGGAGACAGTTCCTGAAAGAGTAGAAAGGACACAACTTACCCCTTTTAAAATCTTACACTGAGGCATTGTGTCAGTTAGTTATAGCTGCATAACAAACCACCCCAAAACCCAGTGTAACAATTATATTTTTTCTCACAAATCCATAGATTGGCCAATGGGAAGGGAGCATCTCTGCTTTAGGCTGCAGATCTGGCTGGACATGGCTCTTTGCTGTGGTTTAGACTCGGGTCTGCTCCCATCGTGGGACCAAGGCGATGGATGCAGTGCCACGACCTGGGGGAAGTGCTCCTCACGGTGATAGCAAGCAGAAATATACAATTCTTTGAAGGGCTAGCCTCAGACATGGCACCCTCTCACTTCTACCCTATACCTCTAGCTGAAGCAAATCACAAGGCTACCCCAAGTCAAGGAGGAAATTCACTGCACAATTAGTGGGAATGGGGAGGCATCAAAGTCATAGGGCCAAGAGTGTAGAAACAGAATCAGGGCCAATAATTCAGCCTTCTACAGAGGGGTCCACCTGTCTCATTCCCTCTATCCTCCTTCCAGGATTTAGTTTTTCTCAATCCTCCCCCCACACATCGGCTACCTATCCACACAGCTGATTATCGAGCCATCTGGGATGGAGACTAGATCTTTTCTGTGAAATGTGTGTATCTCCAAGGACCAGTGCACACTGTGCACTTGACCGAAGTCCAGCCCCCAAGGAGCCCTGTCTCCTACAGAGAGTATTCTGGAATAACCAGTTCCCCCGTGAGCCAGTGCCACCACCCACACCAGGGAGGCCAAGGCATGGGCAGGCCAGCTTGGGGGTGGAAGCGTGCACCCAAGCTCAGACAGCAGTGGGAGGGACCCACTGCCATTCCAGAGCTGGACTTACCCACAAGAAGCATCTGACCCCCAAGCAAGGGCTCAGCCCCATTTCAAGAACAAAGTACAGTTAATAGCTTTGAAAATGCACAGCTAGAAAGAAAATTGTTACCGAAGTGGGTTCTTCAGATTTTAGAGAATGCAATTGTTTGGAAAGCTTCTATCAGTCGAGTCACACTGAAGGCAGGGAGACCACTGAAGGCAGCTATGATAGAGAGTCAAGTGCAGGCATTTAGGAAAGGTTAAATTTCTGGGAGCAAACAGTACCTGTGTTGGCTGCCAGAAGACAAAGAGGGGCTTGAGGGGTGAGAGAAGGGTCCCTCTCCCGGAGAAAGGTCCCAGCACAAGTCCCGCTTTAAAGGGGGTTGGCCAGTAAGCTCTAGGGGTGCCCCACAGAGATGCCACCCTGCTCCTCGTCAATGGCCACACTGCCCTGCTCAGCACCAACTATATACCTCGATGCCTGTCTGGCACCCAGCACAGTTCCTTCATTCATTCTAACGTTCATTCAGAACCTACATCCAGAATAGGATTCCATTTCCTCAAGAAGCTCAGCGTCTCTTCAAGCAGACAGACAGGAAAATCAACTTTTCAACACAGGCTGATAAGTGTTGTGATAAAGACCTGTTCTTGGTGCCACAGGAGACCAGAGAAGCACCTGGCCAGCGGGACGTGCAGGTGGGAAATACAGACGGGAGCTGCCTCTTTGAGGGAGAGGCTGCTTAGCAGTGTAGGAGAGAGAATGATGCAAGCAAAGAAATGAGACTCAAGACATTTGAGAATTGTGGGCAAATCCCCACTGGTAGGACAAAAGGGGTGTTAGACCTGATGAAAACTCAGGCTGGAGAGGTGGGCAGTGTCCAATGGACAAAACTCAACTCCAACCAATGGAAAAGAGGCAAGCAGGCACTGTGTCCATATCTAGCATAGAGAGATTCTCCTATCAAGGGAAAGCAGGACACAGGATGTATATGTGCTACGTGCCCTTCTCTGCCCCCTCTCTTTCTCCCAAAGAATGACCACATAGTTCCAATCACCTTTGGATTTCCCAGTCAGCTGTCAGGTACCCCACACCTTCCCAGCAGAAAGAGTATCTCTGGGTTGGTATTCGTGATAGCCCAGGGGTTCATCTGTGTTGTTGAAAATGTCAGGACCTCCTTTTTTAAGGCTGAACAATACTCCATTGCACATATATACAACAATTTCTTTATCCACTCATCTATCAAGGGACATTTGAACTATTTTTCTATCTTAGCCATATGCATAATGCTTGGCTTATAAATAATGCTGCAATGAATAAGGGAGTGAAGGCATCCCTTTGAGATGCAGATTTTGGATTTTCCTTTGGATGTATATGCCCAGTAGAGGAATTGCTGGATCACGTGATAGTTCTCATTTTAATCTTTTGAGAAACCTCCACACTGTTTTACACAGTGGGTACAATTTATGTTTTCACCATGCTGTTGGTTTTCTACGCTCAGCTTACAATGCTCTTTTTCAGATGGTACTAGAATCTTCCTAACCCTTCTTAACAAGATAGGAAGTGACTGTAAAAACCTTTTGAACTCTTTTTACCCCCCAAAGATGATCACCTGCCCAAATGCATAGTATGCTATAACTTTAAATTGTTCATTTCCTTTACAAAAAAAGAGCCAAGTGCTCCCAATTTGCTGGTGTTCTGGTCTAGCATGTGGCTATCAATAACATGCTTCCTAATAGATGGTTTCAAAACATAAACATATTGAATCAACCTCCTTCAAAGTTTAACGCTTTAGGGCCAGGTATGGTGGTTCACACCTGTAATCCCAGCACTTTGGGAGGCTGAGGAAGGAGGATCACTTGATGCCAGGAGTTTAAGACCAGCCTGGGCAATGTAACAGAATCCAATCTTTACACAAAGTTTAAAAAATTAGTCAGCCATGGTAGCACCCACCTGTAGTCCCAGCTACTTGGGAGACTGAGGCAGGAGGGTTGCTTGAGCCCAGGAGTTCAAGGCTGCAGTGAGCTATGATGGCACCACTGCACTCCAGCCTGGGAGACAGTGAGACCCTGTCTCCAAAATATAAAAAGAAAAAAAGTTGAGTGTGTTAGGAATGAATGTGAAGAATCCCTTTCAAGGAATCTTGTGCTAAGGAGAGAGCATCTTGAAATAGGTATTTGAAAATGTTAAAATTGTTACATTTTGTTGCAAAAAATGATACAAGTCATTTACTTCTAAAATTTCTCATGTAGACACAATTTAAAAAGTTGAAAATAGACTATTCTACCCTGTCTAAAATCGTTCAAATTAAGTTTTTAATTTTTTAACAAGTTTGTTAAAATTACAAAAAATGCAGCATCTTCTGACCCTTAAAGAACAACTGACCGACATAAAGGAGAAGAGAAAAGTACTAAACAGGCCAGGCACAGTGGGTCATGCCTGCAATCCCAACACCTCGGGAGGCTGAAGTGGGCGGATCACGAAGTCAGCAGTTCGAGACCAGCCTGACCAACATGGTGAAACCCCATCTCTACTAAAAATACAAAAATTAGCCAGGCATGGTGGCGTGTGCCTGTAATCCCAGCTACTTGGGAGGCTGAGGCAGGAGAATCTCTTGAAACCAGGAGGCGGAGGTTGCAGTGAGCCAAGATCGCACCACTGCACCCCAGCCTGGGTGACAAAGCAAGACTTTATCTCAAAAAAAAAAAAAAAAAAGAAACAAGGTTTTGTTTTCAACATGGTTTAGTAAGTATAACCAATGAAGTGTTTCTTGCCTTTGTATCTGCATATCTTTGCAAAATGTCTTTTCCAGCAATGGACAGATAAGAAAACTAAATCTTGAAATAAACTCTACTTAAAAATTGATGCTTGAATTGTTTAGTCACAAAGTCATATACCAAGATACAATAAACGTTGTGAAGCATAGTCAATCACATTTTTGAGGCATTAACAAATAAGTTAAAACAAAAATACTTTAAGTAATATTTTATCTTTAAATCAATATTGTTCATTTTATATTCTTTATGTATATTTTATATGTGTAACAGATAAATAGATAACTTTTTTTTCCCCGGGCTTGAATGCAATGGTGTGATCATAGCACACTACATCCTTAAGCCTTAAACTCCTGGGCTCGAGCAATCCTTCCAATTCAGCCTCCCAAGTAGCTAGGATTACAGGTATGTGCCACTACTCCCAGCTATTTTTTTCATTTCTTATAGAGAAGGGCTGCTACTATCTTTCCCAGACTGTTCTTGAACTCCTGGCCCCAAGTAATCCTCCTACTTTAGCCTCCCAAAGCACTAGGGTTATAGGCATGAGACACTCTACCCAGCCTAAATATACGTTTCTATTGTATATTTTTCACATATATATGAAATAAGGCTTATAATAGATTAGTATACTTTTTGGAAATCAATTGTAAAATATACACATTGGAAGTACCAGCTCAATGTCTTTCCATTGGTGGAGTTCATAATCACACAACATAAAGACCACTGGCCTAGACTACCGCAAAGCCTCCTAGAGGCTCCCCACATCCACCCTGCCGCCTCTTCAAGCCAGTCTCCATCCCACAGCCCAGCAACCTGTTCATATTCAGCTCATCTTACTGCCCTCAGAACAACCACCCACATCTCATGCCTTGTCCTCCTTGATTGCTTACGGTTACCCCATTCTAGTTCCTTCAAAACTAGTACAGCACAGCGTACAAAATGTGTGACCACTGATGTGAGAATCTCGGCCCCTCTAGGGTGGCAGGGGAGCCCTAGGCAGAATAAATCAAAAAGTATCTGAGATGGGTCTCAATCAATTTAGAAAGTTTATTTAGCCCAGGTTAAGTACTCATGCCCAGGAGGCAGGTCTCTGCTTTTCTCCAAAGGTGATTTTGAGAACTTCAGTATTTAAAGGGGAAAGAGTGGTATTGGGCATAGAGGATGAAATATTTTTAAAGTATGGGTAGATAAGAGACAAACAGTTGCATTCTTCTGAGTCGTTGATCTGCCTTTCACTGGATACACAATTTACATCTGGGGGGTGCGGCGGGCAGAGGAATAGTCACTTATGACTTAGTCTGGCTCAGTGAATCTGCATTTTTGCATCAGAGGAAGCAATCAGATATGCATTTGTCTCAGGTGAGCAGAGGGATGACTTAGGGTTCTGTCCTTTGTCCCACACCTGTGAAGATAAGCTATCAACTTACGTTGTCAGGGTAAAATTCAACAGAACGTTTTTAGGGTAAAGATTTGGAGGCTCACAAGGAATTTCCTAGTGCGCAAATTGTGAGGGAGGTATGTAGCCTTTTTAAATCTTTGTAGCTATCTTGTTTAGGAATAAAATGGGAGGCAGGTTTGCCTGATGCTGTTCCCAACTTGACTTTTCCCTTTGGCTTAGTGATTTGGGGGTCCCAAGATTTATTCTCCTTTCACAGTGGGCATCCCAGACTCAGCACTTATGCTCAGCAACTGTTCTCGGAAGACAACCATGTTGTCAATGCTCCAAAGATAGAGACCGTACAGATTTTATCCATCAATGTAAACCCAAAGCCCAGACCAGTGTATGGTATAGTCCATAAACACTTATTGAATAAATCAATCATTATGTGGGTAAGTTGTGTCCAGAGAGACTCCTGCCATCAGCCACCTGCTGCATCAAAACATCCTTCCTTCCCATGATGGTCCTAGGTCACCAGACTTGGCACCCCTTTGCCTTAAATTTGTTACATTTTTCAAGGCATTTGTGGCCCTTCCTGCACCCTTTAACACACCCTAAAGTGCTCTATTCATCCAAATCCCAGGGAGAAGGGATTAGAAGGGACCAATTTTTTTCCTCCACCTGGACCCTGGAGCTCCTTATGTAAATCAAACCTCCTTGGCCAGGCAAGGACTGGATCAAATTACCAAAGACTCTACAACTCACAGGGTAATACAGGCCTACCAGCCTTTGCAAAACCAATACGGCCACTCACATAACCCTCAGCTGACTAAAGAAGGTCAGTTTTCTTTGGGGAAATTCTACTGTGATACCTTTAGAGCAGGCTCTGTAACCGTAATAGGTTCATTGCCCAATGCACATAACAAGTCAATATGCTGAGACCCTGAGTTGCAGCACAGAAGGAGGTTTAACTATAGCATCACCAAACAAGCAGATGGGAGGAACTTGGAGTTAGGCCCTTTAAGGATTTTGGAGTGAGCCAAAGTTTGGAGATTGTTGATTGGTCTAAGAGTGCAGAGTGACATCATGGGATGGGAAGGTGAAGAAGCTGCATTCTCATGCGGGTCCCACTCCTCTCTGGGGGTCTCCAAACTGGTTGCTGAAATTCAGGTATAAGAAACATCTTAAGGGATCTTTAAACAAAAAGCTTATGAATCTAATGTCAGAGATCCTGTCTATAGGAACAATGGGGATGTACATGGTCAATATCTAGTGACTTTTAGCAACAAGGGACTGGACCAAACGCAACCTGATGAATGCTTAATTATAATTGTAATTCTGTCCAGAACTTGACATGCAATTCTTGTCAATCCTATGGGGGTGGTTTCAGTCCCAGCCCCGTGGATTTAGGGTTGGGGGAACAGATCCTTATTGGAAACTGCTGTCAGAACTTTGTGACCTGCCAGCTGTGTGTAGAGTGTCACACAGGGTGTCCTCCAGCTTGGCCAATCCAGAGGGACACTCTTCTTACTTGGGATGACATAAAACCTCCCTAGCTATGAGCCTTCCTAGCCTACAATAGGAAGAAAAATCACATTTATTAAGTTTTATTTTCTAATCGGCACATAATAATTGTATATAGTTAAGGGGTACACAGTAATATTTCTATACATACAATGTATAGTGATCAATGAGGGTAGCTTAGCATTTCCATCATCTCAAACACTCATCATTTATTTGTGCTGGGAATATTCAATGTCCTTCTTTCCAGCTATTAAGCAGCAGAAAGCTATAGAGAAAGAGAGGAACAAAACAATAGCCATCAGAAAAACAACTTACACCCTTCTTCCCCATCACAAAATGAGTGCAGCAACATATTAGGCTCCAATACGGAACACACTGACTGTAGACCCACGGGCTGCATAACCCATGGATTTACTGATAATGGAAAGTGAAGACTGCTCAGCAGGGGTAGGCCAGGCCAGGGTCCCTGCAGCGGGAAAAGATGTAGTTTGGAGAGGGTGCTCCTGCTACCTCCATGATTGGGGCTGGGGAAGGTGGGGTGACGATGTGCCTAGAATAAATCTAAAGACAGAGGGGATGAAAGTTAATGGAAGCAAGGAATTCTAGAAAAACCAGGAAGGTGAGCAGCCTAGCCAGAGAAACAAGCCTCTCCCAAGGTTTCATGTGCCACCCTGGGGATGCCGTAGAGAAATTATCAATGACTGTGGGTGAGATGAATGGAGTTCTAAACTTGGAGCTGTCTGCACATTCTGTTTCTCTATACAGACTCTACATGGAAAGCTTGCTATTCCTACTACAGACTGTTTTATGTGCATTTAAATTCTACATATAGCTATGTGGTAAGATTTCTCTTCCAGTAGTTTAGCTATCCCCAGGAGTGCTTGGAAAGGGGGTAAAGATGTGCCAAATGGCAATACTCCATAAAACTAATTACCTGGGAAATTTTGTGGGGAAAATGCATTGTGATACAGGTATTCTGTGCAGTTTTTAAGTCAGGACAAGCCCTGCATTTATGAGCCATAAATGAAAATATTGAATATGCAATATCTATTAGCCTAGTGGCTCCAGATTCTGAATCACTTGTTAAGTGTGTCCTCAACGCATGAGTGCCACGAGCCATGGTGATTAGACCACCATCCCCACCCCTACTCAATCCTGAGCCAGTGGCCTCATCTCTATGTGCATTTTGGTTGATATTTTGATTTTTCCTTGGGTCAAGACCTGAGTGGCTCATCTAGTCCTTACATGAAGTGATTCAGCCTGGTGTCTAAGCACCCTGTGACAGCTCCAGCCTGTCCATTCATCTCAAATGTATCCCCGACACCAAGTCTTTAGGTTCCCTTTTCTCTCTCCATAAAGATTAGACAGCAAATAAAAATGATGCCAAAATACATTATAATAAATATAGACAGATCAGCTATATGATGAGAAATATGAGCATATATTAGGCCAGGCGCAGTTGCTCATGCCTGAATCCCAGCACTTTGGGAGGCTGAGGTGGGTGGATCACCTGAGGTCAGGAGTTCAAAACCAGCCTGGCCAAGATAGTGAAACCATGTCGCTACAAAAATACAAAAATTAGCCGGGCATGATGGCAGGTGCCTGTAATCCCAGCTACTCCGGAGGCTGAGGCAGGAGAATCACTTGAACCTGGGAGGCAGAGGTTGCAGTGAGCTCAGACCTTGCCATTGCACTCCAGGCTGCGCAACAGAGTGAGACTCCATCTCAAATTAAAAAAAAAAAAAAGAAATATAAGCATATGTTAAAGTAAACCCGAAGGCCTTCTTCCCATCCTTACTCTCAGCCCTTTATCACCCTCCCACCTTATCTCACAGAGGACACTGAAATAGCAAGAAGAGAGGCATTCCCCAAGCTCTGCTATCACACACACAGCTATAGACATTCAATCTCCCTGCCTTGATTCCCATTGTTGTGCACTGCCTGGCTGTCCTCCGAGCTCAGCCCCATGTCTCCATCTGTGTGTGCACTCACTCCTGTCCCCTCTCACCCACTGAAGGACACTGCCCCAGCATTCTCCCCTCTTCTGCCTTGTATCATCACATTTTTTCTCTCTACTGATCTCTTACTACAGGCACATGTGTTGGACACCCCCAGTGAGTCACCTACTTGTGCACCTCCCACCCCTTGACTGCAGGCAGAATCTATGACTTGATTCTAGCCCAGAAAATATGACAAAAGGGCTGTTGTATAACTCCCTGGACTATATTTCCTTATATGGCAAAGGTGAGAGCATCTCACAGATGTGATTCAGTTCCCCCTTCAGTTGTCTTCAGGTTCCTCAAAAAGGAGATTAGCCGGCTGGGTCTGGTCTAACCAAAAGAAAGGCCTTTAGAAGAGGGCTAAGGCCTTGACTGAGCCAAGAAGTCTCCAGTTGGCCTTGGCATGAGCTGCCAGGTGCTATCAGGGCCTGAAAATTATGAGTGGCAGCTCAGAGATGAGAGTGGCCCCACGCTGACAGCCAGCAAGGAAACAGGGACCTCAGTCCTACAGCTGCAAGGAACTGAGCTCAGCCAACAACCATGTGAGCCTAGAAGAAGACCACCTGCTCCAGAAAGGGACCCAGCCCAGCCAACACCTTGATTGCAGCCTCATGAGAAACCTTCAGCCAGAGGCATCCAGCTTTGCCATCCCTGGACTAATGGCCCAAAGAAGCCATAAAATAATACACTCCGTGGAATACTATGCAGCCATAAAAAAGGATGAGTTCATGTCCTTTGCAGGGACATGGATGAAGATAGAAACCATCATTCTAAGCAAACTATCACAAGGACAGAAAACCAAACACAGCATGTTCTCACTTACAGGTGGTTGTTGAACAATGAGAACACATGGACACAGGGTGGGGAACATCACACACCAGGGCCTGTTGGGGGGTGGGGGCTGGGGGAGGGATAGCATTAAGAGAAATACCTAATGTAAATGACGAGTTAATGGGTGCAGCAAACCAACATGGAACATGTATACCTATGTAACAAACTGCACGTTGTGCACATGTACCCTAGAACTTAACGTATAATAAACAATAAAAATAAAAGTTAATAATAATAGTATGCTCATATTGTTCTAAGCCAGTAAGTTTGAGTGATTTGTTACCCAGCCATAGAAAACTAATATAGGATACAAACACAAGTTATTTCTTCCACTAAGAAAACCCTCTCTTGACCTAACTTCTACTCTCAGTGCCCCCCTTTTATCTTTTTCCTTTTATAGCAAAAGACCTTCAAAGGGTAGGCCTATCTGTGTCTCCAATTCCCTCTAGTTCTCTCCCAAACTCACACCAATCAGGCTTCTGCTCCCATCACTCCTCAGAGTTGCTTTTCTCTAAGACCTCAGTGACCTCCATGTTGCTAAATCCAGTGGTGAATTCTCAGTTGTTCATTATTTGACCCAATCTGCAGCACTAGTACAGCTGATCACCCTCCTCATGTAAATTCTTTCTTCCTTGGCATCTGCCATACCACAATTGCCCAGTTTTCTCCCTGTCTCTCCGCCACTCCTTTTCAGTCTCCTTTGCTTGTCACTCTCTTCTCCATGGCCCATCAACATGGGGATGCCCCACTCTCACTTGCTCATGTCATTTGCTCTCATGGCTTTAGCTACCATCCATAAGTTGATGGCTCCCAAATGTAATACATCTCAGCCTAAGCCTTTCACTCAAATTCCAGGTTCATATATCAAATTGCCTACTCATCATCCCACCCAGGGGTCCAATGGGCATCTCAAACTTAATATGACCAAAATGGAACTCCAGATTCCTGCCCACCAAGCCTGCTGCACCTCTCCTCCATCTCAGTTAATGGAACTCCACCTTTCAGGTGCTCAGTCCAAAAACCCCAGATTCAGTATTAACTCACTCTTTATCTCACACACTGATTCGATCTCCCAGAATCCTTTTCTGTCTTCAAAATATAGCTAAACTCTGACCATTTCTCACAGCCCCTACTGCTAATCCTCTGTTCGAGCCACCTAATGTCTCCTAGATTATGACAATAGCATCCTAACTGGTTTCTCAGTCTCTGCCATTCCCCACTAAACTCAACACACTAGCCAAAGTGAATTATCAAAATATGATGTCATATCTCTCCTCCAACTTTCCCACCACACCCAGAGTAAAACCTGACATCCTCACATGGAATTCAAGATCCTACAGGATCTGCCCCTGTTGTGTCACTCACCTCATTTCTGACCACTCTCTCCTTTGCTCGCTCTGCTCTAGCCCATTGTACCCTTCCTGTTCTTAGAACATGCCAGGCGGGTTCCTGCCTCAGGGCCTTTGCACTATCAATTGCTGCCTGTCTTTCAGATCTCTTTCCCCAGATAGCTGATAAATTCTTCCCTCATTTCCTTCATATCTTTATTCAATCTCATCTGCTTCTCTGGCCACTCTACCTAAAATGTTAACCCCCCCAACACTTAGCCTACTGCTCTTTCTGCCTTATTTTTCTCCTTAGCATTCATCGCTATTCAACATTCTGTGTACTTTATTTAATTTTGTTTAATGTCAATCTTCACTGGGAGATTGGGGTATACATTCTATGAAAGGCAAAGATTTTTGTCTTTTTTTTATTAATCACTATGTCCCTAAGTGCCTAGAACAGTGCCTGGCATGTACTGTTCAACATATATTTGTTAAGTGAATCATTGAGTAAATATAAAACGTTCAAAAACATTCTGCAGTATAGGAGAGCAACGTGCTCAGTTCTCAGAGAAGAATCTGTCCTATTCACTGTAGGGAACAGAAGAAAATATAGGAAATATGTTTCATGTGTGCAATAAAAATGTGAGAGGACTTTGCCAATTTTAGGCAAAATAAGTAGAAATTTCATGAAGAAACATAACAGCTAAATTATGTTCCACACTGGATTCAACACTGTAGAAAATCAATCAGTGTTGTAAAGGATAGACTTGGTAACAATCTCTAAATAGAAAGGAAAAAATAGTCTGGCATTATGGGAAAAGGATGTGACCCAATTATTTTATACATAATGACAACAGAAAATCAGTTTTTAAACATTCTAAGTTTAGAAAGTATACTTGAGTTCTCTTTCTGAAAAACTTCTTACAACATTCTCTAAAACACTGGAATCAAGAATAGAAGAGTTGTAGGAAGATGGGGGACCTCAAAAAGCCTGGTAATAAACATTGAAACTAAGTAGAATGGTCCAAATAATTTGCTTTAGGTGTGGTTATAAATTTGATGAAATAAATCAAATAAAGAAACAAAAAGCAGAAAGAGAAAAAGGAAAAGGAAACAAAAAGCCTCAAGTTGTTTAGGGAGGTCAACAGTTTTTATTTTGGCATAAACCTTAAATAATTAGAAATGTAAAGTTATTTTCAAGCATTAAGGTACCCAATATTCTAATTAAAAACTGAATGTTAGTTGTAAAAGCTAGAAGTTAGCAAATTTTGGCATTGTAGATGATAAAAGCAAATAAAACAATGTATTTAGCAAGAGTATGATTTTAAAAATTTAATATCTATCAAAAAATCAAAATTATTTACAAATCACTGAAATCTTCTGTAATCTTATTTGACATTTAATCTACTTGATCAAAGACTGAAATAGTTTATTCAAATATCCCACTATGGTTGTGGTCTTGTGACATAATCATATCTGATGTGTTTTAGAGATAATTTTTAGGAAGAAGTAAATTTTGATAAAGAAGAAAGGGCAGGCCGGGCACGGTGATTCATGCCTATAATCCAGCATTTTAGAAGGCCAAGATGGGCGGATCACCTGAGGTCAGGAGTTCGAGACCAGCCTGGTCAACATGACAAAACCCTGTCTCTGTTAAAAATACAAAAACTAGCCAGGTATGGTGGTGCAGGCCTATAATCCCAGCTACTCGGGAGGCTGAGGCAGGAGAATCAGGAGGTGGAGTTTGCGGTGAGCTGAGATCGCTCCACTGTACTCCAGCCTGGTCAAAAGAGGGACACTTCGTCTAAAAGAAAAAAAAGAAGAAGGAGAAAGGGCATTTAACCTACTGCCCATTTCTCAAGAAAGGTGACCAGTAGCAAAAGTAGGAAATGGGGCTCTCTATGGCTAGGAAAGGAAAGCAAGATCTCACCTGAGATATTAGGGAAACTGGAGGTCAGAGGAGGAAGAAAATGGGGAGAAGTGAAGGTAGCCAAGGCCTGAGATACCAAAAGCATGTGTTAGATCAAACCTGGTGGGAGGTCAGGGGCAGGCATCAAACTCAAGAGGCTGAAGGACGTGCTTGGAGCCAGCGGGGAGGACAAGAAGCAGGTCTGGAGAAAATGTTGGCAAGAAGTATGTATCAGAGGTGCCCTAAAAATGGCCAGGAGCCACAGAAAGCCAAACTGTTTTAGCAATGAGACCTTTCCTCCAAGTGAAACTCAATCAGCCACAAAGATGAAAGAGAACAGCTCTGTCAAGAGCAGGGAGGGGGCCCGGAAACAACCCCCTAACTTCTCCCATACTTCAGAGGCAGCTGGGAATTGCTTTTATCGAATGTCTACAATTCCCTGGAGCGAAGGTTGAAAACTGCAAGCAGGGCTACCCTGGGCAAATGTTTTTTGGTAGAGTCCTGTCTATATAAAGAAATCTTATTATTTTGAGATACGTCCCATCAATACCTAATTTATTGAGAGTTTTTAGCATGAAGCGTTGTTGAATTTTGTCAAAGGCCTTTTCTGCATCTATTGATATAATCATGTGGTTTTTGTCCTTGGTTCTGTTTATATGCTGGGTTACATTTATTGATTTGCATATATTGAACCAGCCTTGCATCCCAGGGATGAAGCCCACTTGATCATTTTTACACTGTTGGTGGAACTGTAAACTAGTTCAACCATTGTGGAAGTCAGTGTGGTGATTCCTCAGGGATCTAGAACTAGAAATACCATTTGACCCAGCCATCCCATTACTGGGTATATACCCAAAGGACTATAAATCATGCTGCTATAAAGACACATGCACACGTATGTTTACTGAGGCACTACTCACAATAGCAAAGACTTGGAACCAACCCAAATGTCCAACAATGATAGACTGGATTAAGAAAATGTGGCACATACACACCATGGAATACTATGCAGCCATAAAAAAAGATGAGTTCATGTCCTTTGTAGGGACATGGATGAAATTGGAAATCATCATTCTCAGTAAACTATCGCAAGAACAAAAAACCAAACACCGCATATTCTCACTCATAGGTGGGAATTGAACAGTGAGAACACATGGACACAGGAAGGGGAACATCACACTCTGGGGACTGTTGTGGGGTGGGGGGAGGGGGGAGGGATAGCATTAGGAGATATACCTAATGCTAAATGACGAGTTAATGGGTGCAGCACAACAGCATGGCACATGTATACATATGTAACTACCTGCACATTGCGCACATGTACCCTAAAACTTAAAGTATAATAATAATAAAATAAAATAAAATAAAGAAATCTTAATTTTAAAATGGGCTATAAAATCCATGGATCCAATGTCAATTTCCTGGTTGATATTATACTATACCTACGTAAGCGGTTACCGTAAAGGGTGCGACACTGGATTTTATGTGTCAGCTTGGAGAGTGTTTAGGGATGAAATTAACATTTAAATGGGTAAATTTCAAGTAAACAGATTGCCCCCCATAATGTGGGTGGGTCTCATCCAATCAGTTGAAAGCCTGAAAAGAACCAAAAGACCAGCTTCCCCAAGTAAGATGGAATCCTCCAGTACGCTGCCTTCGGACTTCATCTGCAACAATGGCTCTCCTGGGTCTCCAGCTTGACCATCTCACATTGTAGATTTTGAACTCACCAATCTCCATAATCATGTGAGCCAATTCCTTATGATAAATCTCTCTCTCTCTGTTTACATACACACACATACACATACACACACACACACACACACACACATAAACACACACCCTATTGGTTCAGTTTCTCTGGCAAATCCTAACACAGGATTATTAGGGCAACTGGGCAAAGGGTGCATGGGACCTCTCTGGACTCTTCTTGCAACTCCCTGTCAATCCATAATAATTTGAAAATAAAAAGTTAAAAATAAAAGTCAGGGTCATGAAAGTCAAGGAGGGACTCATAGATTGTTCCAGACTGAAGGATTCTAGAGAGACATGACAGACCTCATTACCTGAGATTGGATCCTTTTGCTATTAAAGATGTTATTGGGTCAATTGGAAAAACATGAAAGGGGTTTCTGGGGCAGAATATATGAGAATTGTTAGTACTACACACACACACACACACACAGACACACACACACACAAATTGTGTTTGAAGTTGTTTCAAAATAAGAGGTTAAAAAAATAATCTATGGATCCATGTAAGGTGTAGTGATTTATGGATGAAGATTTAGAGTAGAGGTCAGCATACTTTTTCTGTAAGGGCTAGATAATAAACATTTTTTTTTCAGCCTTGCAAACCATATAGTCTCTGTCATCACCACTCAATTCTGCTGTTATAGCACAGAAAGCAGCCACAGAAAATACATGAACGAATGGGATGGCCATATTTGGACTATGGCGGGCACAGGCTGAAGTTTGTCAATTCCTAGTTTTGAATAAGAGATGTATCTTTATTGACCAACTGGTGTGCCTGATGATTCTTTGTAGAGTACAGGCAGCATCTCTTCCTTCTCATGCCCAGAAACCATCTCCTCGTGCTCTTTAACAAATGTGCCATTCCTGGCTAACTTTCCATCTCTCACCTTAGGAATAAGATAGAAGGCTGGGCACAGTGGCTCACACCTGTAATACCAGCACTTTGGGAGGCCGAGCCAGGCGCATCACTTGAGGCCAGGAGTTTGAGACCAGCCTGGCCAACATGGAGAAACTCTGTCTCTACTAAAAAATACAAAGATTATCCAAGCGTGGTGGCACATGCCTGTGATCCCCAGATACTCGGGGGGCTGAAACACAAGAACCACTTGAGCCTGGGAGGTGAAGGTTGTAGTGAGTGAAGATTACCCCACTGTACTCCAACCTGGATGACAGAGTGAGACTCTGTCTCAAAAAAAGAAAAAAGAAAAAGATAGCAATGTTGTTATTTACTTATAATACTGTAGCTCTTTGAAACCTATTTGCCCAGAAACCATAAAGGTTTTCTTGCTTCTGCTGTTCCCTGGAATTGTGTATTTCACACCAATTATATCACTGTATGGGACTCTTCACTGTCCACATGCTTCCCTCAACACACTGCCCTTGAGAGGTATTGCCCTCAAGTTTGCAATACCTCTCAAAGCTGCTACCGTGCTTCCCTGATGAAGGTCACAAATGCAAGTCTACTTTGTATCAGGACTACCTGATACATGGCACAGAGGGGATGAGGGACCACCTCAGATGCCAGTAGCAGGGGTGTGCAATGTAAAAGACCCCTGCCACTATCGCCATCACCTTAGGGTGCTGTAGACTGGAGGTGACACTGCAGGCAGAACATATTCGGGCAAGAGTCTGTGCATGAGGCTCAGCCCCAAGGGTTGCTGATGGACCCGAGGCAGATTAGAGCCCCAAATTCATCCTCGGCCTGACATAGGCAAGAGCTATCTGCAATCAGCATATCAGCACCATTCCTGCAACCAAATCTCATGCACACTTAAGAAAGAAATGTCATGCCTGCCAGTGAAAGAGATACACTCAACAGAATGCTCTTCTGGAGTGCAGCCACAGGGCCTCAGTATAGCCCATAGGTGTGTGAGTCCTAGAGCTGCTTGAAGCATCACTTTGACCCTGTGCATGGGATAAAGGGTGAGGTGGCATCCTAAAGATGAGAAAAGACCAGCATCCATTTGGATCCTGATTCAGGCTTATAGCACCGGCTTAGACAACTGGCCCCCAGGATGGAAGGGGCACCAGGAGCAGAGATGAATGGGGCCATCTGCCCAGCCTATATCACACTGCCTTTGCCACATCCCAATGAAATTATCACAAAACACAAGACAAATTGAATCATCAAAAATCAGTAGCACCGTAGGGGTGCAGGGGATGAGGTTATTAATTCCTGCTGAAGGGATTGGGATAAGCTGTGTGAATGTAAACCAGGCTTCATTGTAGAGATCATGCTCGAATAGCTGGGTGCCACAGCAGAAGCCCCTCGAGGTGGAGGACCTAGCAGTAAGTGCTGTTTGAGAAAAGGAAGGGCAAGAGAGAAACCTGGAAGGGGAGTCCATGGGGTCAGGGTGTAGAGAACACTAAATACCCAGAATTTCCAGTGGGGGCTTGTCACTGGATTCTTGAAGATGGCCAAGAAACATTGAAGGGAGAAAATTACCTGAGAGCAGAGAGGCAGTCACAGGGAAGATGATACAAACACCTTAAAGAGCCAGGTTAGAACTAACGCAACCCAAGCCATCTCCATCTGGCCAGATCTCTTTTGGATACAATCATTAACACTGGAGGGATGGAGGGGTGGAGGGGTGGAGGGGAGCTCTCCAAGGAACTGTCAGCACCAGAGAGTGTTACAGCAGAACAGATAAGAGTAGCTAGTACCTGGGTGTGGGGAATAAGAGAAAAGGGGAAAAAAGTATTGTATTGGTTGTGGGGATTTTTTTCTTGCATTTTATGATGTTTTTAACATCATAAATTTAAAAATTTACTAGCTGGAAGACTGCCACTCCCAGGGCTAGCCAAGTCTTAGAGATAACAAAATGCTCAGCCCCCAGGCGGCTTTCATATGCAAACCTACCAATCCTGAGTCTACAGCCCCAAATACCTTTCTGTCTAAGGCTCACATACCAAGCTAATATTTCTTCTGTCCTAAATCATCCCAGGGCCAGGTACTAGGCAACTTGAGACTGCCCTTATAACCCAAAGCCTACCGGAATTAGTCAAACTCACCAATTTGCTTACTTTTCCCTGCCTTGCCTTCTCCATGGAAACCCCAAAGCCTATGGGTCAGGTTTTCCCCTTGCTCCATCTTCTGCCACCTGACCCAAGCCTGGTGCTACCCCTGTGGCCCTGCACAACACAGGGTGACCCTACTCAGTAAGACCTGTGAGTAGGAGAAACATCTCCCTTCCAGACCTCAGTCTCCTTTCCTCCTGTGGCCACACTGACTTTACCTGACCATACCTAACATTTACATTCTTAGAATCACCATCTGTTTTCATTCTTTACTCAATGAGTGTCCAGTGTCATATTCTATGTGCCATTTCTTGAGATTTATAGACTAGATACCTGGAAATGTTGTGGTTCCTTTCATATAAATAGAAAATGAGGAAGCGGGTGAAGTTTGAGGGTCAGGATCATGAGTCTGATTTGGGGATGTTGAGTTTTGAGGTGCTAGGCAGGGTGCACAAGTGTAGATGCCCTGAAAATGACAAATACAAGCCTGGACCTTTTTTTAAGTTTCTCTCTGACCTAGGACCTACTCCAGTCATTCAGAAATTCCTAACTCTAGATAAGCCCAAACTCAAATGTGCAAGGAAGATGGTGGGTGTTCAGGAAGTGTTACATTAACTAATTAAAAGAAGCAATGGGCTGACCACTAAGAAACATGGGTTGAAGCCTAATCACTGTCCCTTGTTCTGGTAAAATTACTCCCCTCTCCCTTTCTAGGCCTCAATTTCCTCTTCTGTTAAACAAGAGAGTTGAACTGGATGTCTAAAGCTGCTGCCAGCTATAGTCCCACCCTTATCCTTATACTACTTCCCATCTTGGAGTTGAGCACAAAAGGATCCTTCTCAATAAAGCCCAAGTGCAATTTGAAGAGGTAAATATGGAACTTCCTCCTTCCCATCCTACATCCGGATTGGGTGGGCAATCACATCAAATACCAAGTGCCCCTTCCTTGGCCCATGCCCATCCTCCACCCCAAGCTCTGTGTGGACCTGCCTCCAGCTCTACCTGATGACATTCTCATGGCTTCTTACCTGGAAAACAAGGCCCTTTACAGGCTGACCCCAACCTAACTTTCTCGCCTCTCCCTTCCACATGCTTCATGCTCCAGCCATCCCTGCTGGAATTGTCGTCATTCCTTAAACACCTTCCTCTCCCCCACACCTCAGAGCCTTGCCTGTGCTCTCTCTCTCTCCCCCATCTGCAACACTCTCCCCACCTGGCAAATTCATCCCGTGCTTCAGACCAGAGCAAATGTGTCCTCCTCTTTGAAGCTTTATTTGAGCCCACTGGGAAGCGAGTTACTCACTCCCCACTAAATTTACCTTTATTTGCATGATTCTTTCATTATTTTATTTGCATGATTCTCTCATTTGCATAATTTCTTTCATAAATTTACATTTATTTGCATGATTCTTTCATGATTCTGTCTTGCATGCTTACGCGATAATCTCTACAAAATCAGGACTGAGTCTTTAAACTCTTTGGGCTCACTACCATAACCAACAAGAAGCGCTTAATGAATGAATGAATGCTCTCAGAGAACTCAGTACAACCTCTATGATGGTATTTACCATGTGTTATAATTATTTACGTTCTTTCTCCCCCATCCCCCCAGAAAACTAAAAACCATGGGATGGTGCTATTCATCTTTGTAGAGACTGTGAGAGGAATAGTAGTCAACACTAGCTCTGGACTCAGGTTCTCCAAATACAAGACCCTCGTTCTCCCACTTTTAAGCTACTACCCTCAGGCAAGGGAGTCTTCCTAAGTCTTCATTTTTTAATATGTAAAAATGGACTAACGATAGAACCGACAGCATAGAGTTGGCCTCAATGTGAATTATATAAATCTGCGCAAAGCACTTAGCATGGTACCTAGCAATGATATTAGCCAGTATTAGTCACTGTAGAGATGGTATTAATGCTGGTGGTAGCAGAGATTTCCCCACCACTTCACAAGGCTGGGCCCATAGAAAAAATCGGTCATATCCATATGTGATTGAATGTGTGAAAAAGAGCTCACCTTTCAGGGCTCTATTCAGTGAATCAGCTCCAGGAATTGCCATTTGTGTTTCTGACAGCACCGAGCCCTGGTGGGGGTGGTATCCTAGCTTTCAGTCCAAGTTTTTGCAGAACATTCCTCTTCCCAGGCAACAGAGGTTCACGGCTGAAACTCAACTCTGCCTCCTCCCTATTGGATTTGATTCCATAGATTGGTTGCCCTAAAAGGTTGAAATTACAGTGTTCATATTGCTATAAAAGTCCTTGCCTCAGTGTTCCTGCTATTTGTTAAAATGTGTAATAGCCATCTCTGAGAACCTTGCGTTAAGAAACAGAGGGCGCACACCTGGGCCCTGGCTGCCAGCAGTAACTGAAGCACCTCTGTGCTTGCACGAGGGAGCTGGGGACAGGTCTGCATACTGGGGGCTGGGGTGAGGCACACACCCTGACTCGGCTGGACTCTGGGGCTCACCAAGTTTCTGAGTGAGTGTTGAATCCTGGAAATGGGGGTGAAAGTGGGGACCAGGGGGAGGAAGGGCCTGAAGTTGAACTCTGAGGTACCTTCCTGCTAGCGAAATGCAAACAGGGCCCCCAGGCCTCAGCACAATTGGAATGCTGGCCCATGTTGCTCATTTGCAGGAAGAGGGGACTTGCCTAGAATATCACCTAAGCCGGCCTGTCCCACTAGCACGCTTCAGAATGTATCTACCTGGTTTGCTGTGTCCTCAGCCAGCTGTCTTTTTGGAAAGGGAGTCTGATAAACTAAACTCCTCCTCAAATGAACACAATCCCCCAAATTCCTTTTAACCTAAAACTCTTGAATTCAGTAATGTCCTACTCAAAGGAATGACTTTCTAATGGTGAAATTTCAAGCTAGAGGCATGTCAGTTCAGGAGAGATTTGGGAGCAGACTCGCCATCAAGAATCACTCAAATCACACAGGGAGAAGACCTTGTATATTCACCCAGCCCTGCTCTGCAAGGATGGCACAGCAAGGAAACAATAGTGTTATTTGGGAGGAGGGAGGATGTGTCTATTTTTAGAGTTCCTTGCAAGATTCTCTTCCACCCTCAACTCACATCAAAATTATAGCACTATCAGAGGAGCAAAGAGCCGAAGGGGACCTTTTCAGATGAAAAAACACAAAGAAGTTTGTAACTTATCCGAGATTACACCATTCAAGAACAGGTCCCCTGATTCTTGGTCAGATGTTCCCATGATGTGTGGAAGATAGGTAACTCCCCCACTGCACCCCAACATGAGACCCCAGCAATGTAAAGACACCACGCAAGGCTTTGTTTCCTCCAGCTCCCTTCTAAAAGTCATTTAGTAGAAAACCAAATAGGAAACATTCCCTTCGCCACACTTTTCCTGCTAACTGCCATGACTTAAGTGCTTAGGGCTAGGGAGGAAGCCAGGAGAGAAAACTCCAAAAGAGCTCTGGGCACTCAGGCAGCTTTAAAAGATGGTGTTCGCAGCTCGTCTTCCTTTTTAGTAACTCGAAGAGTCATCCTGACCTATATAAAGCAAAGAACCTGAATGTTACAACCCTGCTTTGAAGAGGATCTGCCTCAGTGGAGTTCAAAGGGAATAAAAAACTAGGTCAGTTGCCCAGGGTTTTTAAAAAAGAAAAAAGGAAAGGGGGAGAAAAAGTTATATTTCTAGGGAAACTGGTATCTTCCACCCTCTATTGTCTTGGTTTCTAACCAAATGAAATAAATAAACTCATAAGTTTTGAATTTATTTCAAATGGATGAGCCTGAATGCCAAAGAAGCATGAGTTAATTTAAGCCACTTCAGTTTGGGTCCATTCCTGTCTTTCTCTGGTTCCCTGTTGTGGGAGCATTCTGTCCCTACAGAGCACAGAGCTGGGGGTTCATTCTTTCACCCGCAGTGCCTGCTGTGATGCAGCAGGTCCCATGTGGGGTCTCACAGCGGGAGCAACTGCCACTCTCTCCTCTCTCTTCATCCTCTCATTCATTCATTCATCAAACATTCACACATCAACTCCGTTGTGCCAGCTCCTCCACCCTGACCCCCTGGGACGTAAAGGAAGGCACGCATCTGCAGATGGATGGCGTGCCTTGCTGGGGAGCCCCTCGCCCAGGCACTGTGCCCCTGTGTCTCACTCAGATCTCACAATGAGCCTGCAAGCAGACGTTGTTTTTCCCGGTTCACCAACAAGGCTCAGAGGGGAATTAAAGAACCCAGGGAGGCCAGGTATGGTGGCTCACACCTGTAATCCCAGCATTTTAGAAGGCCAAGGCTGGTGGATCACTTTGAGCTCAGGAGTTCGAGACCAGCCTGAGCAACATGAAGAAACACCATCTCTAAAAAAAATACAAAAATTAACCAGGAGTGGTGGCACACACCTGCAGTCCCAGCTACTCAGGGGGCTGAGGCTGGAGAATCGCTTCAACCTGGGGGGCAGAAGTTGCAGTGAGCCAAGACTGCACCACTCTACTCCAGCCTGGGTGACAGAATGAGACACTGTCTCAAAAACAAAACAAAACAAAACCCAGGTATTAAGTTCATCTTCCTCCTCCAAAGCCAGAGGCTATTCCACATTGGGGTCTATTCCAGTCTGGCAGCCTGTGGCTGGTGACTTCCCTATCCAGCCACATCTGACACCCCCACCTTGTCCCCTTTTTCTCTCCACCCCCTAGTGGAGATTGAGTTCATGTGTCTTTCTTTCTCACTGGACTGTGAGCTCCATGGATGAAAATAACAGCATCTTACTCAGACCAACAGGGAGGAAGATAGTATAGGACCAAGCATTTTGGGCAGTGATGCAAGATTCCAGAGAACACTGGAGCATACACAGTGTCCTTGAGCCTGCCCCCCAGGGGAGGGACATGGGGGAGGGTGTGAGGTAGAAGGGCACGTCCCCATCCTCCCCATTCTTGGTTGGCCCTATTGGGGTCACCTGTTTTGTTTTTGTTTTTGTTTTTGTTTTTGTTTTTGTTTTTGCCTTTATTTCATTAAAGACAATTCATTCAAAAATTCTTGAATTGGACCAAGAAGGACAGGCAGTATTAAGAAAGACAAAGATGGTAGGGAGGGCTCTCCAGGCAGAGGGGGATCTCAAGCAAAGAAAGGAAGGCTGGAGAGAACGCAGCTCATGAGACGCAGCTGCAGCGACCACATTCCGAGTGTGCCTCAAAATCAAACTATGGGGAATGAGGAGCCTCTAAGGGGTTTGAGCAGAGTGGGGGTTGGGGGCGTTACAGGCAGAAGACGACATGCCCTGTCAACTGATGAGCCTGCCCACCCCAGAAAGTCTTGTTTCCCCTCACTTATCTTAACTGGGGAAGTGAGAACCTGGGGAATCAAATCAGAGCCAACTCAGGACAGTTAACTCTGGAATCAATTGCCCTAGAGTTGTATTTCTAAAACACAAATCAGATTAAGTCACTCTCTTGCTTATAAGCCTTCCATGGCCCCTTCTGCCTACAGGATAAAGTCCAAATGCCTTAGCCTGACATGCAATCCCGCCCAATCTCACATCGCAGGGCTGCTTGTCCCGTACGAAGCAAGCCACTTGCTAGCCACACTCACCATTTCCCCCAGGCAAGCCTCTTTTAAGTATGAGCCTTTCACCCACTCATCCAGCGAATATCTATGGAGCACTTATTAAGCATCAACAATGGGCCAGGCCCTGATGCCTACCAAGTGACCAACACAGATACAGCCTTCTGTCTCTTGGCAACTAAAGTCTGGGGAGGAATGTGACTGTTAAACACTAATTACGAATGCAATGGTTTCAGAGAAAAGAAGTCCAGGCTGTTGTTCAGGGATGTACTGGGGGGCCTAACCCACCTGGGAGGCCAGGGAAATTTTCCCTGTAGATGTCCAAAGGATGAACAGAATTTGGGATTTGGTCAGACAATGGCAGGGGCAGGGGCAGGGGAATGAGGGGAAAGTATTCCAGCCCGAAGGAACAGCAGGTGTGTAGCCTTGGAGGCTGGACTCGGCTTGGTGTACCCACACCAAACTTCACTGGGGTGACCATCATGCAGCAGGTACTAGGGATAACCAGAGAGGTCTCCCTGCTTTTAAAAAAAATGTTTTGTGTGTTATTCTGGGGGAAAGGAAACACCACTGGGATTGTAAGCATGGAAATGACATCATATTTTAATCTGATTGTTGTGTAGAGAATGGAATGAGAGAGTGGGCAACATCCATTCTCTTGGAATCTATTTCCATTCCCCCTCTCCTTGTAGCAAATGGTTTGTTTCCCTTTCCCTATCAAGCCAAATATTCACTCTTTCCTCTTTGTTCTCCCTCCCCACCACATTAATTGAAAACTTTGAATATGTATTTGGTGTGTTATGAATTCTTGTTCTACCAGTTTTCCCCCAGCAGATAATCATTTTCTCAAGGGCAATGACTGCATCAGTTTGTTATTTTATTTTATTTTTTTACTCTTTGTGCCCTTGGGACATAGCAAAGATCCTGGATCTGCCATGCAGGAAGCCAATAAATATCTATTAGTTGGTTGATCCAATGAATGAAATACTCAAATTGAAGGACAGTTCTCCAGATGGCCTTAGAGCGACCCACTTCTCTACTCTTTCTTGCCTGTATTTTTCAAGAGTAAGTGTGGAATGTTCTGGGATTGCTAAACAGAACAGAATCCTGAAATAAGAGGGAACTGGCCAGAACAGTCCAGACTCTGTTCCAGTTCCCATCTCCCTGCAGAACAAGCTGTCCTTCAACACTTTAGTCCAGTGGCTCATGGGGCCCCAGGGTGTGAAACTCAGGACAGGCTGCTCTTCAGGTGGGGCACACACCGCTGAGACTCCATCTGCCCCAGGCAGCTTTCCTAAGCCTTGGGGGACCAGCTCACAGTGAATTCTAAGCTTCTGTTGTCCCTTGCTGCCTGTCTATACATAATAAACTCATTTCATGTAACATTTTGTGGGTGAGTATTCTGTCTCACTGGACTCATACACCTTGGTAAGCAGTGCAGAGTGCACCTCCTTTGCACAAATCTCCATGGAGCACCTCCTGCACGTAACCTCTCTCTGCAACTGCATCTCCATACACATATGGAAATGTCTGTAAAATAAGCCAAATGCCCTATGATGTCACTTACATATTAAATCTTAAAAAGACTAATTCATAGAGCAAAGAGAATGGTGGTTACCAGGGGCTTGGGAAGATGATGATCAAAGGGTACAAAATTTCAGTTAGGAGAAGTAAGCTGAAGAGATCTATTATACCACACAATGACTGTAGTTAATAACAATGTATCGTATATTTGAAAATTGCTGAAAGAGTAGATTTAAATGTCATTACATATAAATACATGAGGCAGTACATATGATAATTAGCTGGATTTAGCCATTCCACAATGTATGCATATTTCAAACCATCAGGTTATACACCATAAATATACACAATTTTTATGTGTCAAATAAATAAATAAATGGAAATGCCCAAATTTTTCTCTCAAAGGCTGAGAGAGATCCTTTCATACTTGCATTGATATATTCTCCATGCAGGCTAGAGTCCGCTGACCCGGTGAAAGAGCCCTGTCTCAGCGGGGATGAAGGACTCAGCTGTGAGTACAGCAGGGAACAGGCTGATGGTTTTTTCTGCAACTCAAGGCCAAAGAAAAATTACGACAGTGAGACTGATATTCAATGGCAAATGTGTTTGGGTTAAAGGAGAGATGGGAGCAGGAAGTCTTTCTAAGTGGCTGTGAGCAAGAAAAACAAAACAGCAGGTTGCTTCAGTGTCTCCCCTGGATCCCAGGTTCAAGGCAGACCCGGCCAAGGCCAAGGCCAGACCCATTTAACTTTCAGATCCTTCCCACTCCCCACGCTCTGGACCAAGAGAACAAGAGCCCCGCAGGTTCACCTACATGGGAAAGGAAGCAAGCCTGCTGCATTTACATTGCTGTATGCGCATCATGTTTTCAAGTCCCCGGATGTGATGTTGATGAAAGACAGTTAATTCAATTTCTACAGAGAAATTGATTAATGGACTGGATTAAAAGAAGTCCCCTGTGTCCGCAGCCTTCGCCCAGCATACCAATTCTGCGTTATCTGGCCTGGTTTTCTCTTTCCCTCCTCACTTGACACTTTGACAATACACACTCAGGCACAGTGGGAAGGAGGAGGGAGGGGAGGAAAGATGAGACACCACAGATTAGGGCTGGAGCACACCTCTATATTTAATTAGTTCTATTAATATTTAAAAATAATAATAAAAGGGCCCCGTGGGGAACACGCTGATCTTAGGGTTGTTCTAGCGATTGACAGCTGTTCTGGAGCGGGCATTCTGCCAGAGAGTCCCAAAAGGACTCAACATTTTCTTCCATGAGGAGAGAAGGCGTCCTTTCCTGTTCACCCGGGAATAAATCAGAAGTCACAGCCACCTTGAAATGCCAGGCGGTGTGAGGGCAAACTCCAAGTGGGCTGCCCCTTCTCTCCACCCGGTGGCACAGAGCACTCCCCCAGGCTGTGCTCCCGAGAGCCCGTGGCTCCTCAAGAAGTTCTGTACTCACTGCAAGAGGCCAGAGAGGACTGTTCCTGGAGATCCTTAGGCCGGGGGCAGGCAGGCCACCCATGCCCCAGATGGTGGGTTTCTTCAGTCTTGCCTGGCCCCTCTGACATTGCCGAGAGGACTGGAGGAGGGGACAGACAACAAGGCCGAGAAGAGCCCAATCTGCCCTTGGCATTGATGACCTGGTATTTACGGCAACCTTCACTCTTGGGCTAATATGGATAATATATGTAAGATTTTTGCACTTTTCAGAGGCTTCCAACTTCTGCAATCAGTTTGAATCTATATTCTGAATCAGAAAAGCAGGACTTGGAGAAATAATTTTATCCACCTAAATAAATCAATATTCTCTCCTTTGTGTATGCATTTGACAGGCCTGACTGCATAGTGCACCTGATTGCAAGGAGGATAACCCCAGGAGAAGAACAAGTGACCTGTGCACTAGCAGGCCACCTGCTGACTCTCCCGTTCCCACCCCCGATTAGAGATGGGATCCATCAAGTGTCCTTATTAATAACCTAGTGTTCTGTGGCTTTAGTTAAGAGTAATGTCCCCTAGCTTTCAATCCATGTTGTTTGCAGAGATTTCACCGTGTCCCTGCACTTTGGTGGAGAGAAGGGAGCTGATGGAGCTCCAGGCAGGCACAGGCTGGCGTATCACTAAAACCCAAAAAATTAAAATGCTGGTGAATAATTTACTCGAATCAGCCTGTGAATGTTAGGCAATATTGCCTTACAAAATAAATCAATTATAATTTTTAAAAAAGGAAAAAGAAATCTCAGTTCATTGAAAAACATTGCAAACACGGGCAATTTTCCCTTTATTAAAAAAAAAAAAAAAAGGAAAAGTGAAATCTCATTTAAATAAGAATCTGTTAGAACAGCTACACAGTCATTTCAGTGACTCCTTAATAGAATCCCGCCTAAACAAACCACATCTGCCAGATGCCTACATTACCTTTTTCAATTAAAATTCTGTTCCTATTGTTGGAAGGTTAACTTTGAACTCACAAGGCTATGTAGCTCACTAGGGTATGGAGTTAGTTGCCTGTAAATATGCATACATTAGCATCATTTATCCCATGCGGGGCTTTCGAAGAGAACTGTGAGTGGCCCTACCGGTATTAGGTGGATCGCCTTTTTCAATACCAGGACAAGGAAAATGTCACTCAAAACTGCTAAGAATCTCAAGAATTTACATTTTGACAGGAAAAAATAAGAACTCCATTTTGGCAGAAGTTAAAATACAGGAGGGAGCAAGGGACTCTCCATTCATTCATTCCGAAACTTTCTTGGAACACCTTCTACCTCTCCAGCCTGCGCACAGCCCTGAGGCAGGGGCTAGGGTACCGGCTCTCAAAGATCTCACAGGCCAGTGTCCACAGTTCTGCCCTGACCAGCCTCCTCCCAGACATGGGGGAGGGATTACAAGGTGATACTATAAATGTATTGGGAGGCGAAGGCAGAAGGATCATTCAGGAGTTCAAGACCAGTCTGGGCAACATAGTGAGACCCAGACTCCACCAAAAAAAAAAAAATTTCATTAGCTAGGCATGATGGTACACACTTATAGTCCCAGCTACTTGGGAGGCTGAGGTGGGAGGATTGCTTGAACCCAGGAGGTCAAGGCTACAGTGAGTCATGATCGTGTCACTGCACTGCAGCCTGCGCAACAGAGTGAAACCCTGTCTTAAACAAAAACAAAACAAAACAAAAACCTTATTCACCCCTCGGCTTAAGCAAGGCCCTTTCTCGTGTGAGTGTTTTCATAAATTGTATGTCTAGGATAACTCAACAGGTAGGGATACACCTAAAGCCATATCTGGAAGCAGAGATAGATAAAAGGTAAAACCTACCCAAACAGGGAGCTGAGGACCATCACTGAAGATGAAATATTTGCCTTACGATTTTGCTTCAGGTGGATCCAGTTCTCTCTGTCCTTTCCACAGAAGAAATGACTCAAGGCAACCATCTATCCTCATCCCTCAGAGGATGAACCCCTGTCTCCAGCAACTTTCCCATGGTTTCGTCCAACAAGCACAAAGCACTTGTGTTGTGTCAGGCACTGGAGACACCAACTGTGACCAAAAGACAGGGCACACTCCGAAGGGGCCTACAGTGGTGGGAGATTCAGATACATAACAGGCAAGTCCTAGGGTGAGGGAACTAGTACCACTGGGGAGGCTGGGAGGAAGCTTTTACCCCAACCATGTGCCCTACCCAGACAGTGCCTGAGCAGGTGGGGGGTGGTTGAAGCCAGGGCAGCAATGAGCCAGGCAATGCCCTTTAACACAGACAGACGTGGGCAGGGAGCAGAGTGCGTTCTGCAATCCAGTGGGAAATGCACGCAGCAGGGGAGCAGTGTGTGTGCCTGTGTGTGTGTGCGCGTACCCACACGTGCACTCATACACGTGTGTGTTCACATTTAGTTTCATTGTAAAAAAGCAACTTGTATCCTTTTAACATAACTGAACATCATCTTTCCTTTCCAGTGAAGTACAAAGAAACTTTAAAAATAAATAGGAACGAAATTACACAGAGAATGTCAGTTCCAAATAAGACCCTCCAGGTTCTGCTGATTCTCCCATTGAGTGGCAGGACTCAAGTCACCATTGGGAGAGCATTTATTTTTAAAGTGTCATCTTAAACTGCAAAGATGTCCATTAAACATCACAATTAAACATGCCAAAGAAGGCAGATTGCCAAAATGCCCACTTAACCCACTCAAACATCTCAAACCCATCCCTTACTGAGCTTCTATAATCTCCTTTATTACGGTTTCTCTCTCTCTCTTTTTTTTTTTTTTTTTTTTTTTTTTTTGAGTCTCGCTCTGTCGCCCAGGCTGGAGTGCTGCAGTGCAATCTCAGCTCACTTCAAGCTCCACCTCCTGGGTTCATGCCATTCTCCTACCTCAGCCTCCCAAGTAGCTGGGACTACAGGCACCTGCCACCATGCCTGGCTAATTTTTTGTATTTTTAGTAGAGACGGGGTTTCACTGCATTAGCCAGGATGGTCTCGATCTCCTGACCTCATGATCCACCCGCCTCAACCTCCCAAAGTGCTGGGATTACAGACGTGAGCCACCGTGCCTGGCACTTTTTTTTTCCCTTTTTAAGGAACAGAAAGTAGACAGACACCTGTTGGTAAATGCTAACTGTCCATATTCACATAGACACAAGTTTATTCTCTAAACCCAGAAGAAGCTGCTGGAGGCTCAGAGTCATTTCCACAAGGTGGAGAACAACTTCCTGACCTTCTCCAAAAAGGCTTCTGCCTTCAACAGCTGGTTTGAAAACACAGAGGAGGACCTGCTGCAACTCCCTGGAAGAAATCAAAGTGATGCACTTTGATATACAGGGAGAGGAGAGCTTCTGGAGAGACACTTGGCTGCAGGTTTTAAAGGAAGTGGCTGGTCCCCTCAGCCAACCAACACTCTTCCCTACCTTTAAATTCCTTCACCCTTCTGGCTCTTCTTTACCTAACAGTTTGTGACAATCCTTATATCTCTGTTTTCCCTAGCTTAACTTTTCCCACAAGCTTAATGGACTGCCGAAGGTCACCTAGTCTAGTCTGTCACTAATTATGTGCTGGAGAAAAAGGGATGATTTGAGCAGTAAGTCTGTCAGACTCTAGACAGCTCCCCAAAGGGAGAAGAGTCCCAGATTTATCCCAAGACGTAGGAGGGACATTGGAGACTAACTGGGACTCCCTAGATGGCCCCACACACCTGTCTGGAGGTCATTTAGGCAACTGACACAGGTGGGCCCAGCAGCGGCCAACACTTAAGGGTGAGGGGTGGTCAGCACAGAGGCTCATGCCTGCAATCCAGCACTTTGGGACACTGAGGTAGGAGGATCCCTTTAGGCCAGGAGTTAAAGACCAGGCTGGGCAATATAGTGAGACCCCATCTCTATAAAACAATTTTAAAATTAACCAAGTGTGGAAGCACATGCCTGTAGTCCCAACTACTCAAGAGGCTGAGGCAGGAGAATTGCTTGAGCCTAGGAGTTTGACGCTGCAGTGAGCTGTGATCACACCACTGCACTCCAGCTACAGCAACAGATTGAGAACCCCTCTCTACCAAAAAAATTGGGGGGCCCCTTGGCTACTGTTTGGGGAGGGGCATGGCCATCCATAGCCAATCTCCAACCAGTGACAAGGATGGGGCACCGGGTCCAGTGCCCTGGACAGGCACAGGAAAAATCCAACAGGCATCATGGCCTCAGCACCATGGGCTGGGGTTCAAGACCTAGAGAAACCCTAGCTGTATATTCATATTGCGAATGAGTAAACAGACCCAGAGAGGGGAGGGACAAGGGCATTGAGTGTACATGCTGTTTCAATCAAACCTCAAACTCCACAAAAGCAAGGAACATTCCTATTATGGCTCTTTGAATATCTATATTACTGAAAAAAAATAATCAATAAAGAAATGTGGCCTCATTACTTCCCTGCTCAAATTCCTCCAAAGCTCTAATTTCCGCCAGAAAAAAGTTAAACTCCCCTGAGGTCATCTGAACTCTACCTCTCAAGCCTCAAATCCCACGCTTATGGGCATTCTGCTCCCAACTGCCACCCCAGGTCCCACCTGCCCCCACCCAAACACACACCCCACAGGCACACAGTCCTTCTCTGCCCCTGCCCTCCAGCCAGTCTGAACTATTTGCAATCCTTTGAACATGCTACAATTTCTCATGCCTTCATGCCTCCAAGCTTTTGCATAAGATTATCTCTATTTTAGGAACACCCTCCACAGCCCCGTGCAATTCTTATTGCATTGGAAAATTCCTGCTTGTCCTTAAAGACCCAAGTCACAGGTCATTTCTCTGGGAATCCTTCTCCGTGTTCCAAAACTCCTGGCTGTCACATGTCTCCATCACACTATTTATCACACAGCCGAACAAGTTCTGAAGCGCTCGTCTATTCCCCTTGCCCATACTAGAATGAGGGCCTTAAGAGCTGGAGCCATAGTATTCACCTCTGAATAGAGGGTGATGTATGAATGAAGAATGAAAGGAATGAATGATGTCTTAGTCCATTTTCACGCTGCTGATAAAGACAAACCCCAGACTGGGTAATTTATAAAGAAAAAGAGGTGTTTTTTTGTTGTTGTTGTTGTTTTTGTTTTGTTTTGTTTTGAGACGGAGTCTCACTCTGTCGCCCAGGCTGGAGTGCAGTCGCACGATCTCGGCACGATCTCGGCTCACTGCAAGCTCCGCCTCCTGGGTTCACACCATTCTCCTGCCTCAGCCTCCCGAGTAGCTGGGACTACAGGTGCCCGACACCACGCCCGGCTAATTTTTTGTATTTTTAGTAGAGACAGGGTTTCATCGTGTTAGCCAGGATGGTCTCAATCTCCTGACCTAGTGATATGCCTGCCTCGGCCTCCCAAAGTGCTGGGATTACAGGCGTGAGCCACCGCGCCCGGCCAGAAAAAGAGGTTTAATGGACTCACAGTTCCACATGGCTGGGGAGGCCTCACAGTCATGATGGCAGGCAAGAGAGAGAATGAGAGCCAAGTGAAAGGGGTTTCCCCTTATAAAACCATCAGCTCTCGTGAGACTTACTCACTACCACGAGAGCAGTATGGGGAAACTGCCCCCATGATTCAATTAACTCCCACCAGCTCCCTCCCACAATGTGTGGGAATTATGGGAGCTACAATTCAAGATGAGATATGGGTGGGGAAACAGCTAAACCATATCAAATGATAAACACAAACATCCATTGGGTTGAATAGTCAGAGGTACCATAATCACATGTCCTAGAAGAAACGGAAAAACTGGCCACCAGCATGGTCTGGACCTGAATATGCTTCCTCTTCCTCAGCACCATTTTCTGGCCTCTCTCTGGAGCCCTTCCATTTGTGGACAGGAAGTCAAAGAATTTAAAGAGTCATGCTTCTGTGTTGGCATTAGTCTGTCTGGGACATACAGGCACTCAGTCATTTCCTAAAAATGAGTTTGAATGTTCAGTCTTTTCCCACTGGCCTTAACTGGCTGCAGGCTTCACAGAGGGCCCTCAGGCCTGGGATGCCACAGTCATTAGTGCAGATTCCATTATGGGGAAGGAAGCACACATTTTCAGAATAAATGAAGGGAAGAAATAAATGAATTCTTCAGGGGGTCCTAGGCAAGGATGGCGCACTTTATCTAGAGAGCTTTTCTCTGGACTTGGAAAATGGGTGCATAACATGTTGGGGAGCACATCCTACATGCTGCAGCTTCAACGTCTGTACCTCATTCAATGAGCCTCACAACCAGCCTGGAAGGTGAGCATGAATTTCCCCATTTCATAGGTAAAGAAAATGAGGCCAAAACCCCAGAAGATTCCCCGGGCACACAGCTATGCTGTGGCAGTGCCAAAATTCAAACCTAGGACTAACTCCAAAGTCCAAGGGAAATTATGTTTGTCTTTCCAAGAATATGGCTTTGCCGGATGCAAGATTGTAAAAGGACCCCCTTATTAAGATAAAACAGCGCTTCCCAAGATTTTGTCTCAGATAGGACAGCCTGTGAGTGGGTAAAGCAGGCTGGAGCAAGTGGTTCTGGCATCAGCTCTGGCTTCTTTCTGCAGCTTCTCTTTCCCTCAAGGTTCTTGCATTCAGAACCTGCTGCTCACCCTTCAGGACCTGCTGTTCACACCTTGAACCCTCAGGACTGCAACTCACTTTCAAAGCACTCATCTAAACATACATGCAGATCTTCCCTTGGTTCCTCTTAGAACAGCTTAGATATTGTTGGATGGAAAATCCAAGAATACTTTACCAAATATTACAGGAAAACAGCCAAGGAGAGCACAGGAACCACAAAAATATCAGGGTACGAGGCACAGGCTTCTCCTCCTGCCAGAGAAGGTTTATATCCTGGCTTACAGGTTCCAACACATTAAGAGATCACCAGAGTCTAGCTGGAGCCAATCTTCAGTCAAACACAGGTCAGGGCACCCCAGAGAGGAGAGGAATGACCTGGAGCCCCCAGACCCATGGAAGGCAGCACCAAGATCTCAGGCTCACCCCTGAGGCAGGCACAGGGCAACAGTCACTGGGACAAGAAAGTCCTGGGTGTCAGGGCAGCTGATGAGGGCTTTCCAGACCTCCTTCCACTGGACTCGAAGATGGGAAAACACAGGCCCCATCATGCCCTTCCCAGCTTAAAACCACCTGTGCTTTTCCATCACCTTAGTGGGCTCGCAAGCCTTCTAGAATGCCCCCCTTAGTATTAGGGTTCTCCAGAGAAACAGAACCAACAGGATATACATATCTACATATATTATAAAGAATTGGCTCAATGATTATGGAGGCTGACAAGTCCTAAGATCTGCAGCCAGCAAGCTGGAGGCCCAAGAGAGCTGACGGTGTGAGTTCCAGTCCAACAGGCAGCAGGCTCAAGATTCAAGAAGAGCTGGTGCTTCAGTTCAAGTCCAGAGGAAGGAAAAGACCAATGTCCCAGCTCAACAGTCAGGCAGGAAGAGTTCCCTCTTACTCAGCCTTTTTTAATTTTATTTTTTAATTTTTATTATTATTATTATTTTAGATGGAGTCTCACTCTGTTGCCCAGGCTAGAGTGCAGTGGCGAAATCTCAGCTCACTACAACCTCCACCTCCTAGGTTCCAGCAATTCTCCTGCCTTATCTTCCCAAGTAGCTGGGATTACAGGTGCAGACCACCACGCCTGGCTCATTTTTTTTATTTTTAGTAGAGATGAGGCTTCACCATGTTGGCCAGGCTGGTCTGGAACTCCTGATCTCAAGTGATCAAGGAGGACTTGGCCTCCCAGAGGTCTGGGATTACAGGCCTGAGCCACCACGACTGGCCGCTTCTTCAGCCTTTTGTTCTATTCAGGCCTTCAACTGATGGAGTGAGTTCCATCCATATTAGGGAGGCCAATCTGCTTTCCTCCATCTACGATTCATCTGTTAACATTATCCAGAAACACCCTCATAGACACACCCAGAATAATGTCTGCACAAACATCTGGGCACTCCATGGCCCAGCCAAGTTGGCACATAAAATTAACCATTATACCCTTTAACTTTGTAGCTGCCTGTCTTCCAGCCCACACAACTCACATTCCTACCCAAGCCACCTGGTCTCACACCTCTGGCCTTTGTGTACACATTTTCCTACCAAGATGCTCTTCCCTCAATTTTTTTTCTCCTTAAACTCCTATTCATACATCAAGACCCAGCTCCTGGGTGGCTCCTCTGACTCCTCGGTTTGCCTTTCCCCTGTGATGTCAGAGCTGTGCTGTTCAGTTCAATCAGCTTCCATTAAACACTTCCTGGACTAGTCATCCTTCACCGAGAAATAAGCGTGAGTAAGACAGGGGCCCTGTTCTCCCTGCATCTATAGTAATAAGTGAAAGAGTAGTGAAAGAAGGACAGTTTCTGAACAATATGAGAGGTGCCTAAGTGATCCTCAGGCAGCAAGTGGGGTGGAGAGTACAGGGCTCTCTCCAGAGAAGACAAACAAGCCACATCTGGAAGTGGGAATCAGGACAAGTTAAGAAAACGGGCATTTCAAGCTCGGAAAGCCACATAAACCAAGGTGGACAGGTATCAGCCCACCTGTTCTCAGAGAAGCACAGGCAGTTCGGTGAAGCAGGAACGTGAAGTGAAAGAGGTTCCTGAGGCAGATGTTGATGCTAGTTCCAGGGCATGAATACTTATAAGCCATGCAGAAACAGCTGACCTCGACCCCAGCAAAGATAACTGCAAGGCTTTATGCGTGTTGTGGTTTTAACCCTTATCTCATGGGACCTTAATATCTGGCTATACATGTGACACCCCCATGAGACTGAGCTTCTTGAAAATAAGAACCCTGTCTTAGTCATTTTGTAACTCTAGCACTCAGCAAGGCGCCTGGTACAAATGTTTTCAATAAAGATTTTTGCAATAGATTGAAGGAGGGAGGGAGAGAGAAAGGGACAGGGAGGTAGGGAGGGAAGGAAGTAAAGAAGGAAGGGAGGGAGGAGAGGGGAAGGGAGGGGAAGGGAGGGGAAGGGATGATAGGCAACTGTCTCATTTGGTCTTTGCAGAAATCTAAAGAGGTAGGTAAGAGAGTCATTATAGTCCCCATGTTACTGTTAGGAAACTGAGGCACAGAGAGCTCAATGATTTGCTCAGTGTCCTGCTATGTTGCTGCCTGACTCCCTGCCCAGGGCTCCTTTGAAGACATGCTGCCCCTCTTCAGGAGAGACTGGGGAGGCACACAGTGGCCATAGCCCCTGGCCTGGGACCCACCTGCCAGCCACAGGCAGATCCTGACAGCCGACTTCTGTCATCGGGGCTGCAGTATCCACTGCTACCAAACTATTTTAGGATGAGAGGGCCTCTGAGCCACCCAGCACCTTCTCTTAACCTCTTTCACCTCTCTTAAGCGGTTAGATGGCAGGTCCAAGAATATTTCCAAAACATTACTGCTTTCTAGCATTTTTCTCAGTCACATATTTAGGGTTCCCTCCCAAAACATAGATTTGTGCAGAATTTACCCCCTAGTTTTCCTCCTTCTTCCCAAGTCCATTTTCTCTTCTCTGCTAGCCATCCCTGCCTGTTCCCCACATCTTTCTGCTTTTTTTCTCCTCCTTTTTCCAGCTGCCCTTCCTTTCCTGGTTTCCCTCTAGTGCAGATAACCCATCCTCCTAATGCCATTCTTCAAGCCCTCCCGGTTCTGCCTTGGCATCTGCCTGACCCTCAAGGAGCTGCCTCCTGGATATTTCTTCTTCAGAACCCTGCCTCTGATCTTCCCTCTCCCCTATCCCTGTAGCCCACCCCTGCCAACCCAGAATTGAGCAGGGCCAGGGCCAGGGAGTGAGCAGGGCTATTAAGCTCCGGAGCTGGCAGGGAACAGTTTATGCAGCGTGGTCTCTTGGTTTCATCTAGTGGAACTGGCCTCATAATTAACCCCTCTCAATGGAGCCTTCTGGTCCCTGAGCTCCCTTTATCCTCACAATTTCACATTTCAAGGACATTCCAGAGCCCACATCTGCTCCGGCAGCATGTTCAGGCTTCAATTCTGCCACCTCTCAGTGGGACCAGGGTTTGAGCTTCATTGCAGCCCAGGGTCTCCTGCCCCAGGGATGAGCCAGCCTGGGCAGAACAGCTTCTCCCCAGCCTCTGCCCAATGCCTTCTACCCAGTTCTTATCCTGATCAGGACCCCGAGGCGGCAGCCACAGTTTGAACAAATGGAGGGGTCGGTGAGGGGACAAAGGACTAGAGCTCACACAGCATCCTCCTCCCTACCTAGCCCAACACTTAGGCAACACAGAAATGGAAATCTCTGCAGTCCTTTATATTCTCTCTTGCCAGCTCCCAAGAAAACAAAATCTCTCATTTTGGTCTCACTTGTTTTTTTTGTTTGTTTGTTTTTTTGTCTTTTTTTTTCCTTTTTGTAGAGAAGGGGGTCTCGCTATATTGCCCAGGCAGGTCTCAAACTCCTAGGCTCAAACTGTCCTTCCACCTCTGCCTCAGTAACAGCTAAGATTTCAGGCATGAGCCACTGAGCCAGGCCTCATGGTCTCACCTTTTAGGTCAGGAACATTTCCTGCTTCTGTTCAGCTTTAAGGACCCAGTGTGGACTTTCCAGGACCAACAAGGGATAAATGCCCTAGCAAAAGGGTCTGAAAAGAAAGAGGGTCACAAAGTGCTTTAGCACTGTTCCAGGTTAAAATTGTCTCACTTTGCTCTCTACATTATTTTTTATTGGAATTGTATGTTCACATCATGCCCTTAGAGGAACAACCCAGGAGGTCTCACCTGTCCTATGCATGAGAGCAATGAGTCTAAGCATGTCATAGCCCTTTAGAAGAACCCGTTTCATCGCAGAAAACACTGTACTCACTTCGGCAAGTAGGATGGGAGGAGGCTTTTGATCTCTCATGTGGACATTGTAAGTAATCATTTGTTGTGTTCTCCTCTTTGCTTTGGTGGCTGAGACCCTCTTAGCAAAGTCTGCATCTCACCTCCAGGAGGTGTGATAACTTCACCCCTGCCTTCATCTTACCCCCCGATCCTTGTTTTCTCTTCACTCCCTCTTCCTTCTCTTGGAACATACTGATCAGGATCACAGGTGAAGGGAGGTGAGCTTTCCTGCCTATGTCTCCCAGTGGCAGAGACAAGGTTGGGTAAAGCCTCCCATTGCCGTACCTGCTGGAGAGCCTGGAGTGGTGGTCGTGAGACCATGCCTGACACTCCCTGGCTTTCTGGAAGGAATGCTTTCTCTTCTACTCTGCCACCTCCCCCAGGAAGTGGGAGTGAAGAGCAAAGGGGTTATGGAGGGCCAGCCCATCCCATCTGCCTGCATGGTCTTGAGACACTCTCCCAAGACCTCACTGGTCCATTTATTTTCCTCCTCCATTCTCCAAACTTTTATGACACAGTAAATACTTCAAAGGCCAAGCAGTGCCTAAAAACATTCAAAGGGTAGATAACTGGGGCAGTCTATCCCTAGGGCCCTGCAGGCCACCTTTGGTTCACATCTGTCAAGCTTCTGAGTTTCAAGAAAATCAATGGCATGAAGGCTTCCAGGGCCAGCCAGAAAAACATTTCCCCATCTCAGTCCAGGCAACAACAGCAATATCCATCATCCTGCCATTACTGGCCCACCAGTGGAAATGACTGGGAGTAACACCTCAGGGCTGAGAAGGACTTCTAGGTTCAGGCAGCCCAGGAAAGAAAACAGAGGGAAGAGGAAGAAGGCAGAGATCAAGATTCCTCCTATCCCTTTCAATCCAATAATACCTGTTTGGGAAACCAGTTGCAGTGGAGAAGGATGCAAGGAATCTTTATGTGTGTTTGTTTGCCTGCTTGCTTGCTTGTTCTAAATGTACATATAGTAACACCTTGCAATTTTATTTTATACATATATATATATATATATACACATACACATATAAAATAGATGTGGTCTTTAGTATGCTCTTGTGTGTTCTAAACCTCTAGTGTGGAGAGACTGTATATCTCTATTATTTTACAGAAGAAGAAATCAAGGTAAAGATAATCAACATGCCTTACCAGAGTCATGGACTTACCCAGTGTCTAAACTGAAACTACAACCCAGTTCCCTGCTCTCCAATCCAAATACACACCTCACCCCCATCATCTCCTCAACCAATGAGAGCAACACAGCACCTCCCAGCCTGTAGCTCTCCCTGGCTTCAGCTTCTGAGTAGCTGGGTGGAGAGTTTGTGAGATGGGCTGATAATAATGGCATGAGGACCTGAGGATACAGGAGCAAGGGAGAGAATAGGCGTGGAAAAGTCAGAAAGAAATTTTAGGGAAGGAAGAAGGCAGAACTCAGAGACTAGAAACAAACTTCTACTGAGTTTCTAATAATGAATTGTGTTTTCTCTCCCAGAGGTACTGGCCTCAAATCAGCAAGCAGATATGTTAGGTCATTGTTCAGTGAATGTCTACCATGTGTCAGGCATGGGGCTGGTCATCTGGGGAAAACATGGATGAAGGAGGTGTGTTTTCTGGCCTCAAGAAGGTCATTTTAATGAGGAGGATGATTCTTTGACAAAACCCAATAATTGCCCCACTTATTATTAATCATCTCTCTCTTTCTTAGAAATACAACTCTCAACTTGAGCTGGGATTAAAGGCCATATTTTCCAGCTTCACCTGCAGCTCTAGCCCAAGGCATCAGCAGAAGTGGTGTCTGCAATTTTTAATGAATGTGTTTACAGGGAAGGGTTATGCCTTTGTAAAAGTTTATTCCAGAGGCTGGAATGTGAACATGAAGGCTGTACCTCTAGTAGCCACCTTAGACCTGGAGGTTACCTTTAGAATGGGACCTGTCTACGGTAGAGCACAGAACAGAGAGTGTCTGGGCCCAGACACAGTGGGGCACTGACCAGCCCCAGAGTCACTACCTCCAGACTTCCTATATACAAGAAGATTTCTACCTTGTTTAAGATGCTATTGCTTTAAAACTTTCTGTTACACTCACTTCACTATAGCCCTAACTAGTAAAGCACCCAGCAGACAAATCAGACTGTGGTAAGAGCTGATTGTGTTCTAAGGAGTGCTCTGTGGGAGCAGAACCAGATCGATTGACTCTGCTCAGGCAGGTTAAAAAAAGCATTACAGAGATGTGTGAATGAGTCTTTAAAATGAAGTAGGATTTCCTCTGGTAGACAAGGCGGGTGGGGAGTTCCAGGGGCAGGGGAACATGGAGACAGAAAAACACAGGGCTCATTCAAGGAAAGGGAAGCACCTGCCTGCCACTGCAACACTGAGTAGGAGAGAATTCCCTGAGGACAGAGGCCTATCCAGTGTCCATCTAGTCTCTCCTAGACACGACGTATGGATGCAGGGTGCAGCCTCGGTCCTCAACATCCCTCCAGCTTCTAAGTAATTACCCTCCCAGTGCCTTTCTGTCCTGCAGTTGTTCACACCAGCTGTTG
Organism: Homo sapiens; assembly: GCF_000001405.40. NCBI lineage: Eukaryota > Metazoa > Chordata > Mammalia > Primates > Hominidae > Homo > Homo sapiens. The sequence goes on from NC_000008.11 coordinate 21,364,713, forward strand.
TGACTATTCTCACTACACACTCTGGAGTCCATGAGGAACAGGCTGCTGGGCAGGGAGGCAACAGAGGACTCCAGGGAAAGCCATTAAACACCTGCTGGGCTCCACTCCAAAGGTTCAGGAAGATAATTTCTGGGCTTCCAGGTAACTTGAGCCTTCCAAAAACAGAACTGCTGCCTTCACAAGCACTCAAGGGACTGAGTGTCTGAGAAGCGGAAAACAAGGCCACTGTCCTTGTATTGGTTGTCTATTGCTGCAAAGTAAACCACTCCAAAACTTAACTGGTTAAAGCAACAATCATTTGCTCTTTCTTATAATTCTGTGGACTGGCTGGGCTCTCAGCTGGGCATTCTTCTCCCTGTGTTGTTGGCACATGCGTGGTGGTTGACACTGCTGCTGTTCAGGACCTCTCCATGTTATTTCTCTAGAAGAGTAGCCATACTTCTTTATTTATTAGTTGTATAAATTTAAGGGGTACAAATGCAGTTTTATTACACGGATATATTGCCCAGTGGTGAAGTCTGGGTTTTTAGTGTAACCATCACCGAAATAATATACATTGTACCTATTAAATAATTTCTCATCCCTCAACCCCTCCCATCCACCTCCACCCTTCCAAGTCTCCAATGTCCATCATTCCACACTCTATGTCCATGAGTACATATTATGTAGCTCCCACTTGTAAGTGAGAACATGCGGTATTTGACTTTCTATTTCCGAGTGATTTCACTTAAAGAGAATGGCCTCCAGTTTCATCCATGTTTTTGTAAAAGATGTGATTTCAGTCTTTTTTATAGCTGAATAGTATTCCATTGTATAGATCTATGCCACATTTTCTTTATCCAATTATCCATTGATGGACACTTAGGTTGATTCCACATCTTTGTTTGTGAACAGTAGGGTAGTCATACTTCTTCTCTTGGGGCTAAGGCCCAAAGTAGGGGGTCAGTGGGGCAGGAAATGTTGCAAGATCTCTTCCACTTCACTCTGTTGGGCAAAGCAAGATACAAGGCCAGCTTAGACTCAAGGTGAGGAAATAGATTCCATCTCTTGATGGTAAGAATAACAAAGTCACATTGCAAGACAGAATGTACAATGAAAAGGATTTTTGTGGCCATCTTTGCAAACAATCTGTACTGGCTACCCTCTAATCACAATGATTCACATGTACCTCTACCCTCAAAATACTAGTCCTCTTAAACTATCTCCTTGAAATTCAGAATTTCATCATCAGATCCAGATATGGATGAGGATCCTTGGGCGCAATTCCTCAGGGGCAGTGGACTCAGAACATGTGAGCTAAAAAGACCAGTTCTCTGTCCCCTACATGGCCAAGAAACAACGGTGAGGGACGGTGGTCTTCAGTACCGAATCCTTTACTCTCCTCCAGACTCTACTAACCATTTCCCTGCAGTCCTAACAGTTCTGTCAGTCACACATTTTGACTTTTGTTATAGCAACCCACTTTCAGGTACCAATTTCTGGAGACTGGAGAAAGGATGATTCATATTACACAGAAGTGGGATATTTGACATCTACATTACATTCTATGTAATATGAACACTATGGACTGTGGCACTATGGAAGGTACCTAATGATACCTAATGAACTCGTGGATCTGGCTAAAGAGATGTAGAAACGTAGAAAGTGTCATTGGACTTCTTTTAGTTGCATAAAAGACATGAAAACAGAGATGAACTAAATCAGAAACTGTTTTCAGCTTTCAAGAAGAACTTACAGAATATAAAGAGAAGCCGGGATAGTCTCTCCAGCCAGCAAAAGATCCTCAAAGTAAGAAATGGCCTCAGAATAAAGATCAAGAGTACGGCCATAACACCATGGATTAGGAACTCAAAAAGATTTAAGACAATGCATCATAGACACTTTCAGCATAACAAAAGCCTTTGTAAGAATCCTGCAGTCCCATGACTTACAGGCCAAGATAGAGTGAGGCCTGCCCCAGAAGAAATGTTGGGTGTGGCATTCACCTAATGAAGTGGACAGTAATCTCACTCATCAAATACTCACAAAGTTTTTAAAGGAAGTATTTCACTTCTTACTAAAAGGGGACAGTGACAGATCAGAATGAAAAGAGGCCTCTACCCCTATCCCAACTCAACTGAGGCAGGAAGCAGATAGAAAAATCTCAGCTGAAAACACAGACACTTCTTATAGAAAAAGAAAAGCATCTTGAGCCTAGACCAAGAGTTCAAAGGACAGAGCCACAAGTGTGGAAGATTAAAAACAGGAGCTAAGATCAACGGATGAGGAAACCACTCCAAGGGAGCATCATTAGACTCTAATTAAGGAAAACCCATGCGTCTGGAGTTGGGAAACTGGTAACATGTGCTTGACTAGATTTCAGCCTTTTTTTTTTTTTTTTTGAGAGGGAGTCTCGCTCTGTTGCCAGGCCAGAGTGCAGTGGCGCAATCTCACCTCACTGCAACCTCCACCTCCCGGGTTCAAGGGATTCTCCTGCCCCAGCCTCCAGAGTAGCTGGGACTACAGATGTGTGCCACCACGCCCAGCTAATTTTTGTATTTTTAGTAGAGGCAGGGTTTCACCATGTTGACCAGGCTGGTTTCAATCTCTTGACCTCATGATCTGCCCACCTTGGCCTCCCAAAGTGCTGGGATTACAGGCATGAGCCACTGCGTCCAGCCAAGTTCAGCTTTTCTATAGGCCAGTGTGTGTCTCCCAGTCTCCCTCCTTCTGTTTGTGAATGTCTGTCTATTGTGAAGACCCTTTCTTCCACTCCATTGTCTTGGGTGCATTGTATATTGGGGGTGTGGTGGCAGATAACTTGTCTTTTCAATGTTCAGGTCTCTTAATCAGCAGTAGACCCATGGGAACAGCAACATGCAAGGGACCTTGTCAACCTCTGGACTTGAGGCAGAACACAACATTGAGGACATCGACCCCAATATTATGACTAGGTGAGGTTTTAGGGGTCTTGTGGAGGAAACGTGGTGGAAGTGACGTTCTGGAACATCTAGGCCCAGGACTTAAAAAGTCCCACAGCTTCTGTTTCATTCAGCCTCTTAGAACCCTGAATCCTCATGCAAGGAACTACAAGCTATTGTGATGGACAGACAAGGTAGAGAGAGGATCTGGAGGAGAAACAAGAAGCCCCAGCCAATGACCACACCAACACAATTGAAGAAAGCTTCACTGTCACAGTAAGGTTCTTGGAGGTTGAATGCAGCCACTTGAGTCCAGGCAAGGCCAGCAGACAAGCCAGCCAATCCAAAGCGCCAAGAGAAAGAATAAGCAGACTGGCCAATCAATCCACAGAGTCAAGAGAAATAATAAGCAGACCAGCCAGCCAATCCACAGAAATAATAAGCAGTTGTTGTTTCGATTTAATCCACTATGTTTTGGGGGGTGGTTTGTTATACAGGATTTTATTATTGACATAATCCTCCTCTTCATTTTATATTCTAATTCTCTGCTGGATTAGAGGGCTAAATAGTAGATATTGAATACCACTGATGGAAAGGCACAAAGCAAAAACATTTCCCAGTTTATCCTTTCCCACGAGACTGGGAAAACTTCACATAATCCTAGAGAAGCCAGAAATTGAACACCATCATTTTATAGATGAAGGCACAGATACAGAAGATGATTTGTACAAAAGGCCTGCAGGGTGGGTAGTTCTAATAGCCTTGTGGATCCAGTTTTATGACAAATCCAGAAGTGAAACCTAACATTCTGACTTTTAATCTAGGGCTATTCTCGGCAACCACATGGCTTCTTAACCAAGAAATTTCCTTGTAGGAAAAGTGGACTATAAAACAACAACAACAACAACAAAAAACTGCCATGTTTCCTGAATCATTTAGAAATGTATGTGACCGAGAGTAATCCAAAACTCAACAAACAGTGGTCTAATGAGGTAGGGTTTTTTTTTTTTTTTTTTTTCTCTCATAATAAGAATTCATGCCAAGCGCGGAGGCTCACACCTGTAATCCCAACACTTTGAGAGGCTGAGGCAGGCGGATCACCTGAGATGAGGAGTTCAAGACCAACCTGGCCAACAAGGGTGAAACCCCATCTCTACTAAAAATACAAAAACTAGCTGGGTGTGGTGGTGCACACCTGTAATCCCAGCTACCCAGGAGGCTGAGGAAGGAGAATCACTTGAACCTGGGAGGCAGAGGTTGCAGTGAGATGAGATTGCACCGCAGCACTCCGGCCTAGGTATCAGAGTGAGACTCCATCTCAAGAAAACTAAAAAAATTAAAAATTAAAAAAATAATTCAGGGTAGCAGTGCAGCTGCCTAGCATGGCTACACAAAACTGTCACCAGGGATCCAGGCTCCATCTACCTTTCTGCTCTATCGTCTTTAATATGGACCTTTCATTCTCACCCTCATGGTCACAAAAAGGCTGCTGCAGCTTCAAATATTGTTTCTATATTACAAACAGGAAAAAGGGAGATAAGTCAAAAGTATACAATGAAATCTTACTTCTTACAAGGTTTGGTGTTTTTATCCAGGAATGGAAGCTCCCCCCGAGAATTTGCCAAAAGACAATTGTCCAGAATGATGTCTCATGGCCATGCTGATGACAAGTGAAGCTAGAAATGTAAGTACTTTGTTTTGCTTTTTAGGGTCTATTGGACAGAAAGATAAGGGAGAAGGAAGTCAAGTGGGCCTTAAGTGAGTCAACCAGTAGTATCCATCATAAACGTTCCAAAAGAGGAAAAACAAACCAACCAGCAAGAAGACAAGGTAGGCACTATCCCCCTGTCCTCTGCATCATTATCTCTAATTCTTGAACTCACCAGGGGATGGCCAGGCGATTTGGATGAACCACTTGGCCTACCTCCAAAATGGACTGTATGTGTGCATGTGCATGAAGTCGTGGGGTTGGTGGGGAATGGGCACAGAGATCTGCTGAGAAAGGCCGTAGATACACAGTACTAACAGCCCTACGGATTCATGGAAGCCCTTGCATTATGTATATGCCAACCAATCATCATTGTTTTGGGAGTAAACAAAGAGACCACTAAATTTAGAATAAATTTCAAATTCACCTAAATGATACATGTCTGGTAAATGGGACCCTTTTGTGAAGCAAGAAACTGTCTGAAACATTCAGCTCCTGGTCTCTGGGGCAGAATACAACTTAAAAGGAACACAGGATTGTCAGAGCTTTGTTTCTCACATCATCCTCTAACAATCCCCATTCAGCATCCAGTGGCCTAACTGGATCCAATCCCTCACCAGCACCATTTAGGAGAGGCTCAGAAACTTCTGTTCCTTGGCATATGGTTAGCATGTGTGAATATCAACATGAAGTGTTACCAGAGGGACAGATAGAAGCTCAAGAAAGATCTACTACAAAAACAAAAAAGGAGGAAGACAGCCAGCTGGGGAGCCAGCAATCATCATTGTATAGTTAATGAGGCTGACAATGGAAAAGCACTTAGCTCCAGATGGAAGCTAGAAATTAGCCACATTCCAGCCCAGGGAGCGCAGGCCTGACCTGGGGGCCAGTTCTGGGACAGAGCACCAGACCCTGGGGAAGAAGGAACAGTGAATACCTTCTGATGACCTTTCAGTGGTCCTTCGTGATGGCAAGTCACAGGCACCTGAAAAGCCAGTTGTCCTGAGAGCATCACCTCCAAATTACAGAGGCGGAAGTTTTGAGGCATCCATGTGTTCTGCCTCTGAACTCCTCCCAGCACCTCAGCTCCCAGGGAGCTACCATAACCTGCAATTAACTAGATGGCACTACTTCTCCACAGCGAGCCAGGCACAGACCAGGAGTAGTTCCAAAAATGCCTCAGGCCTCGTCCTCCCCTCCAGGAGCCAACAGCCCAGCTGGGGTGCCCAGACACACAGCCCCAGAAGGTAATTAACAGTGAGCTGGTGGAAGGAACACGGCCCAGGTCAGGAGACTCGACTTCTCATCTCAGCTTGCTCACTAATTGGCCATATGACCTTGGAAATTTCAGGCCCTCCACCTCTCTGGACTTCAGTTTCATTGTTTATAAAGTGAGCTGGCTGAACTAGCATCAGTGGACGTGAAACTTTGCTAAGAGTGGGACCAATTTTTTCAAAAGGGAAGTTTTCAAGGAAACTAATATGTGAAATAGACGAAAGTGAAACCGATCTGTTTTGAAGCAGAAGGAGCCCCCAGCCAGGATGGTGCAGTCTCCCCAGAAGATGGTTTGGAAAGCACCGAAATAGGGTTCCTCCCAGCTCTGAATGGTCTGGAGATCCACCAACGTCAGTCTACTGCAACCACACGTGCTAAATGTGCAGTGATTGGAAGAGGCAAATGGTGTGTGTGAGGTCAGAAACCCAACCCACAGGCCACCTGAGCAGAGCAGCAGTAAGAATAGACTCCAGGTCCAAAGATTTGGAAGGACACTCATTAATTCCAGATGGACCTTTACCAGCATTACCTATAGATGCAGTGTCCTGCTTCATCCAGCTCAGCTGATCATCTGCTCGAGAGACTCCTCATTCTGGAACACTGTCCAGCTCCCAGGTTCCAGCCTGCTCCCGTGTCAAGTTCTGCTCTCTTGAATACCCCAAAGCAGTGCTACACAATGGAACTGTCTGTGATGAAGGAAACATTCCTATTTTGCACTGACTAATATAATCCATTAGCCAATAGTCACCTTATTGGCTATGGAGCACTTAAAATGTGGCTATTTCCACTGAGGAACTGAATTTTTAATTTCATTTTATGTAAACTTAGTTAGCCACATGGGGCTAGTGGTTACCATATTGGCCAGCACAGCATTTACGGATCTGTGTTTCCTCTCAAATCCCACCTTCTCTCCACCCTTAATCTAAATTGCATCACTGAGAGGCCCTCTCAGAAAGCAGTGGTGTGAGTTTCCCAGCCCCTGGAGAGTGTGGTCCTTGGACCTGCAGCATCAGCATCACCCAGGGGCTTACTGGAAATGCAAAGTCTCCAGCCTCCTCCAGTTCTCCTGGGTCATCACCTGTATTTTAACAAGATGTCTCAGTGACTTGTACCTTTAAGAACATTGAAGAAGCACCGTTCTAGCCCTCTGAGGGGGGCAGGACACAAAAAGAAACTGAGGCCCAGATAATGTGAATGGCTCATCAAGACTCACACAGCCAAAAATGGGTTGAAATAATGCTTCTAACCCACATCATCTGATTTTAGTTCAATGGACAGTTCATAGCCTCTCCTTATTTATCTGTCCTTTGCTTCTGCCCAGGAGTAGCCATTATCAATTTTTTAACAGGAGTCATTTAGTCTCCCAGACTGCCAGCTTACCCATTACCACTAAACTGTTAACACTTAAGCCCAGCCATTAACAAAGTTATTTAGCATAAACGGAAGGCAGCATCCTGGCCTCCATTACAGAGAGTGTAGCTAGACCATTGGTTTTCAACCTGGTAGGTACTTCAGGGGCTTTGCAAACATTTGATTCAAATTATAAATAGATACTAGAAATTTTTAAAGCACAGTACAGAACAGCACAAGCATGAAAACGTGTAGCATAATACATCTTAGCACTTAGAAGACCACCAAGACCACTGTGTAAATTTGTGACACCAGGTTAAATCGTCTTTTTTCAGAACTTACAATAATTTCTGCCATCTGACAAATATCCAAACTTCCGGTACAGGCATCATTGATTAGGAACATTGTTTTGCATTGGAGCATTTTTCATGTAGGGTTTTTTGGTTTTTAACTTAGATCTTCACGTTTCTTTGTGTGAAGAAACAGGCTGTTTCAGAAAACATATTATTGCTCTACGTGTGTTCCCCAAGCTGTTCAATGCCAGGCAAGGCTCAGGCTCTATGCTGGGGGCATCTTCTTTCTTGGCATAAGCTTCATGCAATAACTAGTGAAAAGTGACTTGCAGCATTAAGGTAACATCATACAACAATAGTTGAAGGGCTTTTGATAATTTATGGATGATTCTTACTTGATATTGAGTCATTTCTATTGAGAAATATGCATGCAATGAAATGCATAGACCTTCACTATATAATGGATGAGTTTTGGCAAATGCGTACACACCTATGTAAATAACAACCAAATTAAGTAAAGAACATTTCTGTTACCCAGGAAGGTTGCCTCCTGTCCTCTTCCAACCAGTCCTCATGACCTATGCCTGATTTCTACTTCTACAGATCAGTTGCATTCTGTTCTTGAACTTCATGTAGACGGAATCACACAATATGTACTCTTTTGTGCCTGTCTGCTTTCTCTCAGAGCTCCCAGGTCCCAAGAGAATTCACTTTTTTTTTTTTCCATAGGTTACTGAGGTACAGGTGGCATTTGGTTACATGAGAAAGTTCTTTAGTGGTGATTTGTGAAATTTTGGTGCACCCATCACCCAAGCATTATACACTGCACCCTATTTGTAGTCTTTTACCCCTCAACCCCTCCCACTCTTCCCCTCAAGTCCCCGAAGTCCATTGTATCATTCTGTTTATGTGGTGTATCATCTTTATTGACTTGTGTATGTTAAACCATCCCTGCATCTCTGGTATGAAACCCACTTGATCATGGTGGATTATCTTTTTGATATGTTGTTGGATTTGGTTAGCTAGTATTTTGTTAAGGTTTTCAGCGTCTATGTTCATCAGGGATATCGGTCTGTAGTTTTCTTTTTTAGTTATATCCTTTCCTGGTTTTGGTATTAGGGTGATACTGGCTTCATAGAATGAATTAAGGAGGATTCCCTCTGTCTTTGTCCTGTGGAATAGTGTCAAAAGGATTGGTAACAATTCTTTGAATGGCTGGTAGAATTCTGCTGTGAATCCGTCTGGTCCTGGACTTTTTTTGTTGATAATTTTTTAATTACCATTTCAATCTTGCTGCCTATTATTGGTCTCTTCAGGGTATCTAATTCTTCCTGATTTAAGCTAGGAGAGTTGTATTTTTCCATGAATTTATCCATCTCTTCTAGATGTTCTAGTTTATGTGCCTAAAGATGTTCATAGTAGCCTTGAATGATATTTTGTATTTCAGTGGTGTCAGTTGTAATATCTCTCTTTTAGTTGCTTAATGAGGTCATTTGGATTTTCTCTCTTCTTGGTTAATATTGTCAATGGTCTATCAGTTTTATTTATCTTTTCAAAGAACCAGATTTTGTTTCATTTATCTTTTGTATTATTTTTGTTTCAATTTCATTTAGTTCTGCTCTGATCTTGGTTATTTCCTTTCTTCTGCTGGGTTTGGATTTGGTTTGTTCTTGTTTCTCTAGTTCCTTGAGGTACGACCTTAGAATGTCAGATTGTACTCTTTCAGTCTTTTTTATGTAGGCATTTAGGGCTATGAATTTTCCTCTTCACACCACCTTTGCTGTATCCGAGAGGTTTTGACAGGTTGTGACATTATTGTCATTCAATTCGAAGAATTTTTAAATTTCCATCTTGATTTTGTTTTTGACCCAATGCTCATTCAGATGCAGGTTATTTAATTTCCGTGTATTTACATGGTTTTGAACATTCCTTTTGGAGTTGATTTCTAGTTTTATTCCGCTGTGGTCTGAGAGAGTGCTTGATATAATTTCAGTTTTCTTAAATATATTGAGGCTTGTTTTATAGCCTATCATATGGTCTATCCTGGAGAAAGTTTCATGTGCTATTGCATAGAATGTATATTGTGTGGTTGTTGGGTGAAATGTTCTGTATATATCTGTTAAGTCCATTTGTTCCAAGGTATAGTTTAAATCCATTGTTTCTTTGTTGACTTTTTGTCTTGATGGCCTGTCTAGTACTATCAGAGGAGTACTAAAGTCCCCCACTATTATTGTGTTGCTGTCTGTCTCATTTCTTAGATCTATTAGTAATTGTTTTATAAATTTGGGAGATCCAGCATTAGGCGCATATGTTTAGGATAGTAATATTCTTCTTTTGGACAGGGCCTTTTACCATTACATAATGTTCCTCTTTGTCTCTTTTAACTGCCGTTGCTTTAAATTTTGTTTTGTCTGATATAAGAATAGCTACTCCTCTTCACTTTTGGTGTCCATTTGCATGAAATGCCTTTTTCCAATCCTTTAAGTTTACATGAGCCCTTATGTGTTAGGTGAGTCTCCTGAAGGCAGCAGATAATTTGTTGGTGAGTTCTTATCCATTCTGCAGTTCCACATCTTTTAAGTGGGACATTTAGGCCATTTACATTCAATGTTAGTATTGAGATGTGAGGTACTATTGCATTCATCATGCTATTTATTGCCTGTGTACCTTGTTTTTTTTGTTGTTGTTTTTGTTTTTTAAATTCTATGTTAGTTTTATAAGTCCTATGTGATTTATGCCTTAAAGAAGCTGTATTTTGATGTGTTTCCAGGAATTGTTTCAAAATTTAGAGCTCATTTTAGCAGTTCTTGCAGTGGTGGCTGGGTAGTGGTGAATTCTCTCAGCATTTGTTTGTCTGAAAAAGACCGTATCTTTCCTTCATATATGATGCTTAGTTTTGCTGGATACGAAATTCTTGGCTGATAATTGTTTTCTTTGAGGAAGCTGAAGATAGGGCCCCAATCCTTTCTAGCTTGTAGGGTTTCTGCTGAGAAGTCTGCTGTTAATCTTATAGGTT